>NC_000002.12:94823082-95150149 GCF_000001405.40 Homo sapiens | reverse complement strand
GTTGAAAGCAGCCTGCGGTTGTGATGGCCAGTTAGAGATGCAGCAGATAAAACAGGAGAGACACCTGAAACAAATGTCAACCATTCACAAATCTGCCACCACCCTTAGCAGAGATTATAAATGGAATGGATTTGGGAGAAGCTTAGGTTTAAGATCAGTCCTTGTTAACCAACACAGCATTCTCATGGGAGAAGGATCTTATAAATGTGATACAGAATTCAGGCAGACTTTAGGGGGAAACAACTCTCAGAGAACCCACCCAGAAAAGAAATCTTGTAAATGTAATGAGTGTGGGAAGTCCTTTCACTTCCAGTCAGAACTTAGGCGCCATCAGCGATGTCACACTGGAGAAAAGCCGTATGAATGCAGTGACTGTGGAAGAGCCTTTGGTCATATTTCATCCCTTATTAAACATCAAAGAACTCATACTGGAGAAAAGCCCTATGAATGCAGTGAATGTGGGAGAGCCTTCAGCCAGAGTTCGTCTCTTGTTCTGCACTATAGATTTCACACTGGAGAGAAACCCTACAAATGTAATGAATGTGGACGAGCCTTTGGTCACACTTCATCCCTTATTAAGCATCAGAGGACTCATACTGGAGAAAAGCCCTATGAATGCCGGGAATGTGGGAGAACCTTCAGCCAGAGCTCATCACTCATTGTGCATTACAGATTTCATACTGGAGAGAAACCTTACAAATGTAATAAATGTGGGAGAGCCTTCAGCCAGAGTTCATCTCTCACTCAACATTACAGATTTCACACTGGAGAGAAACCCTACAAATGTAATGAGTGTGGAAGGGCCTTTGCTCATACTGCATCCCTTATTAAACATCAGAGAAGTCATGCTGGAAAAAAAACCCTATAAATTCAGTGAATATAGAAGGGCTTTCAGCTGGAGTGCAGACATCACTGGAACTTAAAGAATTCATATCAGAGAGAGATCCTAAAGGTGTAATGTATGTGGGAAGACCACATCTTGTTCCACATCAGGCAATAATTACTAAAGAGAATCCCTGTCAATGTCAAGAGGGGGTGGGCTTCCCCTCTCTTACCAAACATGGGAGAATCCATACTAGTGAGAAACCACGTGAATGTAATGAATGTGGGAACGCTTTGATCAGAGGATGCATATTATTCAGCATCAGACAGCCGACACTGGGGAGGAGCCTTATCAATGCAGTGAGTGTGGCAAGCCTTCAGTTACATACTGATTCTTTAAGAAAATCAGATAACTTGTACTGGAGAGAAATCCTACAAGTGTGGTAAGTATGGAAAAATCTTCAGTTGTATCTCTTCCTTTACTAAGCATCAAGAACACATACTAGAGAGAGGCCCTATGAAAGCAGGAAATAGAGGAAGGCCTTCAGTCAGGGCTCATCCCTTATTAAGCATCAGAAAATTCATACCTGAGAAAAACCTGTGAATGTGGGTAATGTGGGAGAGCCTTCAGCCAAACCTCATTGCTTTATAAACCCCTTAGAACTCTCCCTACTAGCTGGAAACTCTGGTGACGTGATGAATGTGGGAAGGGCTTTGGTGGATGTTCCACCAAAACACGTTAGAGAATTTGTACATTAGAGAATTTGTGCTAGAGCAACTCTTCAAATTTAGTGAAACTGGGAAAACCCATTAGTAGAGTTCAAGCTTCAGTATTCATCTCAAAGAGAAACCTTGGGAACATGATGAATGTGAGGAAAGTTCCTTTCCAACTTGAGATGTATAAAACTAGAGCTGAAAAGAAGCTGAGAAATCACCTTGTCTGGTGATTTTCTGCCTGGTGGGGCCATTTGTATAACGACACTTGTGCATTGCCTCCTCATGCTGTTACTGACGGGGCAGGGTGTCATGCATGGGTGCAGAGGATGGAGGCTGAGAAAGGTAGACAGCTACCCATGATCTAGCCCAGTCGTATTTTAGAGCTAATAAAACTGATGTTCAGAAAGTGACATGCCTTGGCCTATAGTCCTAACTGGGCTGGGCCTCTTTCCTGTGGTTCACAGCTGTAGTATGGAGATTAATAGACTGGATCTTTGCAGTACAACACCTCTATGCACTTCTTTCTCTGTAGCACATGTTACCTTTCTTTGTGAGGCAATGGAGTGGTCTAGGATTGAGCAAAAAGCAATTTTTGTTACATCTTTATGCTAATAGATTTGGAATTTTTGAAATGAAATGAAACCTTGTTTAAACATTAAAATTACTAAAATAGGCTGGGCGCGGTGGCTCACGCCTGTAACCTCAGCACTTTGGGAGGCCGAGGCGGACAGATCACGAGGTCAGGAGTTCGAGACCATCCTGGCTAACACAGTGAAACCCTGTCTCTCCTAAAAATACAAAAAAATTAGCCAGGCATGGTGGCGGGCGCCTGTAGTCCCAGCTACTTGGAAGGCTGAGACAGGAGAATGGCGTGAATCGGGGAGGCAGAGCTTGCAGTCAGCCGAGATCACGCCACTGCACTCCAGCCTGGGAGACAGAGTGAGACTCCGTCTCAGAAAAAAAAAAAAAAAACAACTAAAATATGGGTATTATGCACAATCCAGATCTCAAAAACGTGATTCTAAGTGAAAGAAGGCAGATGCCAGAGACCAGGTATTTTCTAGTACCATTTTAGGAAATGTCCAGAAATGGCAGATCTTCAGAAACAAAGTAACTGCAAATGTTACAAGGAATCTTTTTAGGGTGACGAAAATGTTCTAAAACTAGATGGTGGTGATGGTTGAACGATTTGGTAACTTCACTAAAAATCATTGAATTGTTCACTTTATATGGGCAGATTTTATGGTAAATATACCTCAATAAAATCATTTTTCAAAATCAAATTTACACATATACCAACCATTGCTAAACAAGTATTCCTGTTTTGTTTGTTACTTCAAGCCATCTATGCATTTTTGGTATCACTTTTTATTTTCTGTAACAGTTACCCCTACATTTACTGGGTCTCAGAACCTTGTCAGGCTCTGCTTTAAAGTTCCTACCATGTTGGCTCTGTAACTCAGGTGGAGAAGCCTAGACCAGGAGCTGGCGTAGACCAAAGGATACTTGCCTAATAAGGATTAGCTTATACTGAGGAAAATACTTTAAGCATTTAAAGTCCAGATGAGGAAGTTGAGCCCAGAATTCAGGGAACCAGCTCAAAGTGGGCCCATGCAGACAGGCTGGGTCTAAGAGTCCACAAGGTTGGCCAGGGCAGGTAGGATGCACAGGAGGCATCTGGATCTGGAAGTACTTGGACAGCTGAGGTCAAGATCACACAGAAATTTATTCCTGGACAGCCAAGGTTTACAGGAGCAGAAATAGCAAATATTTTCTTGCTCCGTCTCTCCCTTTTTTCCCAGTGCCCTTTTCTGTACCTACCCAGATCACTTTATACCTAGACATCTGTCACAATTTTGTAACTGGTCTTCGTCCAAAATCTGTCTCCTCTTCTCATGTATCCTTGCCATATTAACCATACTTACCAGTTTGAACCCAGTGTCCTGCCCTCCAAAAATCCTTTGCACGGCCTACAAGATAAATCCTCACCCCCCGTGTGTGGTATATAATGCCCTCTTTAGGCTGCTCCAACCTCCTGCTGCTCCTGACAGAAGCCTCCATTGCACACAAATGCTCTCTTGTCATCCCTCAGACATGCCTTTCCACATCTCAGCCTGCAAACCTTTACCTTAGCTGTTCTATCAGCCGGGGGCACCTTCTCTACTTACCTAAAGCCTACATAATCAGTCAGAAACCTGTGTAAATTTCCCTTCCTTGGAGAGGTGTTCTCTTGAAAACTGATATGAAGTCATATCTTACCATTTGTAATCATAAACATATTTGTTTGTGTAAGTTTTTAAAAATGGACAATATCTAGACTTGTGGTAAATCGTATCACTGTCTTGATCTATTTAAATAATTTTTTATCACTTTACCACTTTCTTGTTTCCTGAACCAGATGACAATGGAAAAAGTCAAATGGTAAAATATTTTAAGAGATTTATTCTGAGATAAATATGAGTGACCTGTAGGCACAGTTGACCAGCATTTGCCTTAAAACAGAGACCTTAAGACTAACAAAAACAGACTCTTTGTAGCAATAACAACATGACAGTAAGTCCTGAGAGAAATCAAAGTGTTTTACGCCAAAATAGATTTAAGTCTGATAAGAAACAAGTCTGACACAGCCCCAGGAGATCCTGAGAACATGTGCCCAAGGTGGCTCTTGTCAGGAGCAGCAGCAGGTTGGGGCAGCCTAAAGAGGACATTACCAAACACGGGAGTGAGGATTTATCTTGTAGGAAGTGCAAAGGATTTTTGGAGGGCAGGACACTGGGTTCAAACTGACGAGTATGGTTAACATGGCAAAGGTACGTGAGAGGAAGAGACAATTGTGCTGTCAGGCTACAGCTTGGTTTCATGCATTTTTACATTTTAGGGGAATGTAAGACATCAATACATGTAAGATTTACATTGGTTCGATGGAGAAAGGCAGGACAACTTGAAGCTGGTGGGGAAGGGACAGGGACAGAGGGAGGGCCTTCTGGGTTATAGGTGGATTCAAAGATTTTCTGATTGGCAGTGGGTTTATCCAAAGACCTGGAATCAATAGAAGGGAATGTCTGGGTTAAGATAAGGTGTTGTGGAGACCAAGGTTCTTACTGTGAGATGAAGCCAGAAGGTAGCAGGCTTCAGAGAGAATAGATTGTAAATGTTTCTTATCAGACTTAAGAGAAATTTATTTTAGGATAAAATACTTAGATTTCTCTCAGGGCCTGTTATCTGTCATGTTATCTTATTGCTACAAAGAGCCTGTTTTTGTCAGTCTTAAGGTCTCTGTTTTAATGTTAATGCTGGTCCACTGTGCCTGAATTCCAAAGAGAGGAAGGTATAATGAGGTATGTCTGACCACCCATTCCCATCATGGCCTGAGCTAGTGTTTCAGGTTTACTTTAGAATGCTCTTGGCCAAGTGGAAGGGTCGATTCAGTTGGTTGTGTGCTTAGAATTTTATTTTTGACTTACATAGACTATCAGCTGCTTCATGTCACATCTCATGCTTCTCTTATGTTGCCCAGTTTTCTCAGTGCTTCCGACTGCATGTTTTTGTACTATATGAAAAGCCTTCTTTCTAGAAGACTACCAATTAAATATTTCTTTAGAAAAATGTAATATTGCTTACTGTAGTTATTTTTCAAATTCAAATATAGATTAGCACTGTTCCATCTTTTAGGGATAGGTTGGGGTGTGTGTGTGTGTGTGGTTACATAGAAATTCAGTGTATTTTGTAGGACTGTGATGACTTCTGATACCAATTACCCAGAGTTAAGCCAAATTTCATGTGTTAAGGATACAGTAGCCCACAAGACTGCCCTCACTTCAGATAACAGCCATGAATTTGGGAGTTCCCAGGCTACCTTTACTTATAATCAATTGGTTACAAATTCAGGAATTCTCATGATATCTGCAGGTTGATAACTTTCTAGAATGTATATCAGAACTCAGGAGAGTACTATATTTTTGATGACAATTATAGAAAAAGGACACAAATCAGAACCAGCCCAAGGATGAGATGCATAGGGAAGAGTATGGGAGTACCCCAAATGCAAAGCTTCTGTCTCCCCAGCAGCATGTTACCCTGCTGGCACACTGATGTGTGACAATGCACAGAGAAATGCCTACCATGGAAGCTCACATGAGTTTTGGTGTCCAGAGTTTTTATTGGGGTTTTATTAAATATTCATGAATGATTGAATCATTGACCTCACAGTTGAACTCAATCACCAGCTCCCCCTCCTCTCCCTACTGATATTACATGCCTGAAAGCCCCAACTCTAATTACATGCTTGGTATTTCTGGCATGACCAGCAACCATCCTGCTATCTCATTAGCATAAAGTAGAGGCCAACTGTCAGTCACCTCTGTAGCATAAACTATCAGAAAATGCGGGGGTCTGTCCTGCAGACCCTGACCCAACAATGGATGAATAAAGTACACTGACACACAGATACTCTGCTTTGCCAGTCCAGCTGAGTGTCTGGGCTGCTTACAGACTCCAAGCAGAGTGCTATCAACAGTTGGGACCGCTGCCCTGACCAGCTAGTGAGACTTGCATTTATTCAGTAAAGATTAATTGACAGAGGCTTGAGTCAACACCACTAGATGGTAATTGACACTGTGGACTTCCCAAGTAGAAAGCAATTAAGCACCCACTGTAAATCAAAGGTTAGTCTTAGGACCACATGAATAAACAAACTAGTTAGGTAAACTCCCCACATTCCTTTCTTTCTACTTTAATTTATTTAACTAAGAGTACAAGGCTGCCTTCAGCCAAGTTTATTACTGGAGCAAGCCCTCCAGGCCTTCCAAGAATGTTTGCGTCATTTAATTTTCCCCACCATCCTGACTGAACCCCCACAAGATGTGGCCCACCATGAATAGTAAAAGGCACTTGTATCCCTCAGGAAATTCCAATGATCTAGAGGTTATTTCTCAGGAACTAGGGATAAAGTCCAGCCAAGTTCTTTATTTTTATTTTATTTATTTATTTTGAGACAGAGTTTCAACTCTTGTTGCCCAGGCTGGAGTGCAGTGGCACGATCTTGGCACACTGTAACTTCTGCCTCCCGGGTTCAAGCAATTCTCCTGCCTCAGCCTCCTGAGTAGCTGGGATTACAGACATGCACCACCATGCCCGGCTAATTTTGTGTTTTTAATAGAGACGGGTTTCTCCATGTTGGTCAGGCTGGTCTTGAACTCCTGACCTCAGGTGATTCACCCGCCTCGGCCTCCCAAAGTGCTGGGATTACAGATGTGAGCCACCACACCTGGCCCAAGTTCTTTATTACACAAGCACACACCCTCAAACAAATCAATATGAAAATGATTCAGTTATTATTCAAATAAGTCACAAACACTAAGACTGTCAAGGACTTCCCTTTTGATCATTCTCTTTGTTGAGAAAGATTGACCAGTTCAGAGAAGGCAAGAGATCCAGATCTTCACCACTTGGAGATTGTTCAGTTGTCTCTGTAGTAAACTGTACCAGGATATCTTCTTGATCTTTTTGTTCTATCATTATGGCAATCATCTGATAAGAGAGCAGCTGTACAGAAGCATTGAGCAAAGAAGTGCTTTCTTTAAGGTGATGTATAGCTTATTCTACCATGTCTGTTTGATTAATCCAAGTAGAGTAAGAAGTAATAGCAATGACACAGATGCTATCATGATTAGCCAACAAATAATCCTAGCAATGCAATTGTCCATCACAACTTGTGCCAGTAAGTTGAGACAGATCTGTATTCCATCTAGGGAAGAGGTGGTGTCATTCATAACTTCGGCCAGAGTTAGTGATAGGTCTTTTTCAGTCTTTTTATTTCCCACCATTGGAGCACTGCTCTGTTCACATAAACAGTAAGTAAGCAATTCCTCAAGTAGAGTGCCTGAAGAATCACGGGTGATCTCATTTGGAGCTCCTGCCTGAGTTGGAATTTCCAGCATTGGTGACTAGAGTTAGGATTTCAATACACAGGCAAGTCTTGAAATACTATTCCTTAATCTGGGGAAAATAAGACTAGATGTCCTGGGAAAAATGAAGTGAACCTGGTAGGGGCACACAAAACTCCAGAAAAAAAGGGAGTTGTTTCATGGCTCAAAATTGGAACAAAGGCCTTACATTAACTGTGTTACAAATTTGGATTCCTATTAATGTCTCTTCCAGGTGATAAGTAACTAATTCATCACCCTATGAAGTTCATTGGATTCAAATTTAGAATTACCTGGAGTCAGATCAATATACTATCATAATTGGTTCTTTTTCTGGGAGAGAAGGACACTAGTAAAACCACAGCTGGGTTTATTTAATGTCATTTGTTCTGTAGGTGCAAGTGAAAAAGCCATTGTCTATTATTCCCTATAGACTCATTTGATGAGACTAGAGCTTGTCAAATGTATTTATCATGGTGGTCTGGTGACAGATGGTATAACCAATGTTGGTAAGATTGAGGGTACTGGCTACTGTTTAGGAAAATGTAAGAATGGCATTAGAATGAGCATGTTCTGATGTAACAACTATAACAAAAATGAAAGAAAAGAGACAAAGGGCCACTGTGGGTGGGTGACAACCAGGGGTCTATAGAAAATGAAAAGAAGAATGACCATAAGCAAGCAGATGAAAAACAAAACAGAATTTTTACAGACGTCTTGGACTGATATCTTGGGCAGAGGCTATCTACTATTCAAGATAATTTATTCTGAGGGTCTTGAATTATCTGTATAGTTCTGAAGATCAGCTATGTATAGAATACCCTGGAGAATCCTAGTTTGTAATTTTCTATTGGAGTAGCCATCTTGTTGTGTCAATTCTTAATTTTTTCCTTAGTTGCAAAATGAGTACAACTTGACTCCCTAGAGTTTGATTGATTTATTCCCTGGAGTTTCACTGCTGTATTTTTTGCTAATGGTACCTGATAATGTCCCTCACAATAAGGTTCAAAAACAGTTTTTCTTGGATGACTCTTCCAGTAGACAAAATCTTATGATTTAACATTATAAAGAGGCTGTTTAGGAAGATGCGGGAAGGTGGCCTCAACCTGTTGGTGATAAGACTGTTGGTGACAGTACTTGAGTCCTTTACCCTATTTTTCCATGCCTTCATACAGCATGGTAGAGTATAGTATTGGAGGTAAAATCCCTAAATAAGTGGGCCTTCCAGTTACCAGTTCTTAGGGGGAGAACTGATACGTCCCCAGGGGAGTGAACCAAATGGCCCTAAGGTATTCTGGAAGTACCTTTGCCTAGAGAGTGCAAGGGTTTCTGAAAATTTTGTTAATTTTAACTTAAGGATGCTATTTATTCTTCCAAGCTTTCCAGAAGATTGTGGATAGTAAAAGAAGTATAATTTTTGAGTAAGCGTTAATGCCTTATGGAGTTTTGTTATGTGGTTCCTGTATTAGCCTGTTCTTGTAATGCTATAAAGAAATACCTGAGACTGGGTTTTTGGGGAACAGGTGGTATTTGGTTACATGAATAAGTTCTTTAGTGGGGATTTATGACATTTTGGTGCACCCATTACCCAAGCAGTATATACTGTACCCAATGTATATTATCCCTAATCCTCCTCCCACCGTTTCCCCTGAGTCCCTGAGTCCCTGAAGTCCGTCTGTTGTATCATTCCTTTCTTTTCTTTTTTTTTTTTTGAGATGAAGTCTCACTCTGTTGCCCAAGCTGGAGTGCAGTGGCGTGATCTCGGCTCACTGCCACCGCCACCTCCCGGGTTCAAGCAATTCTGCTGCCTCAGCCCCCCGAGTAGCTGGGACTATAGGCACACAACACCATGCCCGGCTAATTTTTGTATTTTTAGTAGAGACGGGGTTTCACTATGTTGGCCAGGCTGGTCTCTTAACTCCTGACCTCGTGATCTGCCTGCCTCAGCTTCCCAGAGTGCTGGCATTACAGGCGTGAACCACTGCACCCGGCTCCATTGTATCATTCTTATGCCTTTGTGTCCTCATAGTTTAGCTCCCCCAACATCCCAACATATATATATATATATTTTTTCAAGATGAAGTCTTGCTCCGTCAACCGGGTTGGAGTGCAGTGGTGCAGTCTCGGCTTACTGCAACCTCTGCCTCCTGGGTTCAAGTGATTCTCCTGCCTCAGCCTCCCTGGGATTACAGGCAAATGCCACCACACCTGGCTAATTTTTGCATTTTTAATAGAGATGGGGTTTCACCATGTTGGCCAGGCTGGTCTCAAACTCCTGACCTCAAGTGATCTGTCCACCTCAGCCTCCCAAAGTGCTGGGATTACAGGCGTGAGCCATGGTGCCTGGCTCCCCAACATACTTTTTAAAAAAATGTTAAAAAATTTTTTCTGGAGTTTTATTATTATTATACTTTAAGTTCTGTGGTACATGTGCACGGTGTACAGGTTTGTTACATAGGTATCCATGTGCCATGTTGGTTTGCTGCACCCATCAACTCGTCATTTACATTAGGTATTTCTCCTAATGCTATCCCCACCCTCAGCTCCCCTCACCCACTGACAGGCCCCGGTGTGTGATTTTCCCCTCCCTGTGTCCAAGTGTTCTCACTGTTCAATTCCCACCTATGAGTGAGAACGTGTGGTGTTTGGTTTTCTGTCCTTGTGATAGTTTGTGAGAATGATGGTTTCCATCTTCATCCATGTCCCTGCAAATGACATGAACTCATCCTTTTTTATGGCTGCCTCCCCAACATACTTTTAAATGACCAGATCTTGTAAGCACTTTTTCCATTCATGAGAACTCCACCACCATGAACAAATCACCTCCCACCAGGCCCCACCCTCAACATTGGTATTACATTTCAACATGAGATTTCAGTGGGGACAAATATCTAAGCCATTTCATTCTGTCCTTGGCCCCCTCCAAATCTCATGTCCTTCTCAAATTGCAAAATACATTCATGCCTTCCCAATAGTTTTCCAAAGTCTTAACTCATTCCAGAGTTAACTCAAAAGTCTGAAGTCTCAAGTTTCATTTGAGACAAGGCAAGTGCTTTCACTTATGAGCCTAAAAAATAAAAAAAATCAAGTTATTTACTTTCAAGATACAAGGGGTGTATAGGCATTGGGTAAATATTCCTATTCCAAATGGGAGAAAATGGCCAAAAGAAAGGGGCTACAGTCCCCATGCAACTCTGAAATGCAGCAGGGCAGTAATTAAATCTCAAAGCTCCAAAATAACCTCCTTTGACTCCATATCCTGCATCCAGGGCACACTGCTGCAAGGGGTGGGCTCCCAGGCCTTGGGCAGCTCCACCTCTGTGGCTTTTCCATGCTGAGATTGCAAGCTGCTGGTGGCTCTACCATTCTGGAATCTGGAGGGCAATAGCCCCCTTCCCACAGCTCCACTAGGCAGTGCCCCATTGGGGACACTGTGTGGGGGCTCCAACCCCACATTTCCCCTTGACACTGACCTAGTTGAGGTTCTCTGTGAGGGCTCCACCCCCACAGCAGGCTTCTGCCTGGGCACTGAGTCTTTCTCATACAGACTCTGAAATCTAGATGGAGGCTGACAAGCATTCTTCACTCTTGCACTCTGCACACCAACAGGTTTAATACCACGTGAAAGCTACCAAAACTTACTGCTTGCATTCTCCAAAGTGGCAGCTTGAGCTGTACCTGAGCCCCTTTGAACCCCAGCTGGAGCTAAAGCAGCAGATATAGGCAGCACTGTCCTGAGGCTGTGCAGGGCAGCATGGCCATGGGCCTGGCCCATAAAACCATTCAGTCCTCCTAGGCCTCAGGGCCTGTGACAGGAGGGGCTGCCACAATGGTCTCTGAAATGCCTTAGAGGCTTTTTTCCCATTGTCTTGGCTATTAGCACTTGGATCCTTTTTAGTTATGCAAATATCTCTAGCAAGTAGTTGCTCCACATCCTGCTTGAATTCCTCTCCCAGTAAAGCTTTTTCTTTCTCTGCCACAAGGTCAGGCTGCAAATGTCCCAAACTTTTACACTCTACTTCCCTTTGAAATACAAATTCCAACTTTAAGTCATGTATTTGCTTCCACATCTGAGCGTAGGTTATTAGAAGCAACCAGGCCACATCTTGAATGCTTTGCTGCTTAGAAGTTTCTTCTGGCAGACACCTTAAATCATCACTCTGAAATTTAAACTTCCACAGATCCCTAGGGCATGGATATAATACAGCCAAGTTCTTTGCTAAGGCATAATGGGTGACCTTTGCTTTGGTTCTCAATATGTTTCTCATTTCTATCTGATACCTTGGCAGCATGGACTTCACTGTCCATATCACTATAAGCATTTTGGTCACAAGTACTTAACTAGTCTTTAAGAAGTTCCAAACTTTCCCTCATCATCTTGTCTGCCTCTGAGCCCTCCAAACTCTTCCACCCTCTCGCTGTTACCCAGTTACAAAGCTGCTTCTGCATTTTCAGTTATCTTTATAGCAATGTCCCACTGCTGGATACCAATTTTCTATATTAGGCCGTTCTTGCATTGCTATAAAGAAATACTTGAGACTGAGTAATTTGTAAGGAAAAGAGGTTCAACTGGTTCATAGTTCTGCAGGCTTTACAGGAAGCATAGTGCTGACACCTGCTCAGCTTCTGGGTATGGGCTCAGGAAGCTACAATCATGGTGGAAGGTGAAGGGTGAGTAGCCACATCACATGGTGAAAACAGGAGTGAGAAAGAGTTGATGGGGGCAGGTATCTCCTAAATGACCAGATCTCATGAGAATGCACTCCATTCATGAGAACTCCACACCCATGATCCAGTCACCTCCCACTAGGCCCCAACCTCAACATTAGTGATTACATTTCAACATAAGATTTGGGTGGGGACAAATATCCAAACTATTAATTTATCAGTTCCCCTAAAGTGTATGTGCCTTGATCACTTGCTATAAAAGTTTGGATGTTCCAGGTTGGAAACTTCTTAGTGGCTGTAAGGACTGCAAATTTTCAGAAAGGAAATGCTTCAACCCCATTAATATAATACATACAATACTAAAACATACAATAACTAAAACATATTCAAATATCATGAAGGGAGGAGGCTGGATAAAATCCATCTGAAAGTTTCCAGAGGGCTCTTGAGACTTTGGTTCCTGGCCATGTCCTACCTTTACAGTTTTTCCAGGACTATGTTGACAGATGGTGTGCAGCCTAAAAATACTGTTAAAAAGCTGTTCTTTAAAGTTTCTGCATCAATGTTAATTTAAGATAGTAACAGTCATATGTACCATAATGGATAATATAATGGAGAAATTTAGCTGATATCCACTTGAAAAAACCTGGCACAACCACATGGCCATTTTGGGACCACTAGGGATTATTTGAGTGAAGATTATAATTTTTAACACTTTTCATTTCCAGAATCAGGGCCTTAATGTTGATATTTTTGAATCTCTTGGAATTCCTCCAGAGATGGATCCTTTGAGGGTTCAGTTAGGAACATAGCCTTGGTTAAGGCTGCTTCTTTGGCGTGGTAATCAGCTAGAGCATTTTCTTTCACTTCCATATTATCTTTTTCGTATTATCACTTCTCATACTATCTTTTCATGAGCCTTAGCTTTCATAACAGCTACAATCTAAGAAGTAGGGGTGCATCTACCTAATATAAGTTCTTTAATTTGTTGTTCATTTTCGAAGAGGGTTCTATCTGAGGTTAGGAAACACTCTTTGTTTTTAGAGTACCCTAAAGTCATATACTCCTCCCAAGCATGTCTGCTATCTGTATATATGTTTACTCTCTGGTATTTGGCTAGTTGATGAGCTCTATATAGTAACTGAGATAAGTTCTGCCATCTGGGCTGATTTTACCTCAGATAGGGGACTATATTCTAAAGAGAACTTAAATTAGTAATAGCTTATCCTGCTTAATAACTTCCAGTTTCAGTTTTCAGGTATCATCCATCATAAACAACAACAAAAATATTAGGCCATGGTTGTCACAGGAGTCTCTGATGGATCTGAGGTACAGAAAGTTCCATAACTTTCTGTTAGGTAAGACAATTGTGAGTTCCCTCTTTTTTTTTTTTTTCCTGTTAGGAGCAGGAGAATGGCAGGATTCAGAGTGCTGCAGTGGTGAACAGAAATGTCAGAGGGAGAGAATAATAGAGCCAGGTGTGGTGGCTCATGGTTGTAATCCTAGCACTTTGGGAGGCAGAGGCGGGTGGATCACCTAAGGTCAGGAGTTCAAGACCAGCCTGGCCAACATGGTGAAACCCCATCTCTACTAAAAATAAAAAAATAGCCAGGTGGGGTGGTGTGTGCCTGTAATCTCAGCTGCTCAGGAGCCTGAGGCCGGAGAATCACATGAACCTGGGAGGCAGTGAGCCAAGATCACACCACTGCACTTTAGCTTGGGCAACAGAGTGAGACTCCATCTCAAAAAAAAAAGCAT
This sequence comes from Homo sapiens, assembly GCF_000001405.40. Lineage (NCBI taxonomy): Eukaryota > Metazoa > Chordata > Mammalia > Primates > Hominidae > Homo > Homo sapiens. Next base: position 95,136,260 of record NC_000002.12, on the reverse strand, counting down.
TGTAGATGTTTAATTAGTTGGTTGAACATGAAAAACTATTTCTATTCACAAGTGATATGATCTTGTGTATAGAAAATGCTAAGGAATCCATTAAAAACCTTTTAGAGTAAATGAGTTTAGCAACATTGCTGGATACAAGATCAATATACAAAAATGAATAATATTTATTTACTTAATTAATTTAATTTTTATTTTTTTGAGATGGAGTCTCGCTCTGTCGCCAGGCTAGAGTGCAGTGGTACGATCTTGGTTCACTGCAACCTTTGCCTTCCAGGTTCAAGTAATTCTCCTGCCTCAGCCTCCCGAGTAGCTGGGACTACAGGCCACCACGCATGGCTAATTTTTGTATTTTTAGTAGAGAGGGGGTTTCACCATGTTGGCCAGGATGGTCTCGATCTCTTCACCTTGTGATCCACCTGCCTCAGCCTCCCAGAGTGCTGGGATTACAGGCATGAGCCACCGTGCCTGGCCAAAAATGAGTAATATTTCTATACATGTGTGATGAACAATTCAAAAATAAAATTAAGAAAACAATTCCAGACCAGACGTGATGGGTCATGCCTGTAATCCCAGCACTTTAGGGGGCTGAGGCAGGAGGATCGCTTAAGCCCAGGGATTCAAGACCGGCCTGGACAACATAGTGAGACCCTGTCTCTACAAAAAATACAAATATTAGCCAGGTATAGTGGTGTGGGCCTGTAGTCCCAGCTACTTGGGAAGCTGAGGTAGGAGGATTGCTTGAGCCCAGAGGGTTGAGCCTGCAGTGAGCCATGATCATGCCACTGTACTCCAGCCTGGGCAATAGAGCATGACCCTGTCTCAAAAAAGAGAAAAAAAAAAAAAGAAAGAACGAAGGAAAGAAGGAGGGAAGGAAGGAAGGAAAGAAAACAATTCCATGTGTAATACAATGGCATCAAAAAGTATAAAATACTTAGGAATAAATTTAACAAAAGAAGTGGCAAAACATATTCTGAAAGCTACATGACACTGTTGAAAGAAATTAAAGAAGATATAAATAAATGAAAAAACATCTCACGTTCATGGATTGGAAGACTTACTATTGTCAAGATAACAATAGTACCCAAATTGATCTACAGATTCAAGGCAATCCCTATAAGAATCCCAGCTATATTATTTGTAGAAATTGAAAAGTTGATTCTAGCATTTATATGAAATTGCAAGGGATCTAGAATAGCCAAAACAATCTTGCAAAAGAATAATGAAGTGGAAGGACTCACACTTACTAATTTCAAAACTTACTATAAAGCAACTGTAGTCAAGATAGTATGGAACTGGTAAAATTATGGATATATAGACCAACAGAATAGAATTTTGAGCTCAGAAATAAACCTATGTGTCTATGGTCAACTAATTTTCAACAAGAGTGCCAGGACCATTCTATGGGGAAGGAATAGTCTTTTCAACAAATGGTGCTGGGACACCTGTACAGCCACATGCAAAAACTGGACTCTTACCTAACCCAATATACAAAAATAAATGCAAAATGCATCAAAGCTAAAATGGTAAAACTCTTAGAAGAAAACGGATAAATTTCATGACCTCAGATTTGGCAGTGGGTTCTTAGTTAAATTAGTGGTTTCTTTAAGCTAGGGTGACAGACTGGACGAAGTTTAGGGGAGAAACAGCTAAAGGGTATGGGGTTTCTTTTCGCAGTAATAATAGATGTTCTAAAACTGCCTCTGTTCATGGGTGCACAGTCCTGTGAATATACTAAAACCCACCAAGTTTACACATTAAATGAGTGAATTGTGTGGTAGGTGAAATATATCAAAATGTAGCTGTTATAAAAGGGGATGAGGTCAGCCCTAGGGAACTGGAGAGCCTTAACCATGGCCTGAACTGCCTGTATCTGGTTCTCCAGAGCATTGGTAGCGAGTCCTTCCAGGGAAACACCTGGGAGGGAGGCCTTAAAAAGCGGTTCGAATAACCAGGGTGCAGAAATAGGGGTGATCCCTAAGACTGAGGCCTAATTTGCTGGCCTGGTTTGAGCAAATGAGTAAGGGTGATGAGATGTGGCTTGGACATCCAGGGACCACCAGAAAGAACCTTTGTAAAAATCACAAAGTTTATGATTTTTGAGAGGCTATCAACTCCCAATAAAAAAATTTGGCCAAGATTCTTGGTAGGGGAAAAGATTCCTTTAGTCCTTGGTATAAGATATCCATTCTCATGGTCAGCTGAACTTTTTTGAGTTCATATACTTGTTACATTAAAATTTTTATTTGGAAATAACTGTAGATTCTCATGCAGTTGTGAGAAATAATACAGAGAAATCCCATGTACCCTTCACCTAGTTTTCCTAATGGTAACACTTTGCAAAACAATATGACAACCAGCATATTGACATGGATACAGTTAAGATACAGAATATAGTAATTCCTCAATATCCCTGAGGGATTGGTTCCAGGATCCCTGTAGATACCAAAATCTGCGACTTTTCAAGTCCCTGATACAAAATGACATATAATAGTATTTGCATATAACCCATGCACATCCTCCTGTAGACTTTAATCTCTAGATGACTTATAACACCTGATACAATGTAAATGCTATGTAGTAGTTGTTATACTGTATTGCCTAGGAAATAATGACAAGAAAAAAGTCTGTACATGTTTAGTACAGACACAACCATCCTTTCTTTTCTGAATATTTTTTATCTTGGTTGGCTGAATCCACAGATAAGGAACCCATGGATATGGAGGGCCAGCTGTACTTCCATTACCACAAGGATTCATGTTGCCCTTGAATAGCCACACCACTTCCCTCCTGCTGCCACCCCCTTCCTAACTCCTGACAACCACTCATCTGGTCTCCATTTCTGTTTGTCATTTCAAGAACATTGTGTAAATTAAGCCATGCAGTATGTGACCTTTTGAAGTTGATGTCTCCTTCTTCTTTTTCTTTTTGAGACAGGGTCTTGCTCTGTCGCCCAGGCTGGAGTGCAGTGGTGTTGTCGCAGCTCACTGCAGCATCAACCTCCTGGGCTTAAGCGATTCTCCCACCTCAGCCCCTCAGAGGGCTGGGATTGCAGGCATGAGCCATCTTGCCTGGCCAAGATTGGCTTTTTTCATTTAGCATAATTCTCTGGAGAGTCACCCAAATTGTGTGTATCAATGACTTACTCCTTTTTATTGCTGAGTAGGAGTATATGACATGGATTTACGAGAGTGCGTTTAACCATTCACCCATTGAAAGATGCATGGGATGTTTCCAGTTTGAAGGCTATTACAAATAAAGCTGCCATGAACATTCATAAACAGGTTTTTTAGTGTAAATAGGAGTTTCCATTTATCTGAGATAAATTTTCAGGAATGCAATTGCTAGGCGTAGTAGGGTAGAGGCATGTTTAGCTTTTTTTTTTTTTTTTTTTTTGAGATGGAGTCTTGCTCTGTTGCCCAAGCTGAAGTGCAGTGGCATGATCTCAGCTCACTGCAACCTCCGCCTCCTGGGTTCAAGCGAGTCTCCTGCTTCAGCCTCCTGAGTAGCTGGGATTACAGGCACATGCCACCACGGCCGGCTTATTTTTGTATTTTTAGTGGAGACGGGGTTTCGCCATGTTGACCAGGCTGGTCTTGAACTCCTGACCTCGTGATCCACCCATCTTTGCCTCCCAAAGTGCTGGGATTACAGGTGTGAGCCACTGTGCCTGGCCTGCATGTTTAGCTTTTTAAGAAACTGCCAAAATGTTTTCCAGAATGGCGGTACCATTTTATGTCCCCACCAGCAATGTATGAGTGATCCCGTTTCTCACATCCTCATCAGTTTATGGTGTTGGCACTACTTTTTACTTCAGTCATTTTGATAGGTGTGTAGGGATATATCATTGTGGGTTTGATTTGCATTTCCCTAATGGCTAATATGGTGGGACATCTTTTCATGTACGTCTTTGCCTTCTGTACATCTTTTTTGGTGAAATGTCTTTTCCTCATTTTCTAATCGAATTGCTTGTTATTTTACTGTTGAGTTTTGAGAATTCTTCATAAATTCTAGATACTAGTGTTTTGTCAGGTATGTGGCTTGCAGATATTTCCTCCCAGTCTGTAGCTTGTCATTTAATTTTCTCTCTCTGTTTTTTTTTTTTTTTTTTTTTTTTTTGAGACAGAGTCTTGCTCTGTCGTCCAGGCTGGAGTGCAGTGGCACACAATCTTGCCTCACTGCAACCTCTGCCTCCTGGGTTCAAGTAATTCTCCTGCCTCAGCCTCCTGAGTAGCTGGGATTACAGGTGTCTGACACCATGCCTGGCTAATTTTTGTATTTTTAGTAGAGACAGGGTTTCACCATGTTGGCCAGGCTGGTCTGAAACTCCTGACCGTAAGCGATCCACCCTCCTCGGCCTCCCAAAGTGCTGTGATTACAGGTGTGAGCCACGGCACCTGGCCCATTTCATTCTCTTAATGGAGTCTTTCATTGAATAAATGTTTTATAAAAAATTTGGGGAAGTCTAATTATTTGATAAAGTATAAGGTTCAGGTTGTGGCTTGCTTATTTATTTTGCCTGTGGTTGTCCAGTTCTTCCTGCACCATTTGTTGAAAAGGCTATCTTTTCCTCACTGAATTGCTTTGGCCTCTTAGTAAAAAAATAAGTTGGGCATTGTTTTAATGCCCTCTCATTCACTCTGTTGGTGAGGCGAAGATTCCAGCTCTGGGGTTTGGGGATGGCTGAACACCTGACACCCGACACTGGAAAGAAGAGCTCCACAGTGGTTTATGACTCACATGTACTGAGAGGAGGATACCCCATGCCCACTGGGCAACATAGGGGCTGCATTTGGGAACAGAGTGAACCAGCAAGGGCTGTGGGAAACAGGCTTTGTAGTATTAAGAGGGAGAGATAACTCCTGGTTCCTGTGGGAGGAGGTACCGGTTTGTTTGAATAATTCTGTGGGCTGGCAGGAACTGAACCCCATTACTCTGAGATAAGCAGAAACTGTGCCTGGTCCCTTTGATATAGAGCATTGCTTGATTCTTATCCATGAGGAAGAGTGGGGAGTAGATCTTACAGTTAGGGCATTAGGAGCCCTCCTGATTTCACCAGATGTCAAGGCAGCAGTCCATATTATTGGGCTTTAATTTTAGGCCTTACACAACAGGCATATTTGTGTATTGCTGGATTTTCTAATTTGTTCTGTCAATCTGTCTATCCTCCTATTGCGGGAAGTCAGGGACCCCAAACAGAGGGACCGGCTGAAACCACGGCAGAAGAACGTGAATTGTGAAGATTTTATGGACATTTATTAGTTCCCCAAATTAATACTTTTGTAATTTCTTAACGCCTGTCTTTACTGCAGTCTCTAAACATAAATTATAAAGATTTCATGGACACTTATCACTTCCCCAATCAATACCCTTGTGATTTCCTATGCCTGTCTTTACTTTAATCTCTTAATCCTGTCAGTTGAGGAGGATGTATATCGTTCCAGGACCCTGTAATAATTGCATTAACTACAAAAATTGTACAGCATGTGTGTTTGAGCAATATGAAATGTGGGCACCCTGAAAAAAGAACAGGATAACAGCAATTGTTCAGGGAATAAGAGAGATAACCTTAAACTCTGACTGCCGGTGAGCCGGGCAGAACAGAGCTATATTTCCCTTCTTTCAAAAGCAAATGGGAGAAATATCACTGAATTCTTTTTCTCAGCATGGAACGTCCCTGAGAAAGAGAATGCACACCTAGGGGTAGGTCTCTGAACCGGCCCCCCCGGGGCATACCTGTCTCTTATGGTCGAGATTGCAGAGGTCAAATAAACTCCAGTCTCCCATAGCACTCCCAGGCTTATTAGGAAGAGGAAATTCCCACCTAATAAATTTTGTTCAGACCCGTTGATCTCAAAACCCTGTCTCCTGATAAGATGTTATCAATGACAATGGTGCCCGAAACTTCATTAGCAATTTTAATTTCACCTCGGTCCTGTGGTCCTGTGGTCCTGTGATCTCGCCCTGCCTCCACTTGCCTTGTGATATTCTATTACCTTGTTAAGTACTTGGTGTCTGTCACCCACACCTATTCGCACACTCCCTCCCCTTTTGAAAATCCCTAATAAAAACTTGCTGGTTTTTGTGGCTTGTGGGGCATCACGGCTCCTACCAATGTGTGATGTCTCCCCTGGACACCCAGCTTAAAAATTTCTCTTTTGTACTCTGCCCTTTTATTTCTCAAGCCAGTCGACGCTTAGGAAAATAGAAAAGAACCTACGTGATTATCGGGGCAGGTCCCCCGATATCCTCCTCCAAAACCACATATTCTTGATTATAAATAAATAAATAAGAGACCCCTGGAGGCCTCTTAGGTGTCTCTTTCTGGCTGACCTAGCTGGCTGTGCTTAATTAAGTGGTGTTACCAGACTCCTACTTGCTGACCAACAAAATCACTGTTCTTAAGAGTTCCCTTAGGTTTGAACTTCCCCAAACTCTGTTTTAAATAAAGTCAGTTCCTTGAGGGGTAGCTTTGGAGCTCTCTGGTCTTGTGGACTCTCTCTCCTACTGGGCAACATCTCTGAGCCACTACTCCCAGGCAATGGGTGGGGGTGGTAGCCTCAGATCTTCTTGGCTTGATTCTCCTGGTGTGGAATCCCTGTCCAATGAATGAACTGAGATGAGGGCAACGGGAGCCCCTATCTCCTCATCCTGGTGCACCAGTGATCCAGGCTTATCCTGTAAGTGGGGGCAGTTTGGAGGAAGGAAGCCTCTGATCTCTCAGCCACACATAGTAGGAATTTAGCCTCTTCAACTAGGAGTTGGAGGAGATGAAGAATCTTGTGGTCTGCCTTTCCCAGCGAGACACCACATCCCTTGATTGGGAGCTGAGGTGAGCCCTGTCTTCTTCATCACACCTGTCGAGAATGGAGCCTTCATCAAGCTGAGCTGGGAAGGAGGGTGCTGAGGGTTGGAGTGGACTGTAGCTCAAGTGCCATGGACTCTTTTGTTCTTATTGAGTTTTAGTAGCTCTTCCTGAATAAATGTTTCTTCATTTGCTGCACGTCCTTAGGACAATTTCCAGAGATTAAAAAGCTTCTTAATAGTTTTCACCAATTATGCTTATTTCACTGAGGAGTGGGTCTGCATAACTCCTCACCATGCCACCCTGGAAGTGAAACTCCTCCCTAAGCAAAACTTTCAGAGTCAGTGTTTTGGCTAAAGAGGCTAAAAATGTCACCAACAGTTTTCTTCGTAGACTGACGGAAGTGTAGGCCCAGAGTGGCCTATACCAGAGGAAACTGAAATACCAGAATTTCCTTGGTATACTACAGAAGAAGCGATCCAAAGGCTTGGGGAGATTAGAATGATAGAGTGGATTTATCTTATGAGAACTGCTCACCCACCTTGAGAGGGTCGGAGGATCCTTCTTTCACTACAGTTGTGAGAAATAAGTTGTGAGATGAGCTTCAGTGTCCTTGATGCTGTCTGTGATGGCTCTCTTTTTCCACCTTTCCTTCTCCTCCTCCTCCTCCTCTTCCTCCTCCTTCTCTTTCTCCCTCTTCTTCTCCTCCTTCTTCTTCCTTCTCCTACTCCTCCCTCCTCCTTCTTTCTCCTTCTTCCTCCTCCTCCTCTTCCTCCTTCTTACTTCTTCTTCCTTATTCCTCCTCCTCCTTTTTCTTTCTTCTTCTCCCTCCTCCTCCTTTTTCTTTCTTCTTCTCCCTCCTCCTCCTCCTCATCCTCTTCCTTCTTCTTTCTTCTTTTTCTTGAGACGGAGTCTCACTCTGTCGCCCAGGCTGGAGTGCAGTGGTTCGATCTTGGCTCACTGCAACCTCCGCCTCCTGGGTTCAAGCAATTCTCCTGCCTCAGCTCTCAAGTAGCTGGGATTACAGGGACACACCACCATGCCCAGCTGTTTTTTTTTTTTTTTTTTGAGACGAAGCCTTGCTCGTGTCGCCCAGGCTGGAGTGCAACGGTGGGATCTCAGCTCACTGCAACCTTCACCTCCCAGGTTCAAGTGATTCTCCTGCCTCAGCCTCCTGAGTAGCTGGGATTACAGGCACCTGCCACCATGCCTGGCTTTTTATATTTTTAGTAGAGATGAGGTTTCACTGTGTTGGCCAGGCTGGTCTTGAACTGCTGACCTCAGGCAATCCGCCCATCTCGGCCTCCCCAAGTGCTGGGATTACAGGCGTGAGCCATCACGCCCAGCCCTAATTTTTTATTTTAAAAACTTTTTGTAGAGGTGGGGTCTCACTGTGTTGTCCAGGGCTGGTCTTGAACTCCCAGACTCAAGTGATCCTTCCACTTCAGCTTCCCAAAGTGTTGGGATTACAGGTGTGAGCCACTGCATGTGGCCATGGCTCTTTAGGTCAAAAATATAGAGGGAACAGCTACCATCAAACTAAAACACTAGGCCGGGTGCGGTGTCTCACGCCTGTGATCCCAGCACTTTGGGAGGCCGAGGCAGGTGGCTTACCTGAGTTCAGGAGTTCAAGGCCAGCCTGGCCAACAGGCTAAAATCCTGTCTCTACTAAAAATATAAAAATTAGCCGGGCGTGGTGGCAGGCACCTGTAATCCCAGCTACTTGTGAGGCTAAGGCAGGAGAACCACTAAGGCGGAGGCTGCAGTGAGCTGCGATCATGCCACTGCACTACAGCCTGGGCAATAAGAGCAAATCTCTGTCTCAAAAAACAACACAAAACACAAAAAACAAAAAAACAAAAACAAAAACAAAAAAACAAAAACAAAAACAAAACAACCAAAAAACACTAAACACAATGAAGATAGTGAGGTGACAGGCACTATGTGGTGGCACTTAATCACTGAACAGAAGTTGGGTATGGTTACCATATAGACAGTAGAACAAACACAATCATCAGAATGGCCAGGCTCACTAGGACCTTTGGTGTTGACCTTTGGTGTTTCTGGAAATAAAAGAGATGGAGAACCTACTGAAGTCTTACTGGATTTGTATAGGCAGAAAAGATCTAGGCCTAGTGAACAGAAGTCTGACTTGAATCACCAAAAGAGGGAGTCATGTCTCCTCAATCAATTCCCAGACTTGAGTGAATTCACAGATCCAGAGTCCCTCGAGTGAAGGGCAGGCTGGGTCCCCTCTCAGGAAAGGCATTGGTACACTACCAAAAACGTACAGCTAATCTTCCTTTCAGCCTTCCCCAAAGGTACTTGTAGCCATTTACCAGGGTGACTATGCATCAAGGACAGAGAAATATCCAGATGTTTTAAGGATTACTCAACACTGCCTCTGAGCTGACACCAATTCCTGGAGACCCGAAATGTCACAGTGACCTGTCAGAGCAGAGGCATAAAGAGATCAGGTGATTGGTGGAGTTTTAGGTCAGGTCTGTCTCACGGTGGGCGCAATAGGTCCCAGAACCCATCCCGTGGTTATTCCTGTAGCTATGGGAGGCCAAGGCAGGAGGATTGCTTGAGGCCAGGAGTGTGAGGCTGCATTGAGTTATGATAGTGCCAGTACACTCAGCCTGGGCGATACAGCAAGATCCTGTTTCCAAGAAAAAAGAAAAGAAAAAAAAAGAAAATGGGCTCACATGTAGAATATACAAAGAATTCTCAAAACACAGCAGTGAAAGAAACCAAACAATCCAACTAGAAAATGAGCAAAAGACATTTTACTCAAGAGGGTATACAGATGGCAATTCTAGAAGCACATGAAAAGAAATTCAACATCATTAGCTATTAGGGAAATGTAAATTAAAACCATGATGATATGTCACCATACCTATGAGAGCAGCTAAAAAAAATGGGGATAACACTGAATGTTAGTGAGGATACAGAGAAACTAGATCTTTCACATATTGCTGGCAGGAATATAAAATGGAATGGCCACTTTGGAAAGTAGTTTGGCAGTTTCTTTCTTTTTTTCTTCCTTTCTTTCTTTCTTTCTTTTTTTTTTTTTTTTTTTTTTTTGAGATGGAGTTTCACTCTTGTTGCCCAGGCTGGAGTGCAATGGCTCAATCTCGGCTCACTGAAACCTCTACCTCCTGGGTTCAGGTGATTCTCCTGCCTCAGCCTCCTGAGTAGCTGGGATTACAAGTGTGCGCCACTACACCTGGCTAATTTTTGTATTTTTAGTAGAGATGGGGTTTCACCATGTTAGCCAGGCTGGTTTCTAACTCCTGACCTCAGATGATCCACCCACCTTGGCCTCCCAAAGTGCTGGGATTACAGGCGTGAGCCACCATGCCCGGCTGGCAGTTTCTTTAAAAACTAAACATATACTTACCACACAATCTAATAATCTCACAGCTTGACATTTATCCCCCCAAATTAAAACTTATAGCCACACAAAATCATGTACATGATGGATATATTTCAAAATAATTGAAAGCAGAGATTTGAAGAGATTATCTGCACACTCATGTTCACAGCAGCATTATTCACAATAGCCAAAAGGTGAAAGCAACCCAAGTGTCCATTGACAGATGAATGGATAATAAAATATGATCTATTCATACAATGGAATATTATTCATAATATTAAAAGTAAGGACATTCTGGCACACGCTATACCTGGATGAACCTTGAGAACAACATGCTAAGTGAAATAAGCCAGTCACAAAAGGACAATACTATATAACTGCACTTACATGAAGGGAGAGGGGAATGGGGAGTTATTGTTTAATGGCTGCAGTTTCAGTTTTGAAAGATAAAAGACTTCTGTGGATAGATGGTGGTGATGGTAGCACAACAACGTGAATGTACTTAATGCCACTGAATTGTACACTTAAAAATGATTAAGATGGTCCAGGTGTGGTGGCTCACGCCTATAATCCCAGCACTTTGGGAGGCCAAGGTGGGTGAATCACAAGGTCAAGAGATCGAGACCATCCTGGCTAACATGGTGAAACCTGTCTCTACTAAAAATACAAAAATTAGCTGGGCATGGTGGTGGGCGCCTGTAGTCCCAGCTACTCAGGAGGCTGAGGCAGGAGAATCGCTTGAACCCAGGAGGCGGAGGTTGCAGTGAGCTGAGATCATGCCACTATACTCCAGCCTGGGCGACAGAGCGAGACGCGACGCGAGACTCCGTCTCAAAAAAAAAAAAAAAAAAGGATGGCAATTTTTATGTTATGTGTATTTTACCACAATTTTAAAATTTCTGGCTGGGCACAGTGGCTCATGCCTGTAATCCCAGCACTTTGGGAGTCTGAGGTGGGCGGATCGCTTGAGGTCAGGAGTTTGAGACCAGCCTGGGCAACATGGTGAAATGCTGTCTCTACAAAAATACAAAAATTAGCTGGGCATGGTGGCACAGGCCTCTACCTAGCTACTCAGGAGGGTGAGGCAGGAGAATCGCTTGAACCTGGGAGGGGGAGTTTGCAGTGAGCCGAGATCGCGCTATTGCACTCCAGCCTGGGCGACAGAGTGAGACTCTGTCTCAAAAAAATAAAAATAAAATAAAATTTCTAAATATCAAAAAATCACATACATGAATGTTGATGGCAGCTTTGTTTGAAATAGTTAATAACTGAAGACAGCCTGGGTGCAGTGGCTCACGCCTGTAATCCCAGCATTTTGGGAGGCTGAGGTGGGTGGATTGCTTAAAGGCCAGGAGTTTGAGACCAGCCTGGCCAACATGGTGGAACCCCGTCTCTACTAAAAATACAAAAAATTAGCTGAGTGTAATGGGACACGCCTGTAATCCCAGCTAATCAGGAGACTGAGGCACGAGAATCGCCTGAACCCAGGAGACGGAGGTTGCAGTGAGCTGAGACTATGCCACTGCACTCCAGCCTGGGTGACAGAGCGAGACTCTGTCTTAAGGAAAAAAAGAAAAGGAAAAGGAAAATAAAAATAAAAATAATAATATGAGACAAACTAAATGTCCTACAATGGGTGAATGGTTAAACAAATGTTAGTGCCATGGAATACTACTCAGCAATGTAAAGGAAGAAACTATTGGTACATGGAACTACTTGGATAGACGTCAAGGGTATTATGCTGAGTGAAAAAAAGCCAGTCATGAGATCATGTATTATCTGATTCCATTTATATAATGTTCTTAAAATGATAAAATTATAGAGATGAGAAACAGATTAGTGGTTGCCAAAGGTTAAAGATGGTGGAGGAGAGGATAAAAGAGGGGGTGGGTTTGACTCGAAGGGAGATGCACAGGTGATCTTGGAGATAGAACAGTTCTGTATCTCGATTGTGGTGCTGGATACAGAAATCTACATGTGACACAACTGCATAGAACTACACACACATACACAAATGAGTGTATGTAAAACTCATAAAATCTATGGATTGTACCGATGTCAGCTTCCTGGTTTTGATGTTGTACTATAGTTATGTAAGATGTACCATTTGGGGAAACTGAGTAAAGGATACATGGGACCTCTCTGTACTATTTTTGCAACTTCCTATCTGTATCTTTGAATCTGTAATTATTTCAAATTTAAAAGTTAGAAACAAACGACTAAGTAATCAAAACTTGCTTTGGGCCTTAACAGAGTCTGGAGGCTTGACCATTGACCAGCAACTTACCATGCAGTTTAAGCTGCTCATCATGAACTGGCTGTTGTATGATCACCAAGCCATAAAGTTGTGTGTGCACAGCAACACTCCATCATCGAATGGAAGTGGTACATATGAAACTGAACTGGAGCAGGACCTGAACATGCAAGCTACATGATCTTCTCTCTCTCAACCCCTACCCACAGCTTCATGAGGAATTACCTGTGACCAGTTGCCTGAAGAAGAAAACTCTTGGGCTTGGTTTACTCATGGTTCTGCATGATCTGTTGGTATCACCTGAAAGTGGACAGCTGCAGTACTGCAATCCCACTCTGGGATGCTTCTGAAGGACGGCGGTGAAGGGAAATCCTCCCAGTGGGAAGAAGATAAGAGTAATGTGCCTGGTTGTTCATTTTGCCTGGTTAGAAGTATAGATCTATACTTTTTCATGAGCAGTGGCTAATGACTTGGCTGGATGGTCAGTACTTGAGAGGAACATAATTAGGAAGTTGGTGACAAAGAGGTCTAGGAAACAGGTATGTGGATGGACTTCAGCCCAGAATGTGAAGATAATTATTTCCCACATGAGTGCTTATCAAAGGGCGACCTCCACAGAGGATTTTAATGAGGTGGATAGAATAACCCATTTAGTGGATGTCAGTCAGCCTCTTTACTTAGCCAAATGGACTCATGAATAAAGGGCTAGGGATGGAGGTTACACATGGGGTCAACGTGGACTTTCACTCGCCAGGGACAATCTGGCTACAGCTCCTGATATGGCAACACTCCTGGGGGCTCAGCCAGCTATCTGGTTGTAGGTTGGACCATGGAAGGGGCAGCAATTGTTCTCACTAGAATAGACACTTTGGATATGGATTTGCTGTTCCTGCCCACAATGCATCTGCCAAAACAACTATCCTTGGGTTTAATTATTTCACACACTGTTGCCTCTGACTTAGGAACTCACTCCACAGCAAATGAAGTGTGGCAGTAGGTCCTTGCTCATGGAATTAGCTGGTCTTACCATGTTCCCAATTATGCTGAAGCAGTTGGCTTTACACATAGGTGTAATCAATCTCTTTTCTCTTAATTTCGCCAACTCAATATATAAAAGGCCTGTTGAAAATGGTGTACATCAAAATAACCTGGAGTGAAATAAGTTGTCTATTTCAGCAAAGAAAATGGGAAAATAATAGATGAAACAACTGTGTTCCTCTTGATAATCGTTAAGTCTAGCTTGTCAGTATTTTTACTCTTCGGTATGTTTGAAAATTTTTATGCTAGACTCGAAAACCAGACTACCCTCTTACAAGACATTGTATCTGAGCAGGCTACCCTCTTACAAGACATTGTGCCCTTCTGTGTTGCAGGTGTGTGGGTCACTTGAGTAGGCGTAGATGGTATGGAGGCAATAAAAAAACCATGGCCCAGGGCTGAGATATGCATGTGTGACCAAACGTTAGAATCAGTATGAATCCACAAGTGTATGTGAAATGCAGGTCATTTAAGTGCTTAATCTAATGAAACTCAGAGCTTTACTGGAGTTGGGGATGAACACTTTCTCTACATTCCTCGCTTATTCATCCCTTGGATCCTCATTGCACTTGGCCCCCTTCCGTGCTTCTATGAACCTCGCAGGGGTCCGCAGTGCCAGCTCGGGTAAGTCCGAGGGTCCCCCGCCAGCGGACCCCTTCAGAGCTCCTGCACGAGCAGCCAAATCCACCCGGCCGGTCCTGCCCTCTCTCCGGCGCTGCAGGAGCCAGCTAGCCCCGCCCACGCCCGGCCGCCAGTCCAAGCCCCGCCCTCGGGTCCTAACGGGAGGCGCCCGCGGGGCTGTCCGCGGTCGCGCCGGGCTCCGCCTGCAGTGTGGCCCGTCCGGACAGTCCCTCACCCCGGCCTGCGCTGCTGCGTGGACTCGGGCCTCAGGAATTCCGCTGCGGCCCAAGGCTTGCCGTTTGACGAGGAGCAGTCGCGGTAGGCGGTGGGCAAGGCTGCCCTGGGCGGAGGCCGAGGCGCGGCTCGGACTCCAGCATGGCGACCGCGGTGCGCGCTGTGGGCTGCCTCCCCGTGCTGTGTAGCGGGACGGCAGGTGAGAGCTGGGACGCCGGGAGCAGGGGCTCTGAGCGGGCCGGGAGTGGGGGGCTCGCCTGGGGCCTGCAGAAGTCGGGGCGGAGGGAAGCGAGAAGCCGCGGCCCCCGGCTCTTCACGCCGTGCCCCCACCTTCCGCCGGAGCCGCTGTGTGACCTTGCGCGCGTCCTCTCCCTCTCTGGGTCGCGGAGCTCTTGTCTGTAAAATGAGGGGGAACTGGACGTCGTTCTTCAGGGTTCTTCCCAGTTCACGAAACCGCTTGAGCGTGCTTGGCGAAGAGGAGCGGAAACTGGCAAGCATCGCCTTTGGGGCGCGTGCGACCCCCGGGTTCATTTGATGTTGACGTGGGTTTGTCGTCCAGCATAACGTTTATCTCTAGGAGACGCTCCGTGATTGACTTTGCATTTTCTGTTTGCTCAATTTTACTGGAAGTCCACAATCCACCGTTTGTAGTTTCGAAATCTGAAGAGCCCTAGAGCCCGAATATGTGTATTTTAAAACTCATTTAGCTGCAATCTTTGACCTGAAGTCATTTGGCAGAAAATCTGACTTGAACATTGTTTTGTCCGTGTTGTCTCCGTCTCCTCCTTTGTTTTTTTGTTTTTGTTTTTGTTTTTTTGAGACAGTCTTACTCTGTCGCCCCGGCTGGAGTGCAATGGTGCGATCTCGGCTCACTGCAACCTCCGCCTCCCGGGTTCAAGCGATTCTCCTGCCTCAGCCTCCTGAGTAGCTGGGATTACAGGCGTCTGCCACCATGCCTGGCTAATTTTTGTATTTTTAGTAGAGACGGGGTTTCACCATGTTGGTCGTACTGGTCTCGAACTCCTGACCTCGTGATCCACCCGCCTCAGCCTCGAAGTGCTGGGAGTACAGGTGTGAGCCACCACGCCCGGCCGTCTCCTGCTTTTTCAAGGTCCTGTTCAAATGGCTCCTAGCTGTTGTAGCTTTCCTTCATTTTCCTCACCTTATCTTCGAAATGCCTTCATGAGGTATATACTGCTGTTCCCATTTTACAGATGAGGGAGTTAAGGCACACAGCTTCAGAAACTTGCTTAAGGTTAGGCTAGGTGGACAATAAGGTTTTTGCACCCATATCACCTGGCTCCGAAGCCTGTTTTTTGTTTTTGGTAACGGCTTCCTTGTTGAGACATAATTCACATACCATACAATTAATCCGTTTAAAGTGTACATTTCAGTGGTTTTTAGTATATCACCAGAGCAATGCAGCCAACATTATAATCACTGTAAAAAGAAAACCTGTACCTTTTAGCTGTCACTTCCCAGCTTCCCATTGGCCTCCAGCACAACCACTGATGTACTTTCCTTCTCTCTCTCTGTAGCTTGCCTGTTCTGGACATTACATATAAGTAGAATCATGTAATATGTAGTCTTTTGTGATTGGCTTCTTTCATTTAGCATAATGTTGTAAAGGTTCATCCTTGTAGCATGTACCAGCACTTCATCCTTTATGGCTGAATGATATTGTATGAATACCACATTTTGTTTTTCTGCTCATCAGTTGAACATTTGGGTTGTTTCCACCTTTTGGCTCTTAGGCCTATTTTGCTAGAAACATTTGTGTGCAATGTTTTTGTAAGTATATTTTTATTTCTGTTGGGTATATACTTAGGATTGTAATTGCTAGGTCATATGGAAACTGTGTTTACTGTTTCTTCTTTAACCCCCTTCTGTCGCCCTGGCTGGAGTGCATTGGCACGATCACGGCTCACTGCAGCCTCCATCTCCTGGGCTTAATCCATCCTCCCACCTCAGCCACCTGAGTGGTTGGGATTACAGGTGCATGCCACCATGCCCGGCTAGTTTTTCTTTATTTTTTGTAGAGTGGGTCTCACTATGTTGCCGAGGCTGGTCTCTAACTCCTGGGTGCAGGCAATCCTCCCGCCTTGGCCTCCCAAAGTGCTGGGATTATAGGTGTGAGCCATACATGTGACATGTATGTTTAGGTGTCAAGGAACTGCCAAACTGTTTTCCAAAGCTGCACCATTTTACATTCCCACCAGCAGTATATGAGGCTTCCAATTTCTCTACTTCCTTGCCAGCACTTAATGTCTGTCTTTTTTACTATAGCCATCTTAGTGGATGTGGGTTTTTTTTTTTTTTTCGAGACAGGGTCTTGTCCCATTGCCCAGGTAGAAGTGCAGTGGCACAGTTGCAGCTCACTGCAGCCTCAACCTTCTGGGCTCGGGTGACCCTCCCACTTCAGCCTCCTGTGTAGTTGGAACTACAGATGTGTTCCATCATGCCTGGCTAATTAAAGAAAAAAATTTGTAGAGACAGGGTCTCGCAATGTTGACCAGGCTGGTTTTGAACTCCTGGGCTCAAGCAGTCCTCCCGCCTTAGTCTCCCAAAGTGCTGAGATTACAGGCATGAGCCTCCTTACCTGGCCAGCCCAGTGGATGTGAAGTGGTATCAGTTTGTGGTTTTGATTTGCATTTCCCTCATGAATAAGAAGCATATTATCATGTGCTAATGGCCATTTGTATATGTTTTCTTTTGTTTTTGTTTTTGTTTTTGTGAAATAGCTATTCAAATATGTTGCCCACTTTTATATTGGGTTGTCTTTATTGTTGAATTGTAGGTGTTCTTTATGTTTTTTAGGTACAAGACCCTTATATCATATATATGATTTGCAAAATTGTTGTCCCATTCTGTGTGTCTTTTCACTTTCTTGATAGTATTTTTGAAGCCACAAGTTTTAAATTTTGATGAAGTCTCATTTGTCTATTTTTTTTCTTTTTGTTGCTGTGCTTTTGGTGTCTCATCTAAGAAGCCATTGCAAAATCCAAGGTCATGATGATTTATCCCTATGTTTTCTTCTAAGTTTCATCGTTTTAGCTCTTACCTATAAGTCTTTGGTGCATTTTGAATTAATTTTTATATATGGTGTGAGGTAGGGTGCCAACTTCATTCTTTTACATGTTGATATCCAGTTGTCCCAGCACCACTTGTTGAAAACATGATTCTTTCCTCATTGAATGGTCTCAACACCCTTGTCAAAAATCACTTGCCCATAAATGCTGTGTCAGAGCCTGTTCTGGAGTACCACACTGTGTGAGAGGGTACACAGTACAGTCAGCGTGGTGCTGCAGGGATTCCAGAGGGAAGGGGGAACATTGTAGGATCAGGGAGGCTTCACTAAGAGGTGATGTTTCAGACAAACAGAGAACCTTGCAGAGACACAGAAGTATGCGAGAGCACAGTAGGTTCAAGACTGACTACAAGTCTGGCATGGCCAGAGGGAAGATGGAGGAGAGAAAGGTGGGGCAGCAGGCTGGTGTGGAAGCTTGGGGCCATGTGGCAGGCCTGTAGGCCATGCTGAGGAGTTTTGACTTTGTTCTGAAGATAGTAGGGAGTCAGAGAATAATCTATCAGAGCTGTGAAGTGACCAGACCTGTTATTTTAGAAAAGCCATGAAGCAGAGGGGGAGAGATTGAAATTGGGAAACCTGCTAGGAAACTTGTTACTCTGTGGCTGAGTGGTGATGAGGCTTGAGCAAAGAAGGGGCATTGAGGCCACAGGAAAAGGTACAGCTGGCAGGTGCATTGATTTTTGAGGAGACTGAAGGGCTTGGTAACTGGTTGGATGTGAGGGTGAAGGGAGAAGATGAGGTATGGTGTCAGCTACTTGACAAGTTGTCCTGGAGCCCAGAAATTACTTACTCCCTCGTCTTGGTTCTTTATTCTATAGATATATTTTGTGGGTGTTACTGTTTAAAATGTTCCTTTAATGTAGAAATGTATCTTAAATTTTTTTTTTTCCAATTTGCAGGTCATTTATTGGGGAGGCAGTGTTCCCTAAACACCTTACCAGCAGCTTCCATTTTGGCATGGAAGAGTGTTCTCGGCAATGGTGAGATTCATTAATGCTACTACCTTTTCTCATAAGATCTAATGTCAAAGTAGTTTCTGTAGTTTTAAAAAATATAAGTAATCACCTGCTTTTTTCTTTTCTCTCTTTTCTTTTTTCATTTTTTAGCCTGGTTAGTCTTACTGCAATAATCACATTCTTTATGATGCGATTACATAGGTTCTGAAGAGTATTTTCAGATTTCTTATGATTGCAATTGTTATAGTTCAAGGCTTTATGAAATAGTAACTAAATAACAATTACGGGGTAGTTTCTGTGTATTAGGCTTAGAGCAGGGACAATGAAGAGTTAAATTTTCAATTTATCAATTGTTATGTTAATTGAAAATTTAACTCTTCATTGTCCCTGTCTTCTCCAACATAGTAAGAAGCACAATTTTGATGAATCTCTGGTCAGTGTTTTTATTATTAAGTTTGTGTGTATATTTACAGCTGAGTTAGGTAGAATTCTATCATTACATTTTCTTTTTCCTACAACAGTTTCCTTAGTACCTGTTACAGTATTTTTCTAAATGCTGCAATAGATTGGTCAGACAAATAGCAATAGTTTTCTAAAATCTCTCAAACACATCACTGATCAGCTGGTTTGATTTAATAGAGGAGATTTAAATTAGGAGGAAGAAGTTCATCATGGTGAAAACCATAAATGCTGAAACAAAACCCTCCTTGAGGTCAGACTGTGTTTCTTTTTTTTTTTTTTTCTTTTTGAGATGGAGTCTTGCTCTGTTGCCCAGGCTGGAGAGCAATAGCTTGATCTTGGCTCACTGCAGCCTCCGCCTCCTGGGTTCAAGCGATTCTCCTGCCTCAGCCTCTCGAGTAGCTGGGACTACAGGCATGTGCCACTACACCCAGCTAATTTTTGTATTTTTAGTAGAGACGGGGTTTCACTATGTTGGCTAGGCTGGTCTTGAACTCCTGACCTCAAGTGATCCGCCCTCATCGGCCTCCCAAAGTGCTCGGATTATAGGCATTACAGGCATGTGCCACCACACCCAGCTAATTTTTGTATTTTTAGTAGAGACGGGGTTTCACCACGTTGGCCAGGCTGGCCTCAAACTCCTGACCTCAAGTGAGCCACCCGCCTTGGCCTCCCAAAGGACTCTGCATGTCTTTGACTTGAGCCACACGAGGGTGCTTTTTGGGCTTGGCCCATTTTGGATTCCAGGGCAATTGTTAACTGAGATGGGGACTTCATGGTCTGAAATTAATAATAATTCAGAGAATAAGAACAAAACCAAAACTGGTAATTGATCATTGATAATCTGTAACTGAGTAATTTAGCATAAGCTGATGCCATCTCCTGTTATAAAAATTATAACACGTTTTAAACAAAGTTGGTTGTAACAGTGTATTTTAAGTGACTGTTTCTCAAATCTAAAGTCAATTTCTTTCTGCTTTTGACAGTTGGACCTTTTAAGGTACATTATTAGATAGGAGAAGTATTTCAGGCTTTCAAAAAAAGTTAATTCTAAATTTATTAGTAATGATTTTACACTTTTTAAAGTATATCAGAGATTGCAGTGCTAAACAGTACAAGATTAAATATCTTATTTAATATTAAGTTAATAATTAAATATTTAATATTTAGTATTAAGTTACTTATGTTAATATTAAATAAGATATTTTATTGAAAATTAAAGAGCTGGCCAGGCGCGATGGCTCATAGCTGTAATCCCAGCACTTTGGGAGGCCGAGGCGGGTGGATCACGAGGTCAGGAGTTCAAGACCAGCCTGGCCACCATGGTGAAACCCTGTCTCTACTAAAAATACAAAAATTAGCTGGGTGTGGTGGCGCATGCCTGTAATCCCAGCTACTTGGGAGGCTGAGGCAGGAGAATCGCTGAACCTGGGAGGTGGAGGTTGCAGTGAGCTGACATCGCGCCACTGCAATCCAGCTTGGGTGACAAGAGCAGAACTCCGTCTCAAAAAAAAAAAAAAAGAAAATTAAGGAGCATACAAGAAAAGCTAAAGCTAAAGTGTATGCTGCATGATGGAATTTAGAATGATGAAGTCCTGAGTTTAAAAATGAAAAGCCCGTATTTCCTGTCTACTTTTTTATTGACTAATTCATTAAGTGAGCTAAGAGGGAACTCAGTGTGTCATCTGTCTTCCTCTGTGCAGTTGAGTAACTCATCTCCCAGAGGCAACCGTTGTTTCCAGGTTCTTACATACTTCTGGGTTAGTCTATAAAATGCATTCACACCCACTCCTTGTTTTTTAACATGAAGAGTAGGATAGTGTACATGCTCTCCTGCACCTTGCTCTTCTGACCTGGCCAGTTGCAGGTCTTTCCACAGCAATACGTTGCTGGCTGTTTACAGCAGAGGGCGCCAATTGCCCAGAGTAGACTGCTGACCTAGGTTAGCGAATGCAGTGCTGAAACTGCGGTATGGACAAATCTGCTTCTTTCTTTACCCAGCTGCCCCCGTTGTGCGGATGAACTATAACTTTCCCAACTAGGCTGGGCATTTAGGTTGTTATTGATCAAAAGTTTTATTTTTAAAAGAAAGACTCCTAAAAATCTGATTCTTAAAAGTTCAGGATTTTAGTGACTTATTTTTGTTAGTAATGATTATTTGATGCTAGCAGTGTTTTTCCACAGCTGTGAAACATCTAACTCAAAGTTTAACCCATCTGCCTACAGGCCATTTGTCATCACTGGGAACCAGAGACACCCATCCCTACGCCAGCTTGAGCCGTGCACTGCAGACACAATGCTGTATTTCTTCTCCCAGTCACCTGATGAGCCAGCAGTATAGACCATATAGTTTCTTCACTAAATGTATGTAGAATGGCCACAAACTTCCTGTTTCTTGAAACAGGAAAAGGATTTCTTATATCTGAATTTTTCTTCTTTTTTACATGAATTA
Source organism: Homo sapiens (assembly GCF_000001405.40). Taxonomy (NCBI): domain Eukaryota; kingdom Metazoa; phylum Chordata; class Mammalia; order Primates; family Hominidae; genus Homo; species Homo sapiens. The sequence continues at coordinate 95,114,977 of NC_000002.12, read as the reverse complement.
AGATTTTAGTGATTAGTTTACAATGTACTGTTAAAATGAAAATGTTCCTTGATGTACATCCTAGAATTATCTCACATGCTACCAGTTGTATTCTGGGGAGTACTAGTTTGCTTTAGTCCCCTTGTTTGGGGCACCTGAGGCCTGAAGGGTATTGAATCATGGCCCATATCTCTTGCTGACTTAGATTCACACCAAGAATATACTCATGTTTTCATTCGTGCCTTAGTTGAGGAGACAGGACATCTAATTGGAAAAAGTTAATTGTAAGGAGATATTGTTCACTAACACTAGTCTTATTTGTGATAGCATTTAAAAGAGTCTAATCTGAACTGAGACTAGCTTGTCAGGTAACAAATGGAGATTGAGTTTAAAACTCAGCATTAGGCAAATTAAAAGAAATTAGGATTGGCCGGGCGCGGTGGCTCATGCCTGTAATCCCAGCACTTTGGGAGGCCGAGACGGGTCGATCACAAGGTCAGGAGATCAAGACCATCCTGGCAAACACAGTGAAACCCTGTCTCTACTAAAAATACAAAAACAAAATTAGCCAGGCATGGTGGCGGGCGCCTATAGTCCCAGGTAGTCCCAGCTACTTGGGAGGCTGAGGCAGGAGAATGGCGTGAACCCGGGAGGCGGAGCTTGCAGTGAGCTGAGATCGTGCCACTGCACTCCAGCCTGGGCCACAGAGCGAGACTCCATCTCCAAAAGAAAAAAAAAAAGAAATTAGGATTATAAAGGCAATTCATGATTAGTTTAGAATATTTGGTAAATACAGAAAAATAAAAAAGAGATAATCACCTGTATTCCTACTATGAAATACTGAGTTTGCTGCCTTTTTTTTTTTTTTTTTTTTTTTTGGGAGATGGAGTCTCGCTTTGTCACCAGGCCGGAGTACAGTAGTGCGATCTCGGCTCACTGCAACCTCCACCTCCCGGGCTTGAGCGATTCTCCTGCCTCAGCCTCCCAAGTAGCTGGGACTACAGGGGCGTGCCACCACACCCAGCTAATACTTGTATTTTTAGTAGAGATGGGGTTCCACCATGTTGGCCACAATGGTCTTGATCTCTTGAACTTGTGATCCACCTGCCTCAGCCTCCCAAAGTGCTGGGATTACAGGCGTGAGCCACCGTGCCTGGCCTTCTGCTTTTTTTAATGTAATATATTGCATTTTTCCGTGGACTTCTGCAGTGCGACGTTATGACCATAGAGTATTTCATTGTATGGATACAGCTCACTTTAATTTGGAAGTCTCCTAGTAGGTCATTTGTGTAGCAACAACGCAGAAAAGACTTGGTAGAGGATTAAGCAACATAGGCTTAGTTGCACAACTACAGATTCCAGTACAGAGAAAAGAGAGATGGATAGAGTTGGGGCCATTAGTCTCTCCTCTTAGTATCCATAGCCCCAGTTTTTTCTAAGAGTTGACTTTGTACTTTAGTGGGTATATCAGATTTACAAGCCTTGGGAATTTTTATTTATTTTTATTTATTTATTTATGTTTGAGACGGAGTCTTGCTCTTGTCGCCCAGGCTGGAATGCAGTGGCGTGGTCTCGGCTCACTGCAACCTGCACCTCCTGGGTTCAAGCGATTCTCCTGCCTCAGCCTCTTGAGTAGCTGGGACTATAGGCGCGTGCCACCACGCCCAGCTAATTTTTTGTATTTTTAGTAGAGACGGGGTTTCACCGTGTTAGCCAGGATGGTCTCGATCTTCTGACCTTGTGATCCACCCGCCTCGGCCTCCCAAAGTGCTGGGATTACAGGTGTGAGCCTCTGCACCTGGCTGGGAATTTTTATTTTTTAATAGCCTTTTCCCTGTTCTAAAAAGCCTTGTTCTAGAGGTGGCCTTACTCTCCAAGACCTCATCCTTCATGGTTGTCCCACCCCTGCCTCGGACTCTCTTCATTCACTGGTGTTCTTCCTCTTCTTCCTCAGTGACATGAAGCAGTACTTTTTTTTTTTTTCTTTTCTTTTTGAGACGGAGTCTCCCTCTGTCGCCCAGGCTGGAGTGCAGTGGCGCAATCTCAGCTCACTGCAAGCTCCACCTCCTGGGTTTATGCCATTCTCCCGCCTCAGCCTCCCAAGTAGCTGGGACTACAGGCACCCGCCACCACGCCCGGCTAATTTTTTTGTATTTTTAGTAGAGATGGGGTTTCACCTTGTTAGCCAGGATGGTCTCGATCTCCTGACCTCGTGATCCGCCTGTCTCAGCCTCCCAAAGTGCTGGGATTACAGGCGTGAGCCACTGCTCCTGGCCTGACTCAGTACTTGTGTGGGTTTATGGCTCCAAGTCACAGTAAGATTTGCTCCAATTGGGCCAACTCAGTTGAAACTAGCATGGGGCTAGTTTTTGCTGTTTCAGTAGGAAATAGTCTTTGATTTCTGAATCTCCAAGAAATAGAAGGACACACTTTTTCAAAAATGATTTCCTATGAATATTGAATCTTATAAACCTATCTGTTTTCTGTAGAGGATCCACTGTTTAAATCCCTTTGATTCAAATTAGCAATCTGTGTTACTTAGCATGATTAAGAGGGAAATAACTCCATGTATAAGATTAGACACTACAGTGGATTTATGTATATGTATGTGTGTGTATATATATATAACATGAGGCCGGGTGCAGTGACTCAATGCCTGTAATCCTAGCGCTTTGGGAGGCTGAGGTGGGCGGGTCACCTGGGGTCAGGAGTTGGAGACCAGTCTGACCAATATGGTGAAACCCCGTCTCTACTAAAAATATAAAAATTAGCTGGGCGTGGTGGCAGGCACCTGTAATCCCAGCTACTCGGGAGGCTGAGGCAGGAGAATCTCTTGAACCCGGGAGGCGGAGGTTGCAGTGAGCCGAGATCGTGCCATTGCACTCCATCTGGGGCGACAAGAGTGAGACTCCATCTCCAAAAAAAAACAAAACATGAACTTAATCTTTTATAGTTAATAGGTGTATATATTAACCTAACTGCACCCTTCTGGAAAAATGACAGAAAGAATTGAAATGATAGTAGATGTATTCTAACTAGCCTTTTAGGTTATTTAGAATCTTAGACCTGAGGTAAAAATAGTAAAATCTCTGTTAAAAGAACTTAATTCACCTTGCAGCCATTACACAATTATGTTGATGAATAATATTTAAGAATATGGGAAAAGACTCACAATGTAATATTAAATTTAAAAAAAACAGGATACAAATGTGCATATGGTATAATTCTGCTTAAATATATACTATGTATGCATGCATAAAGAAAAAGGCAGAATATACATTCTTATCTAACAATGGTAATGGGATTATGATTATTTTTGCATTCTGTATTTTCCAGATTTTTAAAAATAGCTATTTTATAATTTGAAAAGTATTAAAAACGTTTTTAATAGCATAATGGCATTCAAAGGTTGACTAATGACTTGCTGTCTTTTTCAAATATAGTTAGATATTTTATTTTCCTCTTACTATATATATATAAAAGAGCTAAACTCTTAATTCAGTCTTTTTACATTTTTGTCTCAATGTCAAGTTCTTTTTAAAATTGAGTCTCTTTTCATCTTAATGAGTGATTTAAGGGTTCTGATTCTAAGTGAAAGAAAACTCTGTGATTGATTGGCCTCTTAGTATGCCTCCATTACAAGTGAACTTTCAAGTTTTCCATGGCATTTATAGGTACCACCATTTTTTAGCACTTAGAGAGAAAAATCAAATCCTTAGTGAGAGTTTGGTTGGAGGTTGGTACTTTTATTTTGAGCCTGTGGTCTTTTAAAGTGAATTAGAGTTGGCTTAAAGTTGAGCCGAATCCTTTGTTCTGGTCAGGGATGTCCAAAACAACATGTGATGTGGAATCTCACTTTCCCTGAGCCTCACTTACGAAGACCAGCTGTGTATATGTGTGTGTTTTTGAAAAATTGGATGCTATACAGATATAAAGCATTTAAAAGTATTATAACCCTAAAACATTTTTCTCTTTTCGTGTTATCTACCTGGAGGATCAGCGTAAGACCTTGCAGGAAGCAAGTAGGTAGAAGTTTTAAACTCTAAGCATTCATAAGAGAATGAAGGTACTCATTTATCTTCTAGAATTTGTTTAGTATTTCAGTTATATAGATATAAATATGTCTTAGATTTTTTACTGTTATAACATTTTGTGGTTCCGATTCTTTATTAAAGAAATTGGTAATGGAACAATTATTTTTTTGAAGGCAGGGTCTCACTCTGTCCCCAAGGCTGGAGTGCAGTGGCATGATTATAGTAATCTCAAACTCCTGGGGTCAAGTGACCCTCCCACCTCAGCCTCCCCAGTAGCTGGGACCATGGGCACATGCCATCACACCTGGCTAATATTTGAAGTTTTAATAGAGATGGGATCTCACTATGTTGTCCAGTCTGGCCTCCAACTCTGGCCTCAAGTGATCCTCCTGCCTCAGTCTCCCACAGTTCTGGGATTACAGGAATGAGCCACTGTACCTGGCCAACAGTTGATTTTATAACCATAGATTGTGTTCCAGATTTGTGGGTTCAGATTGAAATGTTGATTCTTGTTTGGACTAGAAAACTTATACTTAGGAAGGATAGTTATTAGTTATCTTAGTGGTTATAATGGAGGCAAGAGGACAGGGAAGACGCCTATATCATGGTTGATAAAATGTCAGGGAAACGAACCTATTGGTAAGTAACTGAGATTTGAATGCTGGCTTTTAAGCAGTTAGAGGGAAAAATAAAATATTTAGTGAGAGTTTTGTGGAGGAAAGTAATAGAATTGTCTCTTCTTGGGCTTTCCAAGTGTAACCGTCTGATGTGTGCAAAGGATGATTTAATTTTGCTTTCATTACCTCAGTGATGCATGGGTAAAGCTGTAAGCTGACCTCCACTTCTCTTATTATTCAATAGGAGATCATAGACCATTGCTTGAAAACTACAGAATTAAGAAAAGAAACCCTGTTTCGTTACAGTGACTGCAGATGAGCTGTGGAAAGGCGCTTTAGCAGAGACTGGTGCTGGAGCAAAAAAAGGAAGAGGCAAAAGAACTAAAAAGAAGAAAAGAAAGGATCTGAACAGGGGTCAGATCATTGGTGAAGGTAAACTTATTTATAAAAATAGCTAAAGTGCTTTGTAAGTTTCTTACCCCAGATTTTATAGATATTTTACAAACTAGAAGCATCAAAACATTTCTTATGAAGGGCACTACGATCTATGGTTTTAGAATTCAACCAGTTGACTTACTCATTGCCCCAGGATTCTGGGGGAGGAAAATCCCATAGAAATGGATTTATTCATTCAGCAAGCATTAAATGTCCCTAGGTGTCATCTCCTATAATAGTGCCTGCCCTCAAATAGGTTATAATTAGTGATAAAATAGAGACTAAATGGAGAGTTGGCGAATATTCCCTGCAAAGGGAAGATAGTAAATGTTTCTGGCATTGTGAGTTACATAGTCTGTTTTGCAACTGCTCAACTCTACTGTTGTAGCACAGAAACAGCCACAGATAACACACAGTCGAATAGGCATCGTTATGTTCCAGTACAATTTCATTTACAAAAACAAGTCACGAACTGAGTTGGCCTGTGGGCCTTAGTTTGTTGACACCCAGAACACGTGATTGTTTATACTCATGCTTTTGGAAGAGTAAAAATAGTGTAGTGTACTTCAATCAGCCCGTCTTGTACTGTGCTTGCTGACAAACCATCTTTGATAGTAATGGCCTTCAGGGATAAAGAAAACACCTGGCACCACACTTCCAGCATCGCATGTCTACTTGGATATTTTTCTTTATTACTTATATCTTATTTTTTTAACACTTTTTTTTTAAATTATAAGAATCATGTATTTATACTTTCTCAGTAAAAAATGTAGATTATAGAGAAACTTGAAGTCCCCCTGGATGCTTCTTCTACCTTCTTCAATCCTATTGTCTCCCTCAAGGAAACCACTGGCCTCATATTGGTGTGTTTCCTTCAGTTTTTTAATACATAAATGCCTAAAAAGGTATTTATGTATTAAATTTTAGGTATTTATACATAAATACCTAAAAAGATGAATACAAAAGGTATTATGTATTAAATTGTTATTAATTTATATATAAATAGCTAAAAAGAAATAGATATCTTCTTTTTTAAAAAAAATTTAGATTATATCACATGGTACATGCTGTCTTACAGTTTACTTTTTTCACTCAATAATAGGTCTTGGAAATCATTCCACATCAGAACCTAGAGAGTTACCTTGTTCTTTTGATTTAGTGCAGAGTGTTTCCTATGCTGGAGACGCTGTGGTTCATTTAACCAGTCCATAATTGCTGGACATTTGTATTAGTTGCATTTCTTGCCTTTGCAAATAATGTTTCAGTGGACGTCCTTGTCCAAGCATCCATATGCCTTGTACCTGTATGTGAGTGTTTCTCTAGGTAATACCATGAAGTATATTTAAAATTTTGATTGTGCCAAGTGACCTACCAAGTTAATAATGTTAGCTTAAGCTCCAGTGAACAGTGTGTCATCATTATCTGTACATGCATTGCCTGACATTTTAACACTTGAAAAATGAGTACTTTAACAAAATTATTATTTATATTTTTAAACCTTCAGGGCGTTATGGTTTTCTATGGCCCGGACTGAATGTCCCTCTTATGAAAAATGGAGCAGTGCAGACCATTGCCCAAAGAAGCAAGGAAGAGCAGGAGAAGGTGGAGGCAGACATGATCCAGCAGAGAGAAGAGTGGGACCGAAAGAAGAAGATGAAGGTTAAACGGGAGCGAGGATGGAGTGGAAACTCATGGGGAGGCATCAGTCTTGGCCCCCCTGACCCTGGTCCCTGTGGAGGTAGCAAACTCCTGGTTTTGTTTGCCTTTGTGACAGAGAGTACTTGTAGTTTAGAATTTCCTTGAAATGGTGTTATTACTTGTCTGTTTATACTACCTTTTTCCAAAAAAGATTTGAACATCTTTGAAATAACATATCACATCAATATCCCAACTGTATTTTGTGGAGTGCAGAAGTATTCCACTAACAGGATAGAAAGCACTGGGTTCCTGGTATTTATCATGTACCTTCTCAGATCCTTAAACGTGGGGATGTGCACTGTGGACCTACAGGAGCTGCCTATAGGATACACTGTTTCCAAAACACAGGTGGCCACAGGGACACCTGTGGAGCAGCATGGCTTGGGAATGCTGTTTCTGTACTAGAAATCAGCAAAGCAGATAGTTGTCATGTTAACCCTATAAAAACACAAATGAAGCAAAAATTGAAAATACTTAGGCCAAATTTGAAAACAAAGTTTCCCCCAGCCCTCCGTGAGTATGTAAAGCAGTAAAAATCATCCAAGAGATGTGTTCTTGTCAATGAGTGGGAGAAGAGGAAATAGGTAAGAGTTTCGCTGCTTTCTTAAGAAGTTTGGCTTAAAGAGGAGGGAAGAGGTTGAAACTGGAGGGGAGAGATTCCAAAGAACATGCTTAGAACTGATCAAAATGCTTCAGTCAGGAGGATGAAGGTATGGAAGGGAGAGAACAAAATCCATGAACCAAGTCCCTAATGACAGCCCAGATTCAGAGTGTGAAGTGGCTTCACTTGCTCACAGAAGGAAGGGCAGGGCACAGAATCAGGTGAGCCTGTGGGGTTGTAGTGGAAAGGTAGGTGGGGGTGTTGTGTGATGTGGCCGCAGTTGGTCTGTAAGGAAGAGGTGGAATCATCTGCGGAGAGTGAGATGGGGACATTGATGATTATGGCCTCCAGATTATTTCTTTACGAAAAGGTAGAGTATCTGAAACTGGCTTCAAATTATCCAATGTAGTGAGAGTTGAGCAGAGTTTAGAGGAAAGATTGGCTGTAAGTTGATGCGTGTTGAAGCTGACTAATGTATACATAAGCTTTCTGCTGTTCTATTTTTGTTTGATTGAAATTGTCTGTGATAAAAATATTTTGAAAATAAAAGAACGTAGGGAGTCTTTGAAATGGCTGCAGTGGTGAACTGAGAGAGACCTAACCGAAAGGACATAAAGGCCAGCTGGCAGCAGGGAGGACTTGACGGAATTGGGGCTCATGGATTTTTAGTGGGCCCTGTGTATGCATACTTTGACTTCTTTCCAGCAGCACCCAGCAGGTCAGGAGTGGCCAGAGAGCTGCATGGATTCAGGCCTGGCTAGTATGGTGGAGAGAGCAAAGGGTGAAGGGGTTGAGGGCATCACAAAGTTTCGTGGAAATGATGGACTGTGGTGTCTTGGCCTAGGGGGAGAGGCCGTGAGAGGGAGGGAAGCAGAAGGGAGAGCAGGGATCCAGGGTCTGGAGGGGCCAGGAGCTGATGAGAGATGGATGGGGAGGAGGGTGCAGGTGGGGAGATCAGTGACTGAGTTTATGAACTTAACTGGTGGAGCAGTCTCTAGTGATGAGGGGTGACTGGGGCATGGCCTTGAGAGTGGGACCAAAAGATCTGAGATTCTTTCTCCCCGAAAGGTCTGTGATGGTGCCTGTGTTGAAAATGCTTTCATGTTAATTGTGTACACACATTTCATCTGTATCCCTGTTTCTTTTCTCCCTACAGAAACATATGAGGATTTTGATACCAGGATACTTGAGGTAGGCATGCAGAATTAAATACCTGGTTAAGCCTTTGGAGAGGTTGGGGTGGGTGGGGCAGGGACAGGGCAAGAGGAACTGTAAGGGAAGGCCTTGGATGCATGACTATTTCTGACACACAGCTGATCTGCGTAAGGAAAATTGTGCAACTTTAATTTCAGTTACTGGATACTGGCTCTTCTGACTACTACCCTCTCTGTGGGGCGGGGAGCTACCACTGAGGTCTCATAAGGTGGTATTGTTAACTACAGGATTTGGAGATGAGATTTAAATTATCTCCTTCCTAAAGTAGCATTGGGAGTCTATGTTTGAATTATAAACCAGCTGTATCTAGCAGTCTATGCAGGGATCTGGGATTGCAGGGAGCCCTGGGCAGGGTAGAAAGCTTAAGAGTTGTGGTGCCTGTCTGGTTCTTGATGGGGAAATGGTCTCTGGGTTGCTCACAGGCCCTTGAAACTAAAGTCTGTATCAGGTAAACTATAGTCACTTTGCGGAGCATTCTCTAAAATAGCCAACTTCCCTTTGAGCTGGCACTGAATGCTCAGTGTTAAATACCATGTGGAATAACCATTTATTGAGTTTGTGATTGAGCCTCTGAATGTATGTATTGTTTCCTCAATATCAATTGCACTGTAGGATTTAAAATGTTTACACATATTATGTCTTTGGTATTCCCACTTACAGCTTTTAGAAGTTAATCTCTTTGAAGAATTTGTATATATGTGGGTGATTTTCTATAAGATCCACAGAGGTGGATTCAAGCTCCCTTTTCTTTTAACCCCATTTTATGGGGAAGAGACAGCTATGCACCAGAGAGCCAGCTGCCACGTAAGCAGTTTAGTTAACAGTTTAATAGTTCCTGGCCTTTTTTTTTTTTCTGAGGTGGAGTCTTGCTGTGTTGCCAGTCTGGAGTACAGTGGTATCGGCTCACTGCAAGCTCCACCTCCCGGGTTGACGCCATTCTCCTGCCTCAGCCTCCCGAGTAGCTGGGACTACAGGTGCCTGCCACCACACCCGGCTAATTTTTTGTATTTTTAGTTGAGACGGGGTTTCACTGTGTTAGCCAGGATGATCTCGGATCTCCTGACCTCGTGATCCGTCTGCGTCGGCCTCCCGAAGTGCTGGGATTACAGGCATGAGCCACTGTGCCCGGCTGTTCCTGGCCTTTTAAATACACAGAAAAAAATACACAGAATAAGCAGGTATTTCCAAATATGTTAATCCTTAGCGTAGAGGCCAGTCCTGTGCTGGTTATGTCTATATACTGCATATCATAATTTCTGAGGTGTACATTTTCCTCACATTTTAACATCTCTGACATTGGGCTACATCTTATAATCAGTGATAAATTACATCAAAGTTTGATCAGCAACTTTTTTCTTTCTTGTAATACATTCATTAAGATAGGGTATATCGAGATGTATAATGTCAAATTCCTTTAAAGGTTTTCTCAGTTATCATAAGCCTGTGAAATGAAGAGAAAGTCTCATTTCTGTTTTCTCCCTGAAACAGTCCAGGAGGAGGTTTTGTTTGGAAAAAGGCTGTTACTTGTGCTCAGGAGTTGGAGGATGGTGTGCCTGTTCTCTGTGTGTGCCTGTTCACCGTGTATGCCTGCAAGGAAGGCGGCTCCCTCCAGTTCCCTCCTTCAGATTTTCTTAATGTGCAATATTTATGAGACATTTTGCCTTTTAGGTAAGAAACGTTTTCACTATGACTGCGAAAGAGGGAAGAAAGAAATCGATCCGTGTCTTGGTGGCTGTGGGGAACGGAAAAGGAGCTGCAGGTGAATGGGGAGTGATGGCATCACAGTGGCGGTGGTGTGCAGGGAAAGGCGTGGCACGGGCCATGCTGTGGAGCCCATGGGCTCATGCTGCTGGCCGGACTTTTTCCATTGATTAAACCTTTTAGTGGTTTGGGTTCACAAAGCTTGTGGTAAGTCCATGACTTCCCTTAGAGAGAAAAGAGAGAATAGATTCTACTGTACTTGCCTTTTCCTCTGAGGAAAAGGAATATTATAAAAGGCTGAAGACATTATTTTATTATGTATAATAGTGGAAAATTAGGGAGAAAAACTAAATGTTCAATAGGGCCATGGTTATAAAAACAGTGTAGCCATACACTGTAATATTCTGTATCCATTAAAGAATTATGGGAAATTAGTTTTAAAATAATGCTAAGTTAAAAAAAAAAACACAAAAACGTTATATAAGACCATATAAAATCCTAGTTTTGTTTTTTTCTTTTTTAAAAGTATATTTATGTGCCAAGAAAAGACTGGAAAACTGTACACTGTAAAGGTTAATAGTGTTTACTCCAATTAGTAGGTTTGCTGATGATTTAAATTTTCTCCTATGTATAGTTAACATAGTGGACACCTGTTTTTGAAATGTATTCATGTCTGTTGAAGGAAAAGAACACAGGAAAATGGCCTAGTTAGCCCATACTGACATTTAACAAAAGTAATACATATATATATAGTATGTGGCCAAAGGAAACCAGGCCTAACAGCTACTTTTGTAATTTTCCTAAATTTTATGTTCATATTATTATCATACATCTTTAAAAAATTTACATAAAGGGATCACATTATAGCCATAATTTTGCACCTTGATTTTCTGACATAGTATTATATTCAGAGATATTAATACTCAGATTAACATAAACATTCTCCTTGATTCGTTGTACTGGTTGCAAAGTGTTCCATTGTGCATGGATAATTTTTGTAACCTTTTCCCTACTGCTGAATATTTAAGTTGTTTCCAAATTTTTACTAATTATAAAAAACTGTACAGTTCGTTTATGTGTAATTTGTTTTACTTCTGCAAGTATATCAATAGGGGAAACTTCTTGCAGTAAAATTGCTGCCCCAAGGTTATATGTATTTTAAGTGCTGATAAATATTCCTAGATTGCCTCCCCACAAAAGGTTGCATCAATGTCTGTGTTTCTCTACACCATCTCACCCTTGCCAACTTCGGGTTTCATCAGACCTTACTGATTGTCAGTATGATCTGTGAAACAAATCTCTCAGTTTTGATTTGCATTTTTTAAATTATGAGAGCTTGAACACCATTTTACATGTTTATTGGCTGTTGTTATTTCCTTTTTGAGATCTGTTCGTTATATGCTTTGCCCGTTTTTCTGTTGGGTGGTTATTATTTTTCTTATTGAATGGTATAAGCTCTTTGTAAGTTAAGGACATTAGCCCTTAGTCAGATATTTTGACTTAGGTTTTAATTTTTTTCCACACAGAAGTTTTAAGCTCTGTGGCAAATTTATCAGTCTTATATCACTACAGGGTTATAAATATTAGTTATCACTTCGGGTTTGTGTCTTGCTTAGAAAGCCTCATTTGAAGATTGTAAATGTTAGTAAGTTTCCCCATATTTTCCTCTAGGACTTCCATGGTTTAATTTGTTTTGTTTAAACTAGGAATTGGCATTCACATCCTCTTTTGTCCCAGGTCTCAGAGGTCCCTTGTATCTTATAGAGCAGTATTGTTTTATGTTATTTTCCCATGTATAATTTAAAAACAAAATACGTTGTTCAAAACAAAATACAGTGGCAGCAGATAATGGCAGTATCTCTGTAACTGCTGGTAAACTGTATTTCATAGTGAAGTGTTCATAAACTAAAGAGTCATTGATTTGGTTTCCTGGCTAATTAAAATCTGAATTCCATTTGAAGTTCCATTGAAATCATGGTTTTACTCTATAGCAGTGGATGTTTTTTCCCAACCTTTCTGATATTTTTTTCCTTCCTGAGACAGGGTCTTGCTCTGTCACCTGGGATGGAGTGTAGTTGCACCATCAAGGCTTACTGCAGTCTCAACTCTCTGAGCTCAAGTGATCCTGCCACCTCAGCCTCTTGAGTAGCAAGGATTACAGGCACCTACCACTATGCCTGGCTAATTTTTATATTTTTTGTAGAGATGGATTCTCACTATGTTGCCCGGGCTCATCTTGAACTCGAGCTCAAGCAATCTGTCCATCTTGGCCTCCCAAAGTGCTGGGATTATAGGCGTGAGCCACTGCACCTGGCCCCTTTCTGATTATTTTAATCTATCTTTAAATGTTCAAAGTGATTTGCCTAATTCATTTAAAGCATATTTAGTTTTTTTTAAATTGAGTGTATTTTATCTAGATATTTTTAAAAGGCAGCATCTAACCTTGGATTTTATAAATACATCTAAATTTGTTATTTCCAGAATGCTTCAAAACAGATCTCTGTAGCCTCGTGCTTTGTTATTGTTAGGTTTTTTTTTTTTGTTTTGAGACAGGGTCTTGCTCTATCTGGAGTGCAGTGGCACAGTCATAGCTCACTGTACCCTCAAACTCCTAAACTCAAGTAATCCTCCCATCTCAGCCTCCTGAGTAGTTGGGACCACAGTCATGCACCAGCATGCCTGGCTAATTTTTTAAATTTTGTTCTTAATAGAGACAGAGTCTTGCTGTGTTGTTCAGGCTGGTCTCAAACTCCTGGGCTCAAGCGATCCTCCCACCTCAGCCTCCTAAAGTGCTGAGATTACGGATGTGAATCATTACACCCAGCCTATTAATGGTTTTGTATAGCAAGTCTTTTGTGGGTGGTGGAAAGATGAAGTGCTGTGAAATATTGTAGGAGCAGAAACTTGAAATGTGGCAAAAACCACATGGGCAAAATTTCTGTCTCTTTTCTTATTTTTGCTTTTTTGTTTAAAGGTTTTTCTATTGGGAAAGCTACTGATCGGATGGATGCTTTCAGGAAAGTATGTACATTTTTTTTCTTTGTTGACACTCAGTAAAAGATTAGTAAGTTATATGCCAGACACAGTGGGAACCACAAAACAATAATAATTTGTCCCAGAACCTTCCCATGAGGCTTGCTGTCAAGGGTTAATTAGCTCATAAAAATCAGTTTCAGAAGTACTTATATTCCTTTGCACCATTTTTTATCAGATTTGTAATTGTCTAGCCAAGTTATGAGACAATTGTGGAAGTTTGAACACTGACAGAATGTTTGAAGATACTAAGGAATTGTTACTTTTTTTTTTTTTTTTTGAGACGTTGTCTCACTCTTGTCACCCAGGCTGGAGTGCAGTGGCACGATCTCGGCTCACTGCAACCTCCGCCTCCTGAATTCAAGTGATTCTCCTGCCTCCGCCTCCCAAGTAGCTGGGATTACAGGTGCCCACCACCACACCCGGCTAACTTTTGTATTTTTGGTAGAGATGTGGTTTCTCCATGTTGGTCAGACTGGTCTCGAACTCCTGATCTCAAGTGATTGGCCTGCCTCGGCCTCCCAAAGTGCTGGGATTGTAGATGTGAGCCACCATGCCTAGCCAGGAATTATTGTTAATTTTTTTAGGGGTGATAGTGATATTGTAGTTAAGAGTTTTAAAAAATAAGTCCTTATATTTTAGAAGTATATACTAACCTTTTTGCGTAAGTGAATTTTTGATAATGAAACATTTTTATTAAAAGTGTTTTTGGAATCCTTGAAAAGATGTAAATTTCAACAATAGAGTTAAGAAAAACATTTTCCTTTCAGGCAAAGAACAGAGCAGTTCACCATTTGCATTATATAGAACGATATGAAGACCATACAAGTGAGTGATAATCTATTTTTTTTTTTTTAATTTGCAGGATTACATTTGTTAAAGTCTGTGTGACAATGTATCTCTATAGGTATCTTTGTGTTTCTCTCTTATTACATTCTTACAAATATATGAAGTGTGAAAACAAATCTCCTAAGAAGGTTACTAAAATGAATGAAATCAGAGCTTACCATTTATCTTTGGTCAATATGTGCTGGCTGTTGAGGCTAGTATACATTGCTTTGTGATATTTGCAAAGGCTTATTAAAGCCACACACCTAATCCTCTTGTGTTTATGTTTTTACCCTCCAGTATTCCATGATATTTCATTAAGATTTAAAAGGACGCATATCAAGATGAAGAAACAACCCAAAGGTAACTTTAAAACTCTTACCATTTGTTGATGATAAAGCAGAGAAATTATAACAGTTCTATCCTCTCCTCTATTTTTGTTCATCTTTAGTTGAACTCATCTTGGAAACACCAAAATGTAAAAGGCTTATGTTAGATTTAAGAACGATGAGGCTCTTGGAGAAATAAGAATAGTCAAGGCACACAGGCTACTGTGAGCACAGGCCTGTTCCAGGAATAATTTACGGTGGGGAGAGCACATTGGAAACGGGAAATAGCACCTGAGTGAGTAGTAGGGTTTGGAGGAGTGGGAACATTAGTTCCTCATAGGGAATTCATTGATGCATTTAGGTGTTTCAGTTCTGACTCAGGTCCAGGTGTTTAGTGCTCATCAAATTCTGATTGAATGCCTTCTGTGAGCTGGGTGCTATGCTAAGCACTAGGGATGATGCAGAGATGGTCTTTCCTGTTTTGTGGACAAGCAGGCAGGCAGGCAGAGTTCAGGGTCATGGGCTAGGGCAGTCATGCCTAGTGGTCTCTGAGTGTAGGATTCTTGAACCTGCTGATTTGCATTTCACCTGTAGTTCTACAGTAAAAAATGATTTTATATAACTTTTGGTATATAAGTCTCAAAAAGTGTGAGTCAGAAGAGATGAAACATTATATTTAAAATTTCATATCAAAGCTTCTAATACAACGTTGCTAGAGCCATGGCTTGGAAATAAATCAGGAAAAAACCCTCAAATACAGAATCAGTTGTGTTAATGCACTAGAACTTGCCTTCTGCTTTAAAGCCATAATTAATCATTTAAATGCTGGATAAAAACCATGTGTTTTGTCTTTAGAAAAGGTGTTGAGTGGACTTCAAGGTTTAGATCTGTGCTGTCCCATACAGCAGCCACTAGTCACTAGCGGGCCTGGCTATTGAGCACGTAATATGTGGCTATTGAGATGTGCTCTAATTATCAAATACACACCAGGATTCAAAGACCTAGTACAAAAAAAGAATATAAAATATCTCAAAAATATTATTGTATTGATTACATTTTAAATGATAATGTTTGGACATATTGGGTTAATAAAACACATCTCTAAATAAACTTTTTAAAAAAAACTTTTCAAAATGCATCTATGAGAACATTTGAAATTATATATATGGCTTCTGCTTACGACTTGGATCATGTTTATGTTGGGCAGCATAGTTTAGATACATTTATATCTCAATGATGTTTGAATGACTGCTACAACTTTTTTTTTTTTTAATTTTAAAAATAATTTTTGGCCGGGCACGGTGGCTCACGCCTGTAATACCAGCACTTTGAGAGGCTGAGGTGGTCGGATCACGAGGTCCGGAGATTGAGACCATCTTGGCTGACATGGTGAAACCCCATCTCTACTAAAAATACAAAAAATTAGCTGGGCGCAGTGGCAGGCGCCTGTAGTCCCAGCTACTCGGGAGGCTGAGGCAGGAGAATGGGGTGAACCTGGGAGGTGGAACTTGCAGTGAGCCGAGATATCACCACTGCAGTCCAGCTTGGGTAAAAGAGCAAGACTAGTCTCAAAAAAAAAAAAAAAATAATAATAATAATAATTTTTATTTCTCTGGCAAGGTCCCCATATGTTTATGTATTATATTCATGTTTTCTTTCTTTCTTTTTAAATTATACTTTAAGTTCTAGGGTACATGTGCACAATGTGCAGGTTTGTTACATAGGTATCCATGTGTCACGCTGGTTTGCTGAACCCATTAACTCGTCATTTACATTAGGTATATCTCCTAATGCTATCCCTCCCCCACTGCCCCCAACCCACCACAGGCCCCAGTGTGTGATGTTCCCCACCCTGTGTCCAAGTGTTCTCATTGTTCAGTTCCCACCTATGAGTGAGAACATGCGGTGTTTGGTTTTCTGTCCTTGAGATAGTTTGCTCGGAATGATGGTTTCCAGCTTCATGTCCCTACGAAGGACATGAAACTCATCCTTTTTTATGGCTGCATAGTATTCAGTGGTATATATGTACCACATTTTCTTAATCCAGTCTATCATTGATGGACATTTGGGTTGATTCCAAGTCTTTGCTATTGTGAATAGTGCCGCAATAAACATATGTGTGCATGTGTCTTTATAGTAGCATGATTTATAATGCTTTGGGTATATACCCAGTAATGGGATGGCTGGGTCAAATGGTATTTCTAGTTCTAGATCCCTGAGGAATCGCCACACTATCTTCCACAATGGTCGAACTAGTTTACAGCCCCACCAACAGTGTAAAAGCCTTCCTGTTTCTTTACATCCTCTCCAGCACCTGTTGTTTCCTGACTTTTTAATGATTGCCATTCTAACTGGTGTGAGATGGTATCTCATTGTGATTTTGATTTGCAAAACCAGTGATGATGAGCATTTTTTCATGTGTCTGTTGGCTGCATAAATGTCTTCTTTTGAAAAGTGTCTGTTCATATCCTTTGCCCACTTTTTGATGGGGTAGTTTGATTTTTTCTTGTAAATTTGTTTGAGTTCTTTGTAGATGCTGGATATTAGCCTTTTGTCAGATGGGTAGATTATAAAAATTTTCTCCCATTCGGTAGGTTGCCTGTTCACTCTGATGGTAGTTTCTTTTGCCATGCAGAAGCTCTTTAGTTTAATTAGATCCCATTTGTCAATTTTGGCTTTTGTTGCCATTGCTTTTGGTGTTTTAGTCATGAAGTCCTTGCCCATGCCTATGACCTGAATGGTATTGCCTTGGTTTTCTTCTAGGGTTTTTATGGTTTTAGGTCTAACATTTAAGTCTTTAATCCATCTTGAATTAATTTTTGTATAAGGTGTAAGGAAGGGATCCAGTTTCACTTTCTACATATGGCTAGCCAGTTTTCCCAGTACCATTTATTAAATAGGGAATCCTTTCCCCATTTCTTGTTTTTGTCAGGTTTGTCAAAGATCAGATGGTTGTAGATGTGTGGTGTTGTTTCTGAGGCCTCTGTTCGATTCCATTGGTCTATATCTCTGTTTTGGTACCAGTACCATGCTGTTTTGGTTACTGTAGCCTTGTAGTATAGTTTGAAGTCAGGTAGCATGATGCCTCCAGCTTTGTTCTTTTGGCTTAGGATTGTCTTGGCAATGCGGGCTCTTTTTTGGTTCCATATGCTCCATATGCACTTTAAAGTAGTGTTTTCCAATTCTGTGAAGAAAGTCATTGGTAGCTTGATGGGGATGGCATTGAATCTGTAAATTACCTTGGGCAGCATGGCCATTTTCACGATACTGATTCTTCCTATCCATGAGCATGGAATGTTCTTCCATTTGTTTGTGTCCTCTTTTATTTCATTGAGCAGTGATTTGCAGTTCTCCTTGAAGAGGTCCTTCACATCTTTTGTAAGTTGGATTCCTAGGTATTTTATTCTCTTTGTAGCAATTGTGAGTGGGAGTTCACTCATGATTTGGCTGTCTGTTGGTCTGTTATTGGTGTATAAGAATGCTTGTGATTTTTGCACATTGATTTTGTATCCTGAGACTTTGCTGAAGTTACTTATCAGCTTAAGGAGATTTTGGGCTGAGACGATGGGGTTTTCTAAATACACAATCATGTTATCTGCAAACAGGGACAATTTGACTTCCTCTTTTCCTAATTGAATACCCTTTATTTCTTTCTCTTGCGTGGTTGCCCTGGCCAGAACTTCCAACAGTATGTTGAATAGGAGTGGTGAGAGAGGGCTTCCCTGTCTTGTGCCAGTTTTCAAAGGGAATGCTTCCAGTTTTTGCCCATTCAGTATGATATTGGCTGTGGGTTTGTCATAAATAGCTCTTATTATTTTGAGATGCGTTCCATCAATACCTAGTGTATTGAGAGTTTTTAGCATGAAGGGCTGTTGAATTTTGTTGAAGGCCTTTTCTGCATCTATTGAGATAATCATGTGGTTTTGACATTTGGTTCTGTTTATGTGATGGAGTATGTTTATTGATTTGCATATGTTGAACCAGCCTTGCATCCCAGGAATAAAGCTGGCTTGATCGTGGTGGATAAGCTTTTTGATGTGCTGCTGGATTTGGTTTGCCAGTATTTTATTGAGGATTTTTGCATCGATATTCATCAGGGATATTGGTCTAAAATTCTCTTTGTTTTTGGTTGTGTCTCTGCCAGGCTTTAGTATCAGGATGATGCTGGCCTCATAAAATGAGTTAGGGAGGATTCCCTCTTTTTCTATTGATTGGAATAGTTTCAGAAGGAATGGTACCAGCTCCTCTTTGTACCTCTGGTAGAATTTGGCTATGAATCTGTCTGGTCCTGGACTTTTTTTGGTTGGTAGGCTATTAATTATTGCCTCAATTTCAGAGCCTGTTGTTGGTCTATTCAGCGATTCAACTTCTTCCTGGTTTAGTCTGGGGAGGGTGTATGTGTCGAGGAATTTATTCATTTCTTCTAGATTTTCTAGTTTATTTGTGTAGAGGTGTTTATAGTATTCTCTGATGGTAGTTTGTATTTCTGTGGGATTGGTGGTGATTTTTTATTGCATCTGTTTGATTCTTCTCTCTTCTTAGTCTTGCTAGCAGTCTATCAATTTTGTTGATCTTTTCAAAAAATGAGCTGCTGGATTCATTGATTTTTTTGAAGGTTTTTTTTGTGTGTCTGTTTCCTTCAGTGCTGCTCTGATCTTAGTTATTTCTTGCCTTCTGCTAGCTTTTTAATTTGTTTGCTCTTCCTTCTCTAGTTCTTTTAATTATGATGTTAGGGTGTCGATTTTAGATCTTTCCTGCTTTCTCTTGTGGGCATTTAGTGCTATAAATTTCCCTCTACACACTGCTTTAAATGTGTCCCAGAGATTCTGGTACGTTGTGTCTTTGTTCTCATTGGTTTCAAAGAACATCTTTATTTCTGCCTTTATTTTGTTATTTACCCAGTAGTCATTCAGGAGCAGGTTGTTCAGTTTCCATGTAGTTGAGCGGTTTTGAGTGAGTTTCTTAATCCTGAGTTCTAGTTTGATTGCACTGTGGTCTGACAGACAGTTAGTTGTGATTTCTGTTCTCTTACATTTGCTGAGGAGTGCTTTACTTCCAACTACGTGGTCAACTTTGGAATAAGTGCGATGTGGTGCTGAGAAGAATGTATGTTCTGTTGATTTGGAGTGGAGAGTTCTGTAGATGTCTATTAGGTCTGCTTCCTGGATATCCTTGTTAACCTTCTGTGTCATTGATCTGTCTAATATGGACAGTGGGGTGTTAAAGTCTCCCATTATTATTGTGTGGGAGTCAAAGTCTCTTTGTAGGTCTCTAAGGACTTGCTTTATGAATCTGGGTGCTCCTGTATTGGATGCATATATATTTAGGATAATTAGCTCTTGTTGAATTGATGCCTTTACCATTATGTAATGGCCTTCTTTGTCTCTTTTGATCTTTGTTGGTTTAAAGTCTGTTTTATCAGAGACTAGGATTGTAACCTCTGCTGTTTTTTTGCTTTCCATTTGCTTGGTAGATCTTCCTCCATCCATTTATTTTGAGCCTATATGTGTCTCTGCACGTGAGATGGGTCTCCTGAATACAGCACACTGGGTCTTGACTCTTCATCCAATTTGCCAGTCTATGTCTTTTAATTGGGGCATTTAGCCCATTTACATTTAAGGTTAATATTGTTATGTGTGAATTTGATCCAGTCATTATGATGTTAACTGATTATTTTTCCCATTAGTTGATGCAGTTTCTTCCTAGCATCGATGGTCTTTACAATTTGGCATGTTTTTGCAGTGGCTGGTACCGGTTGTTCCTTTCCATGTTGAGTGCTTCCTTCAGGAGTTCTTGTAAGGCAGGCCTGGTAGTGACAGAATCTCTCAGTATTTGCTTGTGTGTAAAGGATTTTATTTCTCCTTCACTTATGAAGCTTAGTTTGGCTGGATATGAAATTCTGGGTTGAAAATTCTTTTAAGAATGTTGAATATTGGCCCCCACTCTCTTCTGGCTTATAGAATTTCTGCTGAGAGATCCGCTGTTAGTCTGATGGGCTTCCCTTTGTGGATAACCCGACCTTTCTCTCTGGCTGCCCTTGATATTTTTTCCTTCATTTCAACCTTGGTGAATCTGATAATTATGTGTCTTGGGGTTGCTCTTCTCAAGGAGTATTTTTGTGGTGTTCTCTGTATTTCCTGAATTTAAATGTTTGCCTGCCTTGCTAGGTTGGGGAAGTTCTCTTGGATGATATCCTGAAGAGTGTTTTCGAACTTGGTTCCATTCTCCCTGTCACTTCCAGGTACACCAATCAAATGTAGATTTGGTCTTTTCACATAGTCCCATATTTCTTGGAGGTTTTGTTCGTTTTTTTACTCTTTTTTCTCTAAACTTCTCTTATTGCTTCATTTCATTAATTTGATCTTCAATCACTGATACCCTTTCTTCCACTTGATTGAATTGGCTACTGAAGCTTATGCATGCATCACGTAGTTCTCGTGCCATGGTTTTCAGCTCCATCAGGTCATTTAAAGTACTCTCTACACTGTTTATTCTAGTTAGCCATTTGTCTAATCTTTTTTCAAGATTTTTAGCTTCCTTGTGATGGGGTTTGAACATTCTCCTTTAACTTGGAGAAGTTTGTTATTACCGACCTTCTGAAGTCTACTTCTGCCAACTTGTCAAAGTCATTCTCCATCCAGCTTTGTTCTGTTGCTGGCGAGGAGCTGGGATCCTTTGGTGGAGAAGAGGCGCTCTGGTTTTTAGAATTTTCAGGTTTTCTGCTCTGGTTTCTCCCCATCTTTGTGGTTTTATCTACCTTTGGTCTTTGATGATGGTAACCTACAGATGGGGTTTTGGTGTGGATGTCCATTTTGTTGATGTTGATGCTATTCCTTTCTGTTTGTTAGTTTTCCTTCTAACAATCAGGTCCCTCAGCTGCAGGTCTGTTGGAGTTTGCAGGAGGTCCACTCCAGACCCTGTTTGCCTGGGTATCACCAGTAGAGGCTGCAGAGCAGCAAATATTGCAGAAGAGCAAATATTACTGCCTGATCCTTCCTCTGGAATCTACGTCTCAGAGGGACACCTGGCTGTATGAGGTGTCGGTCGGTCCCTAGTGGGAGGTGTCTCCCAGTTAGGCTACACGGGGGTCAGGGGCCCACTTGAGGAGGCAGTCTGTCCATTCTCAGAGCTCAAACACTGTGCTGGGAGAACCACTGCTCTCTTCAGAGCTGTCAGACAGGGACGTTTAAGTCTGCAGAAGTTTCTGCTGCCTTTTGTTTAGCTATGCCCTGTGCACAGAGGTGGAGTCTACAGAGGCAGGTGGGCCTCATTGAGCTGCGGTGGGCTCCACCCAGTTCGAGCTTCCTGGCCGCTTTGTTTACCTACTCAAGCCTCAGCAATGGCGGACACCCCTCCCCTAGCCAGGGCTGCTGCCTCACAGTTTGATCTCGGACTGCTGCGCTAGCAGTGAGCAAGGTTCCATGGGCGTGGGACCTGCTGAGCCATGCCTGGGATATAATCTCCTGGTGTGCCGTTTGCTACCACCATTGGAAAGACACAGTATTTAGGTGGCAGTGTCCCGGTTTTCCCGGTACAGTCTGTCACAGCTTCCCTTGGCTAGGCAAGGGAAATCCCTGGACCACTTGTGCTTCCCGGGTGAGGCGATGCCCTGCCCTGCTCCATGGGCAGCACCCACTGTCCAACCAGTCCCAGTGAGATGAACCAGGTACCTCAGTTGGAAATGCAGAAATCACCTGTCTTCTGCGTCAGTCACACTGGGAGCTGCAGACTGGAGCTGTTACTATTCGGCCATCTTGGAACGGAATCCTATTCAAATGACTGCTGTAATTTTAATTTAATTGAAGAACCTACCTTTTAAAATCTTTCCTGTCTTCTAATCAAAGCTGTATTTTTCAGGTTTTTGTATGATCTAGACCATTACCTATGTATCGGGGTTAATATTCTGATTTTGAAGCTAAAACAGTATATAATACTTTTAGACGTTTCCTGAATACATACACATTTATAGACATTTTGTACATACGTGTACAAATAGGCATTTCCTAAATGATGTGCCTATGTGTTACTAGTTCTGTAGGAGATAGAAAAGGTTTTACTCCAAAAAGGATGCCAGATGGCAGAACTGGATTAAGGAAAGGCACCAAAAGTATTTTTGCATCTTTGTGAATGTTGCAATCTTTAATGCACTGCCATGCAATATGAATCTCCCAAGAGAAATGGAGGGTGTGGTGTTCCCAAATGTATTTAACCATGGAACACTTCTACTTCGGCTATAGAACAGTATTCAGTTCCACACACAGCACTGCAAAACTTTGCCATATTTATTAAACAAGTGTTTTTTGACAGTCTGTGCCTGGAAGGTAGTCAAATCATTACCATCGGACTATGACCACTGTCACGTGGGTGTTTGTGTATGTGTCACACAGTGGCCAGTGTTCATGCAGTGTCTGTGCTGGTCCAGGTACTGTGTATTACACATCTCAGTGCTCATCAGCAGCACTGCCAAGTAGGTGTTGTAGGGAGGGATCTTCTTGCCACAGTCATTCAGCGAGCAGTGGCAGGGTAGAGGCTGCCTCTCAGCTCCTTCCAGAATCTGCATGATACCCCCTTCCACGTGTACCTCTCTCTAGGTGTGTGCACACCAGTGCTCATCCAGACATGGGTGCATTATGTTCACGTGTCGGCGGCACCTGTTCTGTGTGTACATAACTCCACCTGGAAGAACAGAGGACCCCATTGTGACCTGTCTTTAGCTATCCCCTTAAGTTCTTGCATGCTCTGGCATAATTATGGAGGCCACAGTTCATTGGCCCTTTCAAGTAGAAGGAATAGTTTTTGACCATAAAAAGTCAAACTAGAAAGCCATTAATGTCCAACTTCCAGAGTAGATTTTCTGCCTTGGAGCAGAAGAGGTGTGTGCCGAGTTTTATGTCTGGCAAATAATGTTAGAGGCCAAACTTGGGCCCTGCAGCTCCCTCACTCCACCTGCATTTGCCAGGTACTGCTCTGGGCTCTGGGGACACCGCGGTAAACAATATCCTGGCCCTCATGGGAGCCATCTTCTACTCAGGGGAAGCATTGGATAAACAGGTTTCGTTGAGTGCCCTAATCAGGGTACTGTGTTAGAGTAGGAGGGAGGAAGGCAGAAGGAAGGATGCCACCTTGAATAGCATGGTCACAGAAGGCCTGTCTGAAGAGGAGCAATTTGAGTGGGACCTTGAAGGTGAGAAGGAGCCAAGGGGGCAGAGCTGGGAGGACATTCCAGGCAGAGGGAATCCCAAGTGCAGTCCTTAAGGTGAGGAAGCCAGCAGGAGGTGGCGTGTCTCTAGATGAGGTCAGGGAGGTGGGCGGGCAGGACTCAGGCACAGAAGGCTCTGAATAGGCCATGGTGCTCTTTATATTAATCTCGAGAACAGTGGGAAGGAGGGATCTTTAAATGGGGAGCAACTTGTTTGGTTTGTGTTTTTAAAGCTCTCTGGAGAAGGAATTACAGGCAGAAAAGGGTAGGGCCAGTGGCTGGAGGGGAGACCCCCCAAGATTTAGAGGCCAGCAAGGAGGAGAGGACAGGCCAATAGCTAGGAGGAAATCCAGGAGAGGATGTGTTACCAAAACGAAAAGAGGAGCTTCTTCAGGAGGAGGAAGTGGACCCTCTGCTCAGGGCAACGGAACTATCAAGGAGGGTGAGAAGAGACGTGTCCCTCCATCCTTAGTTAAATGAGTCTGGGGTGCCAAGAATTTTCATGCATGTTTATTAATCTCAATAACAATCCTGTTTTTTTGCCCTCAAAATGTGTTCAAGATATTTGTAGATGTCATCTTCTTAATCCTTGTAGTATCCTGTTTGAGTAAGTGTCATCTTGGAAGTTAAGTAAGTTGTCAAGGGTCAGCTCACTAGGAAGTGGTGATACCAGAATATGAACCAGTTTCCCGAAGCCCAGAGCCTGAAGCCATGCGAAAGCCAGCAGGGTGACTCCTCCGGCTGCAGGCGAGTGGGCTGTGTTTCACCCGGTTTCTCCTTTTCTAGGTTACGGCCTCCGCTGCCACAGGGCCATCATCACCATCTGCCGGCTCATTGGCATCAAAGACATGTATGCCAAGGTCTCTGGGTCCATTAATATGCTCAGCCTCACCCAGGGCCTCTTCCGTGGGCTCTCCAGACAGGTAATCCTTTCCCGGGGTCTGAAACAGAGGTTCTAGTTTGTATTTCAGTTGTGTGTGTTGGGGCTACGATGCCCTGGGGCCTCCTGGAGATGCTTTCCTGGGGCCACCTGAGGAGTTGGGCATTCTTTGTTGTCTGTGACTGCATCAGTTTAGTTAAATCCATTGACAAGTTCATGAAAATTACCTTTTTTTTTTTTTTTTTTTTTTTTGAGACGGAGTCTCGCTCTGTCACCCAGGCTGGAGTGCAGTGGCGGGATCCCGGCTCACTGCAAGCTCCGCCTCCCGGGTTCACGCCATTCTCCTGCCTCAGCCTCCCAAGTAGCTGGGACTACAGGCGCCCGCCACTACGCCCGGCTAATTTTTTGTATTTTTAGTAGAGACGGGGTTTCACCGTTTTAGCCGGGATGGTCTCGATCTCCTGACCTCGTGATCCGCCCGCCTCGGCCTCCCAAAGTGCTGGGATTACAGGTGTGAGCCACCGCGCCCGGCCTGAAAATTACCTTTTAAAAAGTACTTCATGGGTTTTTCTAAGCAGCATTTTTAAAGCCAATAATTACAATCTACATGTTATTATGAAAATAACACCTGCTTGTTCTAAAGCTCCAACAGTATAGAAAAGTAAAATCAAAAGAGAAAGTTCATTTCCTAATTTAGTCCTTTCAGTTGGGGCTAGGATGAAGCACCCAGGGCACCTCTGCACACAGGGCAGGCACAGTCAGTTCCCTGTTACCTGTGTAGGTGGTTCGGACTGATGCCTGGGTTGGTAGGGAACTATGAACATTAACATATCAGGTTACTTTTCCTCATAGGTGGGAGCCCTGGGCCCGGCTCCCAATCACCCACCATGGAGGGCAGGGCTGTGACTGCACCGGGCCCCCATTCTTGGGCAGCTCCCCTACCTGCCCAGGAGGGCTGGCCTGTCTCTTGAAAGGATGGGTAGACCTTAGCATAGGTGGATGAACAGAAAAGACAACCAGGTTCAATAGGCTCCATTTGCTGAACTCTGTTAGCTGAGGACTTTGGCAGGCTTCCTGACATTTCAGGAGTACAGTGGTGGGTTTTAGGTAAAGTGATCCATGGAGTAATTTTACATGTCTCTGTTTAAAGTAGGAAAATTAAAAGAAAAAGAAGGCTTTGGGTAAAAGCCTTCTGTTTTCTGAACAGCTTTTGTGTGTGTTACTGTCTAAAACACCCTTCAGAGCACTTGTAAATTGAAACATTAGAGGTTTAATTAAGATGTTGATTTTAGATAGGTTGTATTTATGATCCAGTAGACTTGTTCTGTTTTTGGTTTTTGGTTTGTTTGTTTTTGCTTTTTGAGACAGAGTCTTGCTCTGTCACCAAGGCTTGGAGTGCAGTGGCTCCATCTCAGCTCACTGCAACCTCCGCCTCACGGGTTCAAGCGATTCTCCTGCCTCAGCCTCCTGAGTAGCTGGGACTACAGGCACGTGCCACCATGCCCGGCTAATTTTTGTATTTTTAATAGAGATGGGGTTTCACCATGTTGGTCAGGCTGGTCTTGAACTCCTGACCTCGTGATCCACCCGCCTTGGCCTCCCAAAGTGCTGGGATTACAGGCGTGAGCCACCGCGCCCAGCCTAGACTTGTTCTTTTATGTGATATCTTTGTTTTCTTTTAGTCTTTTAAACCTTCTGATATAGTTACCATATGTCATCTCTCCTAAAATGCCATCAGCTATAAAAGGTTGCATTATTTAATATGTCACTCAAAAAGGAAAAGATGCCACCACTTTAGGTGATATGCCTTTGATTGAAAGATACACCAATATAAATTATTTTGTTTATGAAATGGCTCATCTGTTTTCTAATTTCACACATACTGCAGGGCATTAGATATATAATTAGAATAGTGCAAGGCAGCCATAAGGCCTGGGATCACGGGATTGACATAGCAGGTATGTCATTGTACCATGAATAACGTCTACTGAACTAATCTGCCTGCTTCCAGATCTCTGTGGCTTCCCTCTGCAGTGAATCCCCATGGCCCTGTTACCCAGCTCATGACCAGTCTTGCTTCTTAGTACACCCCCAGTTATTTTGAACCAAATCTCAGACATTTTATTTCAACCCTAAATATTTTAGTATGTATCTTCGAAAAGATGAGGATTTTAAAAAATACCCTGTAATACTATTATCATACCTAAAAAGTTAACAGTAACTTGTATCATCAAATATCCAATCAATGTTCATACAAATGAGCAAATTCCATTTGTTAGATTAAAAAAAATTTTTTTTTTTTTTACACAATGTGTTTGAATCAGGTTGCAGAACAGGTTAATGTATGTTTTTGCTATGCCTTTTAAATAGGTTCCCCTCCTCTTCCCCCACCCCCGCCCCGCTTATGATTTTTTGTTGAGGAAACCAGGTTGTTTGTTTTGTAGTGCTTCCTGGCCTGTTGCTGACTAAAATACCTGTAGGGTCCTTAGTGTCTTATCTCCCCTATATTTACTGTAAATTGGTAGTTAGATCTAGGGGGTTGGTGAGATTCAAGTTCAGTGTTTGGCACAGCATGGTGCATAATCAGGAGGGTTTAGAAGGCAAGAGACCAGAGGCCAAGGCCCTTCCTCTATCCAAGTTTGGGGTGGGCAGATGCAGCAGATGAGGCTGAAATGACTCCACCCATGACAGGTTATTAGAGTTTAGCCACAAAACACATTAACCCAAATCCACTGAAATGGCCTTTGAATACCCCCAGGCTGTACTGTTGTGGCCTGTGGAAGTTCCTGCTCTTTATGTTGCAAATGTACTTCAGACCTAACCTGTTCTGAATTTGGTCTTGCTTAGGAAACCCATCAACAGCTGGCTGATAAGAAGGGCCTCCATGTTGTGGAAATCCGGGAGGAATGTGGCCCTCTGCCCATTGTGGTTGCGTCCCCCCGGGGGCCCTTGAGGAAGGATCCAGAGCCAGAAGATGAGGTTCCAGACGTCAAACTGGACTGGGAAGATGTGAAGACTGCACAGGGAATGAAGCGCTCTGTGTGGTCTAATTTGAAGAGAGCCGCCACGTAACCTCTCTGGCCTTGTGCAGCCAGTTCCTGTGCTGCCCTGCACCTAGGAGAGACTCAGCCCCTCACAGCTTGGGATGTTACCTTGCCTTTTGTTTGTTTTGAGGGAAGTTTAATCTTTAAACTCTTTGGAAATAAATAATTATAGCTTTCATTTGTTGAGCACATGTTATATGCCAATGTGATAGAACCTTTACATACATATCTCAGTTCAAGACTACTTTAAATATTCATCCAAAGTAACAAAAGTAAATGAATTAGGGAGACGGGGTTAATAATTTGACCCAATCAGTAATAATGTACACAATGATAATTGCTGTAGTAATTATAGCTAATATATATGAACTCATTCATCCAAAGTGAATGTGATTAACTTCATTTTACAGAGCAGTTAAGTAACTTGACTACCGTGAGGAACTTCCAAACCGTTTTCCACAGTGGAAATGGAAGTTGTAGGCTACTATTGGGAATGTTAAATGGTATATTAATTGTATACCATTGCAATTTTGACTTGTATTTCCCTGATGGCTGATGATGTTGAACATCTTTTCATGTGCTGATTGGCCATTTGTATATGTTTTTTGGAGAAATGTCTATTCAGAGCCTTTGCCCATTTAAAAAGTTATTTTTTATTATTATTGAGTTCCTTATAGTTTCTAGATATAAGCCCCCCTATCATACATGCTTTACAGAAGTTTTTACCCATTCTGTGGAATATATATATTTTTATTTCTTTGCATACTCTTTCTGCCCCACCCACATCCTCTTTCTGGGACACTGATGACCAAAATGTTGAATCTTTTACTATTGTCCCGTGAGTCCCTGAGGCGCTGTTTATTTTTTTTCCAGTCTGTTTTCTCTGTGTTGCTCAGTTTAGGTAATTTCTATTGTTTTATCTTCAGAATAACTGGTTATTTACTCTTTCCTTTCCATTCTGCTCTTGAACCATCCATGCAGTACTTTAACTTTGACTGTCATTGTATATTTCAGTTAAAATTTCCATTTGGTTTATTTTTTATGTCTTCTCTTTATTTGCTGAGGCTATTTGCTGAGACTTTTTTTTTCTTTAAATGGCTTCAAGAGTGTTTATAATTGCTCACTGAAGCATTTTTATGGTGGCTGCTTTAAAATCTTTGTCATCAGGTAGGTGTGGTGGCTCACGCCTATAACCCCAGCACTTTGTGAAGGTGAGGCAGGAGGATTGCTTCAGCCCAGGAGTTTGAGATCAGCCTAGGCAACAAAGTGAGACCTCATCTCTACAAAAAGTAAAAGTAAATTTAAAAGTTAGACACACATGGTGGTGTATGCCTGTAGTCCCAGCTACATAGGAGGCTGAAGTGGGAGGATCATTTGATTGCAGGAGGTTGAGGCTGCAGTGAGCCTTGTTCATGCCACTCCAGCCTGGGTGGCAGAGTGAGACCTTGTCTCCAAAAAAAAAAAAAAAATTGTCATAAAGTTTCAACATCTGTGTCATCTTAGTGTTGACATCCCTTGAGGTTTTTTCTCATTCAAGTTTACAATGTCCTAGTTCTTGTTATGATGAGTGACTTTGGCTGTATCCTGGTCATCTTCACTGTTATGAAGCTCTGGGAGTTATTTAAATCTCTCAGCATGCTTCCTCTGACGGTGCTGGTATGGGATGGGGCACTGCCTCGTTACTGCCTGGTGAGGATGGAGATCCAGGTTTCCTCCTGTCGCTGTCCTCGGGACCTCTGCTGAGGCCTTTCTGCTGGAAGTAGGAGGAGCACCCTAATGGCACCGTGGGATAGGGAGCAGGCCATGTTAGGCTGGATGGTGAAAGTTTTCAGCCTGTGACGTTGTCTGGTGTGGGTGGGTCCCCTTTTTTTGTGTGTGGTATTTTGCTAGAGTAAGGTAGTTATTTCCTAAAACTTATCTGTCCTGTTAGTTTTCCTTCTTAAGTACCTAACAAATATAAAGACAATGAACTTTAAGCAATAAAAGACAATGATCCTTTGGAGAGGGGAAACAAAATTATCTGTACTTACTATCTGCGGAGAGTCCGTGGTTCTAGGAAGGGTTACCCCATCAGGACCTGGCGGTCTCCTGGAGTTGAGGTGCAGTTGGGCAGTCGAAATGACTAGAGTTCACAGGGGAGAATGCCTTGGAGGAGAGAGTTGCACAGCAGGAGAACTAAGATCTGCAGAGAGTTTCCATCAGATATTTAGTTACACACTAATAGTGCATGCCGGTGAGGAAACTCACCCAAAAGAATTAGAGGGAACAGTGTTTGGAGTGGAAAATAGTGCCTGTTATCAACAGTCACAGTGGAAAACCTTGTAATCTAGGTGGCATTGGAAGAGAACTAAGATGCCCTAGTAGTAGAAAAATTAACTCTACATAAAAACTACCCCTGGTCCCAACTCAGAAAGCTTAAAAACAAGACCAAACTGGAACACAACTGTTTCAAAGTAACTTAATTGTGTTCCAGAACAAAGCTCAAGAATATAGGAATACAAAAAATATACCCAATAAAGTAAAATATACAATACTTGGCATCTAATAAATCACTAGGCAGCCAGGCGCGGTGGCTCACGCCTGTAATCCCAGCACTTTGGGAGGCCCGAGGCAGGCGGATCACCTGAGGTCAGGAGTTTGAGACCAGCTTGACCCACATGGAGAAACCCCATCTCTACTAAAAATACAAAAAAATTAGCCAGGCGTGGTGACACATGCCTGTAATCCCAGCTACTTGGGAGGCTGAGGCAGGAGAATCGCTTGAACCAGGGAGGTGGAGGTTGTGGTGAGCCAAGAACATGCCATTGCACTCCAGCCTGGGCAACAAGAGCGAAACTCCATCTCAAAAAAAACAAAAACAAAAACAAAAATACTAGGCATGCAAAGAAGCATGAACATAAGCTCATAATGAAGTGAAAAATTAGTCCATCAAAACTGACCCAGGAATGGCACAATGACAATCAGTAGACAAGGACATTAAAGCAGGTATTATGACTGTATTCCATATGTTCAGAAAGCTAGAGAGAAAAACATGGAAGATACAAAACACCAAGTTGAACCTCTAGAGATGAAAACTGCAATATCTGATGAAAAACGCTGAATGGGATTAACAGCAGATTGGACATCTCAGAAAAAGATATGAAAGAATTGGAAGACAGCAACTTAAACAGGAAAAAGACTGAAGAAGGTAGGAGAAATTGGGCATTAGAGAACTATGGGACAACTTTGGGAGCCAAATACGTGTATAATTGGAGTCCGTGGAGAAGGGAGGTATAAAAAACAATTTGAAGAAATGGCCGGGCGCAGTGGCTCACGCCTGTAATCCCAGCACTTTGGGAGGCTGAGGCGGGTGGATCACGAGGTCAGCAGTTCGAGACCAGCCTGGCCAACATGGTGAAACCCTGTCTCTACTAAAAATACAAAAATTAGCCAGGCATGGTGGCAGGCGCCTGTAACCCCAGCTACTCCAGAGGCTGAGGCAGGAGAATCACTTGAACCCAGGAGGCGGAAGTTGCACTGAGCCGAGACCGCGCCATTGTACTCCAGCCTGGGTGACAGAGCAAGTCTCAAAAAAAAGTTTTTTTGAAGAAATAATAGCTGAATTGATGGCAACTACTGAGACCCAAGAAATATAATAACTATCAATCAAATTTCAACTAGCAATAAAGAGGAAGTTTTAGAAGTGAGGAAGAGAGAGAAGATTAGGTACAGAGGAACAAAGGTAAAGATGACAGCAGCTTTCTTGTAGGAAACAAGCCAGAAGCAGGAGGAGCCTGGTAGGTGTTCACTGTGGGGACATGGTAAGTTCCTGGAGGTAAAACTCGTAGAAATGTTCCCCACCAGGACTGGGTCCCTCTGGAGTTTTCACCTTTCAAATTTGGCCGCACTGAGCGTCTAGCAATTCATCAGTTAAGTTGAGTTTTCCCTACCCTGAACTTCTTCCTGGAATGGTTCTGCCAGTGGGTTTCTGCTCTGGTAAGTTGTGATTCTTTGAGTCTAGCCAATTTCTCAACTTCTGGAGACACCAGTTTGCCCTGTGAACTCAATTCTTTGATAAATCTAAGAAGAGGTTTTGATTTTTCAGTTTATTTAAGTTTTTACTTATTAGTATGGAGTGTTGGCCTCCAGGCTCCTTATACACCAGACCAGAAACCAGAAGTCTAAACATGTCAATTAAACAGTAGAAATTACCAGATTTCATTTTTAAAAAGCAAGACCCAACTATATGTTGCCTATAAGAAATCCACTTTAGATATGAAGACTGATAGGTTGAAAGTAAAAGGGTGGAAAAATAAACCACGCTAATGTAAGTTCATAGAAAGCTGAAGGATATGTTAATACTAGACAATGTAAATTTCAGAGCAAGGACTATTATTAGGGATAAAGAGGGCCATTTTATAATAATAATTCATCAGGACAACATAGCAGTCCTAAACATTCAGACACCTACAAATAGAACTTCAAACGCATAAAGCAAAAACTGATTGGACTACAGAGAAAAATAGAGCCACAATTAATAGAGATTTTAACATCCCTGTCTCAGTAATTGGCGCAAATAGAATTGGTAAGGATATAGAAGATGTGAGCAGCATTATCAGCCAGCTTGGACTTCATTGGCTTCTTTTTTCTTCTTTTCATTTTTAAGAGATGGGGCCTTTCTCTGTTGCAGAGGCTGGAGTGCAGTGACACAATCATAACTCACTGCAGCCTGGAACAATGAAACTCAAGGGATCCTCCCACCTCAGTCTCCTGAGCAGCTGGGACTGTAGGCTTGTGCCACTGGACTCAGCTGATTTTTAATTTTCAATTTTTTTTGTAGAGATGGGGGCCTCACCTTTTTGCCGATGCTGGTTTTGAACTCCTGGCCTCAACCAATCCTCCTGCTGTGGCCTGTCATTGACTTATAGAACACTCTACCACCAACAGCAAAATACATACTGTTTTCAAGGGCATACAGGACAGTTACCAAGATGGACTATGTTCTGGGCCATAAAACAAGTCTCAATAAATTTAAAAGGATTTAAGTCATACAGAGTATATATTCTGATCACAGTGGGTTTACATTAGAAATCAGTAGCATCTGGAAAATCCAAATATTTGGAAACTAAATGACACCTAAATAACCATGAGAAAGAACAAAAATAAAAAGGGGGAAATTAGCATTTTGAACTGAACAGACTAAAGCTACAGTCATTTACCTTGTGGTACCAGTGAAGATAGACACAGATCAATGGAAGAAAATAGAATATAGAAATACACCCTCCAAATGTGGTCAGTTGAGTTTTGACAAAGATGCAAAGGAAATTTAGTGAAGAAAAGATAGGAGAATAGGAGAAAGATAGGAGTGGTGGAATAGATGGATATCCATATGCAAAATATGAGCTTTGAACCATATATCACACTATATACAAAAACTAACCAGTGATGTTTCACACCTACATTTACAACCCAAAACTAAAACTGCTAAAAACCTAGACGCAATCTTTGTGACCTATAGCTACAATATCAAAGGCACAATCTGTATGTTGATAAATTGAACTTTATCAAAATTCAGAATTTCTTCTCTTGAAAAGATAGTTTGAAAAAGTCTTCCACAGACTGGGTGAGTCACACATGGAAGAAAATGTTTGCCAGACATATCTAATAAAGGACCTGTATTCAGGATACATAAATCTCAAAACTCGTAATTAGAAAATAACAATAAAAATGGGCAAAATATTTGGACACTTACCAAAGAAGATACAGATATGGCAAATAAGTCCATGAAAAGGTGCTTATCAGTCATTAGAGAAATGCAATTAAAACCACTGAGAGATACCACCACATACATTAGAATGTCTAAAGATCCTTCTGCCAAATGGTGAAGATAGGATGAAATAACTGGAATTCTTGTACATTGTTAGTGGGAATGTAAAACGGTACAGTCACTTTGGAAAATGCTTGGGCAGTTTCTTAAAATGTTAAAGATATACTTGCCACATAACCTGACAATTCCCTTCCTAGGTATGTATCCAAGAGAAACAAAAGCATCTGCCCTTACCAAGACATGTATATAAATGTCCATAGCAGTTTAATTTGTAATAAAAACTGGAAACAACACCAATGTATATCAACAGGTAAATGGCTACATTTTTATTGCTGAGTAATAACCATTGTATGGATATACCACAATTTGTGTAGCCATTTACCTGTTGATATACATTTGATAAATGAATGATCAATAAAAATGGACTATTGGGCCTGGCGTGGTGGCTCACGCCTGTAAACCCAGCACTTTGGGAGGCCGAGGTGGGTGGATCACGAGGTCAGGAGATCGAGACCATCCTGGCTAGCTTGGTGAAACCCCTTCTCTACTAAAAAAAAATACAAAAAAATTAGCCAGGTGTGATGGTGGGTGCCTGTAGTCCCAGCTACTTGGGAGGCTGAGGCAGGAGAATGGCGTGAACCCAGGAGGCAGAGCTTGCAGTGAGCCGAGATTGCGCCACTGCACTCCAGCCTGGGCAACAGAGCAAGACTCCGTCTCAAAAAAAAAAAAAAAAGAAATGGACTATTGATACACAATACAGATGGATCTCAAAATGCGTTGAGTGTAAGAAGTAAGACCAAAAAGTGAGCACATGCTGTATGATTTCATTTCTGTAGAATTCTAGGAAGTGCGAACTAGTCTATAATAACAGAAAGTGGATCAGTGGTTGCCTGGGGCTGGGAGGGGGTAAAATGGGTGTGAGGGAGGGATTACAAAGGGGCATGAAGCAGCTTTTGCAGGTCAGGTGGCAGATATGTTCAACAAATTGGTTGTGTGATGGTTTCACAGTGTATATATATATATCTCAAAACTTCACCAAGAGTACACTTTTTTTTTTTTTTTTTTTTTTTTTTTTTGAGACAGAGTCTTGCTCTGTCGCCCAGGCTGGAGTGCAGTGGCACGATCTCGGCTCACTGCAAGCTCCGCCTCCCGGGTTCATGCCATTCTCCTGCCTCAGCCTCCCGAGTAGCTGGGACTACAGGCGCCCACCACCATGCCCAGCTAATTTTTTGTATTTTTAGTAGAGACGGGGTTTCACTGTGTTAGCCAGGATGGTCTTGATCTCCTTACCTCGTGATCTGCCTGCCTCGGCCTCCCAAAGTGCTGGGATTACAGGCATGAGCCACCGCGCCCAGCCAAGAGTACACTTTTTAGTGTGCAGTTTATCTAAACATCTTTACAACCACCAGGGGGCAAGAAGAGCTTCCCAAATATAGCAGTCCCTGTTTACTGGATGCTGCAATGTAGACATTGATGATTCTAGTAGAAATCTATCTGTCCTTTTAGTGAAATAGTTTGCAGTTAGAAATGCTTGTGTCCGGGCCAGGCACGGTGGCTCATGCCTGTAATCCCAGCATTTTGGGAGGCCGAGACGGGCGGATCACGAGGTCAGGAGATCGAGACCATCCTGGCCAACATGATGAAACCCCGTCTCTACTAAAAATACAAAAATTAGCTAGGCATGGTGGCAGATGCCTGTGATCCCAGCTACTCGGGAGACTGAGGCAGGAGAATCGCTTGAACTCGGGAGTCGGAGGTTGCAGTGAGTCAAGATTGCGCCACTGCACTCCAGCCTGGGCTACAGAGCAAGACTCCATCTCAAAAAAAAAAAAAAAAAAGAAGAAGAAAAGAAAAGAAATGCTTGTGTCCTACAGAGGTAATCATTTCTGTTTGAAATGCTAGATGTGGGATCTTCAAGCTATAAATACCTACTAGCAACATGATTCCAGATTTGCATGACAAAGACTACCTTGAAAGAATTGCATTTGCTTTTCTTCCTCTCCTGAGCGGTTTTCAAACACCTTTCAGCTGCAGATCATGCATTCACACTGCAGTTTATCACTAGCCTAAAGTGTAAGTCAGGGTTGTGGGGCAGAGGCAAAACGCACACAGGATCTGGGGACTGCAGCTTGAAAACTCATCAACTTGCTGTGTGACGTCAGTCGTGTTGCTTAACTCTTCTGTCCGCCCCCAGCACCCTCCACCACCATCTTAGCTTTCTGAAAGTAATGAGCTCTCCATCGCGTAAGTGTTACATAAAATCCACACTGTCAGCCAGTGTAGCATGGGTGGAGAGTAAAGCATCCTGCTGTGTGTCATTGGTGGCTGATGGGCTGCAGGGGACAAACAGCAGCTCAGCTCCTAGACCTGTGGCATGTGAGTTGAGTCAGCATCTCAATAGCCCAGTGCTGCTACTTCTAAGAGGCTCATTTTTAAAAAAATTTTTAATTTTTTTTAGGGACAGAGTCTCGGTCTGTTGACCAGGCTGGAGTGTAGTGGTGTAAACAGCTCACTGCAGCCTCGACTTCCTGGGATGAAGCGATCCTGTACTTCAGCCTCCAGTGTAACTGGCCACAGGCACATGCCACCACACCCAGCTAATCTTTTTTTTTCTTTTTGTAGACACAGTGTCTCACTTTGTTGCCTAGGCTGGTCTTGAACTCCTTGCTGAAGCAATCCTCCTGCCTCAGCCTCCCAAAGTGCTGGGATTACAGGCGTGAGTAACTGCGTCGGCCAGAGGCTCATTTATTTTTAGAAAGGCAAGCAAATGAGAGCCGAGCTCTGGGTGCAGGCAGAAGCAATGAGTGTCTATGCTGCACAGTGCTGTCACTGGCTGCCACAGCTCTGCAGCCTGCGACAGGGAGAAGCACCTTGGCTTTTTCTTAGCACTCAAATCAGTGATTCTGGACCCTCAGAGATTTGCTCGTTACTTTGATATTGATTGAGCTCCTCATTCTTAACTAGAATATTGTTTGGTGTGTGTTAGTGTCCTGTGACTTTAAGGTTTTTTTTTTTTTTTCTATGTGCTGACATTTATTGAACACTTGACATGTGCTTGACAGTGTTGTAATCCACTTACATATTTAAATTAACAACCTTGAGCACTTAGATCCCCAAATTAAAAAACTTGCTCAAAGTAACACATAGCTAGTAAGAGGTGAGGCCACGGTTGACACCCAGGCAGGCTGGCTCCAGTGCCCAGCTCCTAAGACAAGCTGCCCCAATGAGGCTGGACAAGTTCCCTTACCTGGGAATCCCAGCTCAGAGAGTTGAGGGGAGGCAAGGGTTTCAAGGCCTTTGAAAGAAAGCTCAAGGAGCACTGAGGAGTGAAAGGATTTTTGCGTAGGGTCATAAGGGACAGTAGGAGGTGTGTGTGTGCATGTGCGTGCACACACTGGGTAGAGGGCCAAGGGACTGTGGCCTCGGGGAGCTTATGGCTAGTTCAGAGCTGAAGCTGGATTGTGTGTGCATGTGGGTCCCGAGCCATCTGTCGTGAGCGGTGCAAATTCAAGGATAACCCGGTCCGCACATGTTTTGTCTTTCCACAGTGTCAGACTTTGATTGATGTTATTTCAATCACAGGAGCCATGAGCGCCATGGAGTTCCCCAGGGGGCAGTTCTCCTTAGTACTTTCTGTTCACTTCCCAAGTCAGAGCACATATGCTCAAGCCACTCCACAAGCCAGTCAGTATTACAAGCCATGCAGAGTCATATATACTTAATCAATATATAGATGTTATATATTAAACATTCCACAGCACACAGTAACATTTAACATGAAGAGAAGGGCGGCAGGAAAAAGGTTAACAAACCAGTCCAAGGAGAGTAACAGAGAAAAAGAAATCTCCTGGTGTGGGCTGGTGCAATCTTCGGTACTTTTAGGAAGTGTCTTTGATGTGAGCAGATGTCAGGTGCTGATCACCAGTGACTGTAAGACTGGGTCTGTTAAGACGGCCACTTGGGGCTGCTGAAGTCCTGCTCTTATGGCCACAGTGTCCTCTGATGAGGACTGAGTGGAGGAGTGTGCTTGGTTATGTCCTTGTCTGGCTGGATGCAGTCTTTATTGATCAGGCGAAACATCGGGTCCCTGTTAGCAAAGTGTCCTATGATATGTAAAATGCAGTCTTTTTCTAAGATGGAGTTAGTTATGTCAAGGGTGCTGTGTACAGTGGGACACATAGTGGTTGCGGAGGCTTGTGGGGAGGGGGGAAGGGAGAGGACCCCGGCAGCTGCACAGGCCCCTGTAGGGTGGGTGGGACGCCCCGCTGTAGTCATGGGGCCCTCCGATCCCCCCCAGCTCTGCCCAGCGGGCTGTTGAGCCCTGGTAGGGTCCCTGCAGGTTGGGGGCGCCCCGCCAGGATAGCGGCCAGGAAAACCTCCCTGTTTCACCAGGCTCTCTGGGAGGCGCGGGCGGAGTGCGCTGGCGTTTGGGACGCTGGTGGCGCCTGCTGGGACCTGGGGAGCGTCCCCTGCCCCCACCCTCGGGCTGGCGGCGCGCTCAGCCGCAGGAAGGAGGCTTTGTTCCGTGTCCCCGGCAGTCTCATCCTCTTAGCTGCTGCTGGTTTGAGGAGCGTTCTGTGCGGGTCTGGACGCCCCCGCCTGAACAAGGTGCTTTCTAGAGGGGGCGAGTAAGCGAGCACCACTCGGTGTTTGCTCCGCGAACGCCACCTGCTGGCCCGAACTGGGTTGGGCACTGGAGTTTCACGAGAGTGCTGAGGCGCCGGTCCCGCCAGGTGAGCTGCACCCAGGAGGCACCCTCCTGCCAGGGGTGACCTAGTGGGCGGGGCCTGCCTGAGGGTAGCCAGGAAGGGTGTTCCGGGAGGGAGGGAGGTACTGCTGGCCGAGGGCTCAGCACTCTGCACTGATTGTGTGGTTTTTTTTTTCACTGTTTTTGTTTTTTGAGACGGTTTTTCGCTCTTGTCGCCCAGGCTGGAGTGCAATGGCGCAATCTCGGCTCACTGCAACCTCCGCCTCCCGGGTTCAAGCCTCAGCCTCCCCAGTAGTTGGGATTACAGGGGCCCGCCACCACGCCCGGCTAATTTTTGTATATTTCGTAGAGACGGGGTTTCACCATGTTGGCCAGGCTAGTCTCTAACTCCTGACCTCAGGTGATCCACCCGCCTCGGCCTCCCAAAGTGCTGGGATTACAGGCGTGAGCCACCGCTCCCGACCGATTGTGGTTATTTAAACAACCCGAAGTAGAAAAAAACCCGTGAGCTTTACTTTCAAGCATAAAGTAGGATACAGGGATTGGGTGGCACTGGAAAGCTTCAGAACGTTCTTTCTTGGATGCATGGCGCAATGAGAGACCCAACAGACCAAGGGTCAGGAAGAAAAAACAATTTACTATTCAAATAATGAGATATGGGTCCAACCTCTGCAGTGTAGTCAGTGAATGAATAATAAAAAGAGGGTTGTGTGGCCTGGGGCTGCTCTTGCTTCCTCTGGGTCCTCAGTTTCCCCATCTGTAAAACAAAGGGACAGACCAGACCGCATGATCCTTAACTGGGGCTGAGGCTACAGCCTTAGGTTTCCAGGGTGCAGATCTTGATATTCCCTGGGCACAGCGCCTGAGCACAGATTCCTCTGTGGGGAGATGGACTCACATCCCTGGGAACCCTGCTGGAAGTATCTGCCCAAGCAAGCAGCTCTGAGCCCTTACCTGAAGGTTCATCTTTGGCAATGGGATTCCTTGGAAAGAAAGCTGCCCCTTAACCCCGGGGGCTGCCGTGGGGTGCCCACATAGCAGGGCTGTAATATTTTTTTCTTATCTCTGGAGAGCAGCTCAATTCATGTCCAGTAAACACAAACCCGGAGGCCCTTTCTTGATGAACACTGCAGATATAATGAAAAACTGGCTCAGATCTTCATCTTACAAATGCAGCTGCTGCTTCAGACATGGTGCTTCCCCCAGGCTTATGGGGATTCAACTCATAGACTCATGTAAACACACATGTAACCCATGGCACCCTCAGGGCCTGGGACAGCAGTCCAGAGCGGGATCTCTCTGCCTCCTAAGGCTGGCCCTGGAGAAGTCGCTTGGGGCAGATGTGAGGGGGATCACCAAAGGGAGGGGGAATTGCCACCAGCACATCCAAGATCATTCCTAGAAGGCAAGCAGCAACCTCCACGCCAGGTTTTCTGTGGCTCTCCGGAAGCCCTTGGATGCCTGTCCATTAAAAGAGGAGTCATTCAGGCCCTTCGCAAATGCTGGTGCCACAGTGGCTTTCAGAGGAGGCCTCATGGCCCCTCCTGACGTCCCCTTGGTACTTGGCTCCCCGGCCCTCTGCAGTCTCATCTGGAACACTGTCTGCTGTCCTGCTCCTTCCAGGGGTTCTGTGGCATTGCCCTTTTCAGCCCGGCCTGAGCTCCTGGGCAGCAAGGCTTCCCCTCCGACCCCCAGCAGCCTTCACCCACCTGCCCTGGGGGCTTTGTTCCTGCCTCTGGGACCCAGGGATGTGACCATGCCTCCAGGAGCCTTCGTCACCTGCTCCCAGGGTTGGGCAGGGTGTCCCTCCCAGCAGAGCCATCCTGGCTGCCCTCAGGCTGTGGCTCCCACCAGAAGCTGACAGCCTCCAGCAAAGCCAGAAATGGCCCCCTTGGCGGTTCCACCTGGCCCTCCCTTCCGTTGACAAGAATGCGACCTGAGTTGTTGCTTGTTGTTAACCCCTGTGCAGCAGCTTCCAAAGAAACTGCTTCAAAGCACGGGGCAGGGAGGGCTCCGCAGGGTTTGGAGGCAGAGGCAGCCTGAAAACAGGTGGCAAAGCTCTGAGGGCGGGTGCAGGAACAAAGCTGTGTGCGCTCTGCCCCATGTGTTCCAGCAAAACAGGATGTCGGTTAGTGGAGAAGGAGCAAAAGTGCCTCTGAAGTATTCTTGAGAAGGTCATGGTTGCTTCTCAGAAAGGGCATTTACCACAGACCAAGCAGAATTTCCCAGCTGGGCGCCTGGGGACTGGGGATCGTGCTGTTGAGCACAGGGGCATCTGAGAGCATTCGGACACTGCTGGCCTTCACCTCACACAGCCTCAGGTGTCCGGTGTGCTCTCCTCTCCAGATGGCCATATGGCCAGGGCTTCTTGTGTCCTTGGGCTGCGCAGGAGTGAAATCTCCTTTCCTGCCCGCAGGAAGCCACGTGGGCTTCAGTGGCCGTTTTGATTTGCGCCTATGAATCAGACGCTGGCCAGATCACCCTCCATAGCCCCTGCCCACGCCTAGGGAAGGACAATGGGGTCAGCCATGCGGTTGGCCAGGTATTGAGGGCTTGTTCATGGTGTCTTTGTGGGCCTGACAGAAGCCTTTGAGGCCATTAACACCCAAACCCTTCCACTCAATGTTGGGCAGGCTGAGAACTCTTCTAAGAATCTAAGAGTCAGCCTGAAGTATCGGGTGGGGTGGGGCTTCACTAGGATGGCAGCCACGGTGCCCTCACCCTCACCCCAGGCAGTTCCATGGTCAAAAGGCTCACTCTGTCCCAGGCCCTCCTCTCTAACGTTGCCCTCCCTGTCACAGACTGGGATGACTCAAGTCCTGGACTGCCCCCGGGCCAGCTGTCACCCGAGTGGGGTGGGAGTGGGGTGACTGCCTGCCCAGCGGTCAGGGCAGCAGCCACCCAGCTGCTCATTAACTCAGAGGCAGCCACTGGCTTCAGGGAGGCCCTCTCCCCAGGACTTCCCAGCCTGTCCATGCTTGAAGAGCTCTGTTTAATA
Organism: Homo sapiens; assembly: GCF_000001405.40. Lineage (NCBI taxonomy): Eukaryota > Metazoa > Chordata > Mammalia > Primates > Hominidae > Homo > Homo sapiens. Next base: position 95,073,872 of record NC_000002.12, on the reverse strand, counting down.
TACATATATTTTAAATTTGCACATTGGTCCTCTACCCAATACGCATGTTAATAGTAGGTACACTTCTAGTAACTGTCGATGGAGATATAAGTTTGTAAAAAGCTGCTCTGAGGTTAGCGGTGTTTTTAACGTAGGCACCATGAGCACAGGTATACATTTTGGAAAACAACACTGGAGGGTATAAGGGGCTTGGACTGCTTATGAATGCACAAAGCTAGTTCCCAGAGCCCTCAGGATGGAAGCCACAGGTTTAGGGTCCCCTTGAGTTCCCAGTGAGAGCTGGACTCAGCAGTGTGCACCCAGACACACACATTCCTGCTCCACTTGGGCTAGAATTAGCATGGTGACCATGCCATCTCTGAGACCTTCCAGGAACCCTTTGATCTCAATGATGATGAGGCTGAGGCCAGAACCTTCCAGTACCTTCTCAGTCAGTGGTTTTCAAACCTGGCTGACCATAAATGAACCTTCTGAAAAAGCTCTTTAAAAATGCAGATTTCTCGCCAGATGCAGTGGCTTACCCCTGGAATCCCAGCGTTTTCAGAGGCTGAGGCAGGGAGACTGCTTAAAGCCAGGAGTTTGTGACCAGCCTGGGCAACATAGGGAGACCGTGTCTCTACAAAAAATTAAAATTAGCTGGGCATGGTGGCATGCACCTGTAGTCCCAGATACTTAGGAGGCTGAGGCAGGAGGATGCTTGAGCCCAAGAGTTCAAGGCTGCAGTGATCTGTGATTGCACCACTGCACTCCAGCCTCAGCAACAGAGAGAGAGAGAGAGATGCTGTCTCAAAAAAAAAAATGCAGATTTCAATATCCATCACCTGGCAACTGGATCAGAATTTCCAAGGCTTGGGTCCTGGGCTGTATTTTTTAAAGCTCTCAAGTCCAGGCAACACACAAAGAAAATGGCATGTCAATTCCATGGATGCCTCCAAAGGTGAAAATCCCAAAAAAATTATGGCACTTCTATAGAACATTACAGTAGTCCTGTGGTGGAAACTTCTGAAATAAGAATTATTCCCTTTTCTAGGTGAAGCTTTTCTTAGATTCCTTTGGTATCTGACAGATGAAGTTTTGAGACACCAACAGATGGAGGCCAGTTAAAAGGCTGCTCATCTCTGGTCATCTCTCTTTCAAGGTGCAATTTCTCCTGAGCCTGAATGTCCTGGACTCCAGAACTGGCGGCTCATGTGGCCCCACAGGTGGACACAGATGGGTTTGGCTGCAATCCACAGGCAGGCTCTGAGACTGGGACTCGGTGGGCACGGGGTGTTCTGGCTCTTGGTTATAGCCTTTAAAGCAGAAAGCACAGGTCTGGGCCATAGCCTTCCCAGGCTATGGGAGCTGACCTTCCTAGGAAGGGGATCACAGATCGTGGTGGAACTTGCCTGAGTTCATGGGTCCTGATTTGATCTCTCAGCCTTTCTCCCTGAGAAGGAAATATCCTCATATGATGGGGTTGGGGTGTCCCTAGGGCTGCCAGAACAATGGCCCCAGGACTGGTTGAACAATAGTCTATGACTGTAATTTTCTAGGGCATCAGTTTAAAAGAAGAAAGGCTTGTGATCGATCTGCTCCAAGAGAGACCCTAAAAACTGATAAGTCACACCCATTCTTGATAAGTCTCTTGGCAAACTAGGAGTAGAAGGGAACCTCGTTGAGATAAATGTGCTTACTAGAGTAAGCCTGGGACTGAATGGTAAAACCTTAGAAGCATTTCTTCTTTTGCTGTAGGGAACAGGGCATGCATGCCTGCTCGTTAACCACTCAATTCTGTCTTGGGAGCTGACCCAGCACAGCAAGCCAAGAGGAGGGACAGAAAGGAACAAAGCAGTCTTCATTCCAGGGGACATGATTGTCCACACAGATAATCCAAGAGGATCAATGGCAGACTCTTAGAGCAAATGCAAGTAAGGCTCAAGGTGGCCCGATACAGGTTACCCCATAAAAAATCATAAGGTGGCCAATGCCCCAGCAATGGCCAGTTAGAAAAAGTAACGTAAAAGAGATCCCAGGCATGGAGCACAAGTTACAGAGACCACAGGAAGCGGGAGGACTTCATGCTAAGTGAAATAAGCTGGACACAGACCGACAAATACCGTATGATCTCACATGTGCAAGCCGAGAAAGTTGAACTCATAGAAGCAGAAAGTAGAATGGTGGTTACTTTGAGGAGATAGTAGTCAAAGTATACGCAATTTCAGTGGGGAAGAATAAATTCAGGAGTGATCTGTTGCACAACATGGTGACAATAGCTATAATAGTGTATTGCATTCTTTAAAATTGCTAAGAGAGTAGATTTCAAATGTTCTCACTGCAGAAAAATATGTGAGGTAATGCATATATTAATTAGCTTGATTTAGCCATTCCACAATGTACACATATATCAAAACATCGTGTTGTACACCATAAATATATACAATTTTTGTTGGTTAAGTATTCTTTTTTTTTTTGAGATGGAGTCTTGCTCTGTCGCCCAGGCTGGAGTGCAGTGGCACAATGTCGGCTCACTGCAAGCTCCGCCTCCCGGGTTCATGCCATTCTCCTGCCTCAGCCTCCCAAGTAGCTGGGACTACAGGTACCCGCCACCACGCCCGGCTAATTTTTTGTATTTTTAGTAGAGATGGGGTTTCACCATGTTAGCCAGGATGGGTTAAGTATTCTTATATTTAAATATATATATAATATATATTATATATTATATTACATACAATATATTATATAATATATAATATATTACATTATATAATATATTATATAATATACTATGTTATATAATATATTATATAATATATCACATTATATAATATATTATATAAAATAATATATAATATATAATATATTATGTATTATATATAATATACATTATATATATAATATATATATAATATATATAATATAATATATTATAACATAATATATATTATATAATACATAATATATTATATAATTATATAATATATATTATATATTATAACATAATATATATTATATAATACATAATATATTAATTATATTATATATAATAATATATAATATATATTATATCATATATAATATATTATGTATTATATAATGCATAACATATATATGATATAATATATAATATAAAATATAATATATAATATGTAATATATAAATATATAATATGTAATATAATATATAATATGTAATATAATATATAATATAATATATATACATATTATATATAATATATAATATGTATATATATTATATATATTATATGTTGGTGAGAGGATAGAACGAAATAGACTCATACATTTTGGGGTCACATTTTATATATATATATATATAATATATATATAGTACTCAATGCCAGACATTCTTTTCAGTGTGTTGACTATTCTGTTCTTGCAACACCTTTAAGAAGTTGGCATCATTTCCAGAATAGGCAAAGAAATTAATGGAACAGGCCAGGCGCAGTGGCTCATGCCTGTAATCCCAGCACTTTGGGAGGCCGAGGTGGGCGGATCTCCTGTGGTCAGAAGTTCGAGACCAGCCTGGCCAACATGGTGAAACCCCGTCTCTACTAAACATACAAAAATTAGCTGGGCATGGTTGCGGGCACCTGTAATCGCAGCTACTCAGGAGGCTGAGGCAGGAGAATCTGTTGAACCCGGGGGGCAGAGGTTGCCGTGACCCGAGATCACGCCATCGCACTCCAGCCTGGGCAACAAGAGTGAAACTCCGTCTAAAAAAAAAAAAGAAAAAAAAGAAAGAAATTAATGGAACAGGATAGAGAGTTGGAATGTTTACTATACATGCATGGGAATTTAGAAGATCTTTCAGATTATCTGTTGGAGCAATTGTTTATCCAATTTGGAAATAAAGTCAGACTCCTACCCCACAATACTGACTAATTAACTTCATGGAAAAGTAAAAGCAATGATAACCAAATTCCACTATTAATACCACTATGTTACTAATTGTTAATGCGTATGCCTGTTAGTAATTGGTATGCTAGTTAACAGCAGTCATTTGTGAGTGTGCTAAGTGCTGTGTGGGCCAGGCTCTGGGCCCGGCGCTCCCCTGCATCATCTCATTTGATCCTCACAACAGCCCCGAGAAGTGGACACAGGCAGGTCAGGTCCCCGCCCAGTGTTGTCAGCTAGTGAGTGGAGGAGCCTAGGATGTGAACGCAAACTATGGGGTGTTCTGGAGCTTGGTTATAGCCCTTAAAGCAGAAAGCACAGGTCTGGGCCATAGCCTTGCTTGACTTCTTCCTCCAGTACCTGAAGTGGGTATCTGGTCACTAAACAATAAGCAAACACAGCCTCCAAAGACGGATCCGACCAGGAAACTGCAGACCCACATGACGCAGCAACCTGAGCTGACCTTCCCAGGAAGGGGATCACAGATCGTGGTGGAACTTGCCTGGGTTCATGGGTCCTGATTTGATCTCTCTGCCTTTCTCTCGGAGAAGAAAAAATCTTTTTCCTTGAACAAAATAACATGCGTATAAAGTATTTATTGTAATTTGAGTAAAAAAGCTAAACAAATATGCTTGTGGTCTAGAAATAGGGAAAGTTGGCTAATCTCAAAAAATCTGAAGCCATGAAGTCACGATTGACAATTTGACATCCACGCTAAAAACTTTCCGCAACAAATTACATCCTCAATGTTAAAATATGAGGGACAGATTGGAAGGAAAGGACAACCCAGTAAAAAAGTAGGCAAAGGATATAAATAGATGATTCTCATAAGAAGAAACACAAATAACCAATATGTGTATGAAAAAGGTGCAGAAACTCACCAGCAATTAGAAAAATGTGAGTTCAAATGACTTTTTTTTTTACAAAAATTAAAAATATTGATAATGCGTATTGGTGAGAGGATAGAACGAAATAGACTCATACATTTTGGGGTCACATTTAACATTATCTGTCAAAATTTAAAATGCACATATATCACCTACTACTGAGAAGTTTCACTTCTTGGCATCTACCCCGAGAAACGCTCCCAGAAGGGATTCATGATAGTCCTGGTACTGTTTTGAAACAGTGGTAACAATTAAATGACTGTTGACAAAAGTCCTCATCAACAATGTATAATATGCATCTATCCAGACGTGCAGAGTTCTGTAGGACATATGATCATGCAGAGAAAAGTGTCTGAAAACAAGCTTGTGGGACACAAACACGCCCCCGCCCATAAGCAAATAAAATATCAGTATGCGTGCCTCTCCAGACCCTTCCAATGGATCCACCTAGAGATCACTTCACTTTACAGATAGGAGCTGATGAAATCCTCCAGCCTAGGGCATCAGGTTTGGACAGCTGTGCACCAAACAGATGACCACAGCCACCTCTGGGGAGGTTCTGGCAGGGGAGTGATGGGAGAAGAGGAATTTAACTTTATCTGTTGTGGTTTGTTTGTTTGTTTATTTATTTATTTATTTATTTATTTATTTATTTATTTTTAGGAGAAAATGTGGTCATGGCCTCCTCGTTTCCCCTCAGAGCTGCATGTGAGCCCTCCTTTCCATCCCTTCATGGATCCATTTCTTCATTGTTATGGGCTGTATTTTGTTCCCTCGAATTCACATGTTGAAGTCCCAATCCCCAGAGCTGCAGAATGTTACTGTATTAGGAGACAAAGCCGTTAAAGAAGAAATTAAGTCAAAATGAGGCCGTTAGGGTGGGCCCTAGTCCAATATGACTGGTGACCTTATAAGAAGAAATCTGGACATGCAAAGCACCGAGAGCTACAAGTGGACAGAGGGCCAATCATGTGACAAGGCAGCAAGGGGACAGCCATCTGCAAGCCAAGGAGAGCAGCTTCAGCTCAAAACCAATCCTTGGAAGACTGAAATGTTTTCTTTAAGATTGGGAACAAAGCAGCCAGGTGCAGTGGCTCACGCCTGTAATCCCAGCACTTTGGGAGGCTGAGGCGGGCGGATCACCTGAGGTTGGGAGTTCGAGACCAGCCTGACCAACATGGAAAAACCCTGCCTCTACTAAAAATACAAAATTATCCTGGTGTGGTGCCGCATGCCTGTAATCCCAGCTACTTGGGAGGCTGAGGCAGGAGAATGGCATGAACGCGGGAGGCGGAGTTTAGAGTGAGCCAAGATCACTCCATTGCACTTCAGCCTGGGCAACAAGAGCGAAACTCTGTCTCCAAAAAAAAAAAAAAAAGGGAGCAAAGCAAGGATGCCTGCTTTGGCCACTTCTATTTACATAGTACTGAGTCTTAGCCAGAGCAACTAGGCAAGAAAAAGAAATAAAAGGCATCCAAATTGAAAAGGAAGAAGTAAATTATCTCTGTTCGAAGAAGATATGATCTCATATGCAGAAAACCTGAAGATTCCACACATGCACAAACCTGTTAAAATAAATGAATTCAGCGAAGTAGCAGGGTACCAAGTAAATAAACCCAGATCCATTGCATGTCTGTATACTAATAATCTAATAATGAACAATCTGAAAAAGAAATTATGAAAAAATAATACTATTTACAACAGTATTACAAAGAAGTTTAGGAATTAACTTGACTAAGGAGAAGAAAGATTTGCACAAGGAAAACTACCAAACGTTGCTGAAAGAATTTTTTTTTTTTGAGACACCCCAGAGTCTTGCTCTGTCACTCAGGCTGGAGTGTAGTAGCATGATCTCGGCTCACTGCAACCTCCATCTACCAGGTTCAAGTGATTCTCTTGCCTCGGCCTCCCTAGTAGCTGGAATTACAGGTGTGCACCACTACAGCCAGCTAGTTTCTTGTATTTTAGTAGAGACTGGGTTTCACCATGTTGCTCAGGCTGGTCTCGAACTCCTAAGCTCAGGCAATCCACCCGCCTTGGCCTCCCAAAGTGCTGGAATTACAGGTGTGAGCCGCTGCGCCCAGCCAGGTTGTTTCTTTTCACGTTGCTGAGTTTCAGGAGTTCTCTGTATATTCTGTATATGAATCTCTTATCAGATACATGATTTGCAAATATGTTCTCCCATTCTGCTGGTTGTGTTTTGGTCTGTTCATGTTGCCTTTTGGTGTACAAAACTTTAAATTTTTTTTTTTTTTTTGAGACTGAGTCTCGCTCTGTCTCCCAGGCTGGAGTGCAGTGGCGCGATCTGGGCTCACCGCAAGCTCCGCCTCCCAGGTTCACGCCATTCTCCTGCCTCAGCCTCCCCAGCAGCTGGGACTGCAGGCACACGCTGCCATGCTCAGCTAATTTTTTTGTATTTATTTTTTAGTAGAGACGGGGTTTCACCATGTTAGCCAGGATGGTCTCGATCTCCTAACCTTGTGATCCAACCACCTCAGCCTCCCAAAGTGCTGGGATTACAGGCGTGACCCACCGCGCCTGGCCTTTTAAATTTTTATGAAGTCCAATTTGCCCACTTTTTCTTTTGTTGCCTGTGCTTTTGGTATCATATTCAAGCAGTCATTGTCGAACCCAACGTTGTGAGCTCACACTGTAAACAAGTATTCTTTTTGTTGCCTACGTAGTGCCGCTTTTTTCACATTTGGTGCTTTTGTGTTCAATGGCCTCAAGCACAGTGCTGAAGTGCTGTCGAACGCTTGAGTGTGCTTCCATGTGCCTTGCAGAGAAAATACATGTGTTAGACCAGCTTTGTTCAGGCATGAGTTATAGCGCTGTTGGCTATTATTTCCATGTTAATGAATCAATGACATATGTTAAATAAGGGTGTCTCTAAACAGAAATTCACATAAAACAAGGTTACATATTTCTCAGCTGATAAAAATATCGTGACCATAGGCTCATAAGAACCTAATCCTATATTTATCGTATGAGCAGCAGTTCAGTATTCTCTAATTCAGTGTTTGTGTTGAATTTATAGAACATAACTACTGTGGTTAACAAGAATTGCGTCTGTCTATCTATCTATCATCGTCTAATAGAAAATATGTAAAAGATTTGAATGCACACTTCACAAAAGAAGCTATACAAATAGCCAATAATCACATGAAAAATTGTCCAACATCATTAATTGTTGGGGAAACGCATATTAAAACCTCAAAGGGCTACCATTATGTACCCATAAGAATGGCTAAAATTTTAAAAGATTGATAATAGAAGATGTGGAGAAACTGGAACTCTCATACATTTTTGATGGGAATGGAAAATGGTACAACCATTTCAGAAACCATTTTGATGGTTTCCTAAAAAACCTAAGATTCACTGACAATTTGACTTGGCCACTCCAGCTAGATACGCCCACACAAAGACTTTTATGTGAATGTTCCTAGCAGCTTTAGTCATAATAACTAAAACTGAACCAAGCCAAATGTCCATTGGCAGATGGATGAATAAATAAAGACATATTCATACAATGGGTTACTGGGGAAAAACAGCAATAAGAAGAAATGAACTGCTGAAGCACTCAACAACATGAATGAATGTCAGGCACATCATGCTGAACAAAAGAATGCAGGCACCGTGTACACTGTGTATGAGTATACCGTGTAAGATTTTATTTATACAAAATGCTAGAAATGACAAATCTAATCCATAGTGAAGAAAGTAGATTAGTGGTTGCGTGGGACTGAGGGGTGAGGGTGGTGGGGATTGACTGGGAAAGGGCACAGGAACTGTCTTATGTGACGGAAATGTTCTTTCTTTTGATTGTCGTGGTTGTTACATGCATGCATGTATGTGCCACACTTATCAAAATGTATGTGGAAAATAGTTGTCTTTTATTAAATGCAAATTGTGCCTCAATAAGGTTGTTTTAATTAACTTATTTATGATTAGTTTTGAGACAGAGTCTCGCTCTGTCGCCCAGGCTGGAGTGCAGTGATGTGATCTTGGCTCACTGCAACCTCCTGGGCTCAAGCGATTCTCCTGCCTCCGTCTCCCGAGTAGTTGGGACTACAGGCATGTGCAGCACCATGCCAGGCAAATTTTTGTATTTTTAGTAGAGATGAGGTTTCACCATGTTGGCCAGGCTGGTCTCAAACTCCTGGCCTCAGGTGACCCACGCGCCTTGGCCTCCCAAAGTGCTGGGATTATAGGCGTGAGCCACTGTGCCCAGCCCCAATAAGGTTGTTTTTCAAATATAAGCTATTAAACAAAGATTTCCAGAAATCCCAGGAATGCCTTTAATATAAAACAGAGAGCTCAAAAGAAACAAAAAGTGAGTATAAAGGAGAAGAAAACATCCATACGATTATTCATACCCTAGGAGGGGAAAAAAGAAAAGATAACAGATCCATGAAGCAAAGAAGGATGACTTTGAAAAGGAAAATCAGAGCACAGAAGAAAGCTCTTAGAAATAAGTTTTTAAAAATTAACAATAAAAATTAAAAACTCAGTAGAATAGGATGACAAATTTGAGGAACTTCCCAGAAAGTAGAGCAAAATGACAGAGATAGAAGACAGTAAAATAGCTGGGCACGGTGGCTCACGCCTGTAATCCCAGCACTTTGGGAGGCCGAGGCGGGTGGATCACGAGGTCAAGAGTTCAAGACCAGCCTGACCAACATGATGAAACCCCGTCTCTACTAAAAATACAAAAATTAGCTGGGCGTGGTGATGTGTGCCTGTAATCTCAGCTACTCAGAAGGCTGAGGCAGGAGAATCACTTGAATCAGGGAGGCAGAGGTTGCAGTGAGCCAAGATCGCGCTACTGCACTGCAGCCTGGGCGACAGACAGAGACTCCGTCTCAGAAAAAAAAAAAAAAAGAAGAAGAAGACAGTAAAATAAAGAAGCTTAGCGAGCCAGTTCAGAAAATTGGATACACAAATAATAGAAAGCCCTAAACAGGACAGAAAAATAGCAGAGGAAATCATGGAAGAAATAGTAACTCTGGAAGCTTGAATGCAATAGAACTATGCCTCTCACATTTTGAACGAAAATTATTTAACCCCAGTTTTATTCTCAGCTTAACTATTAATCAAGGGTGAAGGTAGAATAAAACATTGTCCAACAGTAGCAGTCTAAAACTCAGCCATCTCAACTCCCATTAAACAGTTTCCTAGGAGGTCACCAGAGCATGTGTCCCCGCATGAGTGAGCCTAAAGGGGCAAGAGCTAGCTGTGCACACAGCAGGAAAGGGGAGAGGGGTACAGGGGCAAGGAGGGGCATCCAGGAAGATGACGCAGGGACCGCGGGCCCCAGGCATTGAGGGCACCTAGTGAGAGTGGGAAGGCTCTGGGAGAGACCCCCCAGGAGGAGGAAGAATACCTGATGTGTCTGATGATCTTGAGGGAGACTTAAAAAATTGTCACGGCCCAGGAGTTTGGACCAGCCTGGGCAACATAGCGAGATCTTGTCTCTACAAAGAAAAAAATCAGCCAAGCTTGTGGGTGCACATCTGTAGTCCCAGCTACTCAGGAGGCTGAGGTGGGAGGACGGCTTGACCCTGGGACACTGAGGCTGCAGTGAGCTGTGATCGTGCCACTGCACTCCAGCTTGGACAACAGAGCGAGACTGTCTCAAAAAAAAAAAAAAAATTGTCACCAGATTTGAGTTGAATTAATAAGTAAATAGAAGAAAATAAGCCCCTTCTCTTGAAAAACAAAAACAAAAAAACAAAAAACCCCCAAAAAACCCCACAAAACCCCAAACCGCAGGCAATTATTAGCATCATGGGAAACAAAAGAAAGAAGTAGTTCTGGTGCACTGAATGGCTTGTCTCTGAATAGCATGACATAGCTTAATACAGCACTACAAACGATGAATTCTGACCTGCACAAGATTACCACGCAGCCACACAGGAGGGTGGAGGGAGAGGAACTGAATGCAGGAGGTGGGGATGGAGAAGGACAAGAGCTCAATTCTCATCATCCAAAGTGAGGAAGTGAGGAGTCTGTAAATCTACTTTTTTTTTTCCTTTTTGTGGAGAACTGGGCCTGGCTATGTTGCCCAGGCAAGTCTCCTGTGCTTAAACAATTCTCCTGTCTCTGCCTACCTAAGCGCTGGGATTACAGGTGTGAACCACCACGCCCAGCAAGAAAACCTAAATCTAAAAACCCAGGAAGCTTCAACACAGACTTGTTATTTACACACAGAGCAAATGCCAACACGATTAGCATGAGAGGTGGAAGCAGCTGCCTCTCTGCCTCTAGGGGAAGAGGAGAGTGCAGGAGGGCAGGAGTGCAGGGAGTATTGGGAGCTTTTATGAACTATTTGAGCCTTCAAACCACGTTCACATCTATGCTTGGTAGAAATAAAAATGTAAGGATTACTAACACAAATGAAGAGAGCACATTGGAGGCAGAGGAATGGGCAGAGCTGTGGGCTGACTCTTTCAAGGAGTCGGGCTGGGCAGGGGACAAGAGGAGCGGGATTGGTGGTTTTCTTGGGTCTGGTGTGATTTGGGTGTTGTGAGATTTTCGCATTTTCATTTTTGCTTATGTATTCATCTGGTTTTGGGTGTGTTGGTGGTGCTGTTGTCTTGAAGGATGCTGAGATTGGACTGGATGCCGTGGGGGCGACCCCGAAGGGAGCAGAACAGCCACTGAAGATGGGGGAGACAGCTGTGTTGGAAGGAGGCCCGAGTCTGGCAGTGGGGGTGGATGTGACTGGGAGGATGGAGGTGGGTTTGTAGAGAGGGAGGGATGGGCAGGAAGAAGGGGTCCAGGAAGGGTCCCTTCCTCTAATAGGGAAGCTTCTTTTTTTTTTTTAACTAAAAAATTTCTATTTTTAGAAGTAGGAGGTGAAGTTACTCCTTGTGCCAAAGGAGTGACCAATAGGGGCTTGAGGATTGAGTGAGTTCCACAGGATGCTTCAGTCGCTGACTGAGGCCCTGCTTGGGTAGGAGGCAAGGGTGCACCGATTCTGTGAAGACACAGACTGTTCTCAGCACCCCGGGTAGGAGGGCAGGAAGGGAGAGGGCTGTGTCTCCGTGGCTGGGGAGGAAGGAAGGCTCCCTGGCACCCACTGTCTGGGCAGGTGGCTGGACCACGGCTTTGCACCTCACAAGGGTCTGTGTGTGGATGTGGAGGCCCCACGGAGCCAAGGCCGCACACCAGAACCACAGCTGTCAGTGTGCTGGTGCCCAAGGAAGGGGCGCTTTCATCCATGCCTGTCCCTTGCACCTCTCTCTGTCCCCAACCACTCGCTGCAGACCTCAGATGGCCTCTGCAGCCTGTTCTCTCTCACAGTTGTCTGGGAATTAACTCGACTGGAGCTTGCTTGAGTCTGCTGGGGCTTGCTTACAGCTCCTCAAACACTGGGTGGAGGGGCTGCTCCTCTGGGTTTGTCCTCTCACCCCTGCGGGAAGCACATGCTCAGCAAGACAGGCTTCAGAGCAGGAAGGAGTGAACAGACCTGAACAGCCAGCCTCTTCCCAAACCTGGACCCTATGTCAGGACCAGGCCACTGTTGGGGCCAGGGGACCTGCCTGTCTGGACTGGGAAATGCTTGCATTCTATTCCCCTGAAACAATACAGAAAGCAAAACAGGATCAGGCAACTGTCTTCTTTACTAAAGTCTCATCTGAGTCCTGTTAGGTCAAAAGATAGCACCATTCCTGTTTGGGGTGTAAAGTAAACACTTTTTTTTCTTTTTTGTTTGGAGACAGGATCTTGCTCTGTTGCCCAGGCTGGAGTGCAGTGGCCCAATCATAGCTCACTGCAGTCTCAACCTTCTGGCCTCAGGAGATCCTCCCACCTCAGCCTCCTGAATAGCTGGAAACACAGATGCACACCACCATGCTCAGATAATTAATTTTTTTTTTGTAGAAGCAGGGTCTCCCTGTGTTGCCCAGGCTGGTCTCAAACTCCTAACCTCAAGCGAAGCTCCCACCAAAGTACTGGGATTACAGGCAAGAGCCACTGCACCCCACCAGTAAGTTTTACTGTAAAACATTAGTTTTTTCTTTCCAAATCCCCAAATACTCCCCATTCTGGTGCCCCATGCACCAGAGGTTCCCTGGCCAAAGTGCAGGCATCGTTGGGAACAATAGCCCTTTTAAGCCTCAGAGGGAAGCCGGGACAGCGGAGAGCGTGCATCCAGCGCAGTCTGCGTACAGGGCTAGGGTGGGAAGAGTGCTCAAGGGAAGACAGACTCACAGGGAGACAGGGAACACTGAGGATGCAGAAGTCTACGTGATGCCTCTGCCTGGCTTCATCTGTGTGTGGCATTAGCCAGGCACGATTCAGCCTCAGAGAACCTGCTTCCTCATCTGCATGGTGGAAATGATCGTAGCATCTCCCTAGGAGGATTGTCTTGAGGTGACAGTGGAGAACACGTGCGGAGCTCTTAGTTCCACTTATATGGAGAATGCACACCGGCCGCTGTGGGGCCTCATGTTTGATACAGGAGGTAACGACATTCAGCAGATGGAGCGAGTGGGATGGGGCACGAGACTGACCATGTGGCCAGCTTTCTCTGTCCCTCCTTAACCTCTTTCTACCCACCTTCCTGCCAAGTGAGGCCAGAAACCCTGCCCCTTCCATTCCAGCAGGGACAGTGCCAGTGTCCGAGAGTGTACTCTGTGGGGACAGCCACCAGAGAACTGGGTATCTTTAGCCTTCGCCTGTCAGCACCAGAGCCAGAAAACTGCCCACCTCAGAAAGTAGGGTGAAGGGCAGGGCAGGCCCTATCCCAGCATCTGGCCACCCAGGCTGGCTTGGCTGGGCACACCATCTCGGTGCACATTCCTGTCATTGTTTGTCCAAGATGGGGCACGGGCCTAGATTGGAGGCCCCAGCCCCGATTGTAGAAGTGAGTAGTCCATGAAAATATGCTGTCCTTCCACCTGCACTTCCCCTGCGGGCCACCGTCTCCTGGCTTGGTGGCAGGGATGAACCATGGGTGGGGCCCTCAGGGTCAATTCTCTTCCTCTTCCCTCGGCCAACAGCTGTCCTGGGGGGCTGCGTGGGGCCTCTCAGTCCTCCTAGCCTGTTGAGGGTGGCTATGGGTGAGCATCAGCTGAGACCCAGCCATGGTGTCTGGGAGGCAGTGGAGTATCGGGAGTGGGGTCTGGAGGGTGGGGGCTTGCAGGCTTAAGGACAGCAGGTGGGGTGTGGGGAGCCAGGATGCCCAGAAGCAGGAGTGGGACAGGTGTAGCGCCCTGGAGGAGGGAGTATGTGAGCTGGGCAGGGTTTAAGCCAGTGGATTACATCCTCATCACCACCATCGTGCCACCTAACACCCATGGTACAACACACCTGGACTGTGCTGGGTGATGGGTGCATGATGTGAGGGGCAGCCGTGCCCCTCATTCCAGCCACCGGTGGAGGTCTGTCCTGCATGATCCACAGGTGTCACCAGCTCTCACCCTAGAAAGTGGAGGCCACGGGGCCAGACTCCCAGTGGGCAATAGACCTGGAAGTTGCCTTCAGTGAGCCTCCCCAGCCCCTTTTTGCCCCCTTGCCCTGTCTTTATCGTGGGTTACTCCTTGCTCTCACCAGCCCCCGTCTCTCCCTCTGCCTCAGTGTGGGAAGCAGTGAGGTACCATAGGAGAGGTGGGCAGCAGGGGCTCACAGGGGAGGGAGCCTGGGAGGCGGGGCCGAGGCCACCCTGGCGCTGACTTGTCTGGTGCCCTGGGCCAGACTCCCACCCTCCTGGGACCTGGGCTCTTCATCTGTAAATTCCTGGGCTTCTCCCGGTGCTGCTGTGCCGGTGGCTGAGGCTTCTCTGGCTTGGCTGCTCATGCCCTGGGCGAGGGAGAGAAGAGGCCCGCCCAGTGACTGTGACCCTCTCAGGCCCTCTGGGAGCTCCTCCCTCAGTGTCAGGGGCTGTGGCAGGAATGGCCTCTCCCCAAAGCACTGGAGCTTGGTTTCCTAAGTGGGACTGTTTTAAACTATGTCATGGCTGATTAAACGTTCAGTTCTATGGGAAAAAGCAAAAGTACCAGCCCAAGTTCATGACAGAATGCCAACAACATGGTTAATGAATAAGCATAATGTGAATAGCCATCGTCTGCCCAGGCTGGAAAGTTCAGGATCATTCTAGACCTTCTTTTTCTTCATTCCCACAATGATAACAGCGGCCGGTACTTCCTGAGATGTCCTTGGTCCCAGGGACTTATCTGAACCGAGTCCTCAAATCCTCCCAGCTGCCTGTGAGGCAGAATTAATATTCCCATTCTGCAGACAGGAAGCTGAGGCTGAGAGGGACCACACACTTGGGCTGGCTCAGGGATCCATGCCCTCGGCCACTCCCTTTGGCTGCTCTCAGCTCACCAAGATCTGGCCACATCTCTCCTATCTCCCTGGTCCAGCCTGCCCGCTCACACCCACAGCATCTCTCGGCTGGATGGCTGCCACTGCCCAAGAGATACCCCCACAGGGCTTGCCCCTTGGGTGAAAGCCAAGCTCAGCTCTGCCTCCAGGACCAGCCCAGGCCCTCGTAACCTCCTAAGACACCCCCTCACCCCCCAGCCTTCGACACACACCTGGCCCAGATCACCCTTGCTCTGCCCAGGGAAGCCCTTTCCGACTTCTTTGTATGGCAAAGTCTCCCTCATCTCAGACATCCCTCCGCAGCAGGTTGGGCTCCTGGCTAGGTTTTCCTGACACTCCTCAAGTGCCATTTGGAGTTTTCAGTATTGGTAAAGTCAGCATTGTGAGTATGAAGGACATCTTAGCATGTGCCCCCTGCTCCCAGAGAGACAAGGACCCTGTCACAGTGAGACATGAAGCATGACGGTTAGCCTCAGGGGCCCGGGAGCCACTCTGCTGGAATCAGGATCCATGCCTACTTGCTGTGTGACCTTGGGTAAGTCACTTAACCTCTCTGTGCCTCAGAGTCCTCATCTAAATTGTATCTACCACATAAGGTCGTCACAGGATTAAGTGAAGAAGTAAAGCACTTCAAGCAGCACCTGGCACCCAGCGGCGCTGGGAAGTCATCTCACGCCGTATGTCATGGGTGCCTGCCTCCAGCTGAAGGAAGTCCTGGCAGCCGAGCACCCCGTGTGAATCCAACCTCTCTGGTACCCTCTAGAGAGCCTGGCAGTGTGATGATCTCGTTACCTGTGAAGGAAGAGAGCAGCCACAGCTAGGAACCCCCGTGTCTGCTCCAGCGCCCCAGCTCTTAGAAGCTGCTGTCGCCGGGTATGATGCAGACAGAACAAAGGCCACTGAATAACGCGGAGTAGGAAAAATCACTTCAAATCTGTTTTTTCAAATCGCGTTATTTTAAATGCCCTGGGCGGATGCCCACGTGTGCAGGGACACTCAGCCTGTCCAGAGGCGCTTTGTCTCTTTGAAAGGCCTCTTTGTAACCCCACACCGGCCCCAGTTGATACCCAGAACAACAGGCCCTTGTGTGGGCCCCGAAGGCAGGCTCGCTCCAGCCCACGGCTGGCAGCGCAAACCCTTTGCTGTCTCTTTAAGGTCAGCGTAAGGCAGCCTTCAATCCTCCATTTGGGCTGCTTTGCAAAAATAGTCCTACAACCTGCGGGAGTGGGGGTACGAGATGCTTTTTAGAATTCGGCTCTCAAATGTTGAAGAAGCCCGGCTCATATAAGCTGTGTCTTCTCCAGAAGGGAAGATCGATGGGGCTCTATCATGTGCAGAATGGGGGGCAGGAGCTTAGCTCCCTGGGACACCTCCCAGGCCACCCTGCCCTGCACAAGGAAGGCCACCAGGAGGATACTCCCAGGATCGCCCCCTGAAGCAAGGGGGCCACAGCCTGGGAAGTCACAGGCCATAGCCTCCAAAATGTCCTGGCTGGATTTGGCTTATAGTTACCTTTTGCTGATTGCTCTCTGGTGATGTGCCCCCTCCCCACACACGTGTCCATAATGAATCATAAGCCCCATGGAGCTGCTCGAGGGCCATGGAAAGCAAGAAGGAATGCAGTGACCAAATCACTGTCCAGTGAAATCTACACCAGAGCGCTCCCAGACACTGTACCAAACCCTGGCTGCACCCCCATCAGAAACTCCCTTTCACCTGGCATCTGTCCACCACAAGGTCTCATCTCACTGTCATTTCCTGAGAGGCCAGAGGACAGACATGCATGAGCACAGGTCAGCTGGAGCGGCCCTGGGGCGCTGGGCCTGCTCACTTATGCGGCCGTGTTTATTGAGCACTGGCCCCGTGTCCCTCCTGGCGCCTGACCGGGCACTGCACGTTCCTGGGTCCATGGACAGCACACAAGCCACAGGGACAATCAGGGGAGGGGGAAGCCCTTAGCAGTGACCCACGAGGCCCAGTTGGTCCAAACCCCTCTGTTCTCTTCTCTGCTGGGCCCACAACTTGGTGGGGACAAAAGTGGGGTGACTGACTATGGTCTGGCCTATTCTGCAAGCTTTGGCTCTGAGTCACAGCATACACAATGGCCTCTTCCTAATCCTTTCTCAGGCTTGTGGATAGATTTAGCTCCTTATTCTGTGAGCTTAAAAATACCCAGTTCCTCACCTTTGCAAAGTATCAGCTGGACTTTGGCTTTGGCTCTATGGGGGCTGCAAAGTGGACCCAGCAGCTACCTGAGCTGGCGTGGCTGTGGCTGCAGCTCTGAGCAGCCAGCTCTTCTCCAGGAGACGCTGAGTGCAGGGCCTGGCCGTGGCCGTGGGCTGCTATAGGCCCTGCTGGTGGACTGGGGCTATCCTAAGTGCCTGGCTTCATCACTCTCTGAAGGCTCCTGCCTACCAGCATCCTGTCAACCACTAAATCTCACTGCCACTTCCTGGGAGACGGGAGGACGGCCCGCGTGAGGACAGGTCTGGGTGCCTTGAGGTCATATCAAGCCCAGGGCTTCAGGGCCAGAGGGAGGCGGCCCTCAGTCCAACTGCACTTCTCACCACCTGCACCAGCCTCAGTTTTCTCACCTGTAGGATGACGTGGCCACTGGGAGAGTGACAGAAAGCTATATATGGAAAGTGCTTACACAGTGCCTGGCACAAGGCAAGAGCCCCCAAAATGGCAGGGAAGATGGTTACACAAGAGTGAATTTGGGTCTTCTGGGCAGTTGCGTTTGATCTAAGTGAGGGCCACAAGCAGGCAGTCTGTGAGTGCCTTGGGTGGCACCAGGCTCTGCCTTAGAGGAGGTCCCCTCCTGTGTAAGACAGAGGCAGAGAGGTGAGGGGTGCCAGCAAGAAGCAGCTTTGGGGGCTAGAAACCATCCCCTCAATGGTCCCAGCACACAGAAGGTGCTCAGCCGGTGCCCCTCTCTGCAGCCTGCTTCACCCAGCAGGCTTCTCTAATGTCCCCATTCCCAACCCTTCCTACCCAGGCATCGTGGGCTCCCAGGGGAGCAGCACCCATGGCTGGCAGGGCTGCCGCCAGCACTCATGTGTACCTGCAAGCACAAAACAGCCAGATAGGGACAGAGCTGGGAACAGAGATGCAGGAGCAAAGAAACCCGACAGGGGCTGGGGTGTGAGGGTGGGGGGTGAGGAGGAAGAGCAAGACCGGAAGGGGGCATTTTTTGAGGCTGGAAATGAAACCTTGCCCATCCAATTTACATCCAATGTGAATAGGATGCAAGTCAAATGTGAAATGAAACTGCAAATTTAAAATATGCCCAGGGCTAGAAGGAATAAGAAAGTGGCGTCAGAGAACCATCTGCAAAGCCTTTGGCTAAATTAAAAATAGAGAAAGAGTATATGAAAGATTTTTTTAAAAAGAGAATGATTAAAATGTCAAAACATTGAGAAGCCCTTGGGAAACTAAGCCTTCCATTTCTCCTCCTCCTTCTCCCCCTCCTTCTTCTTCTTCTTTTTGATGAGGGTAAAAAGTGAGCTTCATTAACATGTTGATGGCTTCCTGTGGACAGTTTTGTTGAAAAATGAGACTTCTCTCAATCAACACTGGATGGAAATTTTGTTAAACATGTAACAAACTTCCTATTACTTCTCATTAGGTAAAGCCCCAGTCAAACCTTTTGCTCATGATATACTATGAAATGTTGGCTGTTTGACGTGTACTTACTAAGAGTGGCTGGTTTCTGGTACCAGTTATCCTGGATTAACAAAGGACCTCCTGAATAGACCAATTTAGTTGTAGACTCTCCAAGTTGAAGAGCAGTAAAATGTCAACTAAACTCACCACTTGAGGCTTGAATTTTATTTTTATTTTATTTTATCATTTTATTTTAGAGACAGGGTCTTGCTCTGCTGCCCAGGCTGGAGTGCAGTAACACCATCACAGCTCACTGCAACCTCAAACTCCTGGGCTCAAGTGATGCTCCCACCTCAACCTCCTGAGTAGCTGGGACCACAGGTACATGACACCGTTACAGCCTGAAGCTTGAATCTTTGTCCCCATGGCTGCCAGCAAGAGGTTGCAGATGCTCTACCACACACCTCCATGGCAGGAAGCTCACGGGTCTTCAAGCACCTCTTCCAGCGTCCCATCTCTGGAATGGCACTAACTTCTCGGAGCCATGGGATAAGGGAGCGTTTCATAACAGAGCTGGGCTTTCCAGATTCCTAACTCAGTGCCTCCTTCCTAATCATCCCATCTCCTTTCAACCCAGACATCTCAGACTTGAAACATGGCATTCACCCCTTGTCACCGTACTTCCTTTCACTCTGTAATTTCCTCTCCTTTCTCTCCTATGGAGTGGCCCGAGGAAATTCTAAAATAATGTATTATCCACACAATGGGAACAAAGCAGACTGCCCAGGAACACGCTGATGAGCTTCACAATGAGTGAATGAAAACTTGTGCACCGTGTTTTCTTTTGGTGGAAGGAGGTTCTAGTGG
This sequence comes from Homo sapiens, assembly GCF_000001405.40. Taxonomy (NCBI): domain Eukaryota; kingdom Metazoa; phylum Chordata; class Mammalia; order Primates; family Hominidae; genus Homo; species Homo sapiens. Next base: position 95,054,287 of record NC_000002.12, on the reverse strand, counting down.
GGCACAGACTGTTGTGTCTTGTAGGAAGGAGAAGCTGCCCCTGGCTGGCACTTGGCCAGTTTCCAGAGAGAGGGGAAGCCATCTGGGCAGGTAGCTGGGAGGGTGGGCTCCCCAGCACCGGGCTCTGAGAGTGCAGTGGCCTGGCACACACAGTGTCCGTCGTCTGAACTGCCACCTGATGCTGTCTCTTGAGATTCAGGTTAAGTCAAAGGATTCCTCAGAAAGAAAGCTGAATTGATGGTATTCTTGATGCTGAGGAATTCAACCCAAACCCAAAAAACACCCAACAAATGTATTGAACATTAAGACATTTTATAAAGTATTTCACAGGGTTATCGTCTTCCACCATGGACCTCTGGAAAGATCTGTTGGGTGAGTTTTAGTCCCCATGACATGCAGAACATCCATGAAGACTTAAAACATGGCACAAGATGGGGCGCTCGGGAGAGCTTGTGGACAATACCAACAGGTAGTTCTCGAGAGCTGCTCCAGGGGTCAGCAGAGGATCTTTCTTTCCTTCTCAGGTCACGGTCGCCACTTCCCACCCCCGAACAAGAAGGTCCCCTTTCACAAACAGGAGGTGACCCTAGCAGACAGCACAGCAGTTGGAGGTTAGACACAGCAAGCTCCCAACCCGGACGCGAAGGCACACGGGAGAGTAAACACAGCACCCACGAGCAACAGGGCAGGGCTTTTTTTTTTGGGCAGTGGGGGGGTGGTTGTTTTCTTTTTTCCACCATCAAGGGCATTTCTGTTTTCTAAAAAGTTATGCCGGAAAGTGGGGCGGCCAGTTAACACCATCTGGGTTTTCAGCTCAAGTTCTACTGCGGCTTTATGAAGACTTCCATCTGATTAAAGAGAACACCGCATGGACCACGTAGAGCAGAGTGGCTATGTAGGAGAACACCTGGAACCAAGAGAAATGGCCGTTAATGGGTTTGTGTAGGGAGGGCGAGGCACAGCGTCTGCACTGCATCCAGCCCCACGTGGCGTAGGGGGGGCCAGACCCAGAGAGCTTGGGCTGTCATTGCTTCTCACCCTCACATGGACGCCCTCCCTGCTGAGCCCAGGTGTGCACCAAATCCTCTCAGTACAGAGCTCCATGTGACCTAACAGTCTCCTGGATCTGGTGTGGAAGGTAAGACTCTCCACTATCACCCAGCATCACATTCGTCTCAGCTTGAGGTTTCGGCTGACTTGAGATGGAGTCCTCAAAGACCCCTCCAATGAAAGCATCTCAGGCAGGTAACTCTCCAGGGACAACTTCCTCCCCCAACACCAGTGAGACCAGCGCCCTCCAGCTGTGGTCCTGGTAGCTCGGTTGAGAGATTGTAAATACCTGGGTTTGCTGGCCCTGGTGAAAGTCTCCATGCTGCCTGGACATTCTCACCCTATCATTATTTTGTTTTAGGATTCTTAATATCACAGGTGTGGCTGAGAGAGCCAGACTTCATAGGAAGTGAGGGACAGAGAAGGGGAGAAGGGATTTTGAGCTTTTGTCTAAAGGAGGGGCCTTACTGTTGGGACCATCCAGTCAGCCACTGTGGCCCTTGGAGCGATGGCCCTGCTTTCTGGGGACTTGCTGTGTCCTCCTGGGCACTGTCTGCTCCCATCACCCTACTCCCTGAAGGCCTGCCTGCTGCCAAGTCCAATCTCTGCACCTGGTTTTGTGACCTTGGTTAGGGGTCAAGAGTTTCCAGCTCAGGCACGACGTCCATTTAGGGCGGCTACGCCTCTGTGACTCCTGAAAATGCTCATCAATCCCAGCCCTCAGGGTGCCTGCTCTCCTGCCCCTACACCTGGCCAAGCCCTTTCCCTCATTGCCTGGAGGCGGTGAGTAAGCTGAATTATTGAATAACACATTTAAGAGAACGTATCTGGGCAGGAGCAGTCAGACACCAGTGGGCAGCCCTCCATAAAAGGTGGGCATTCCAGACCAATGAAAGCCTTTGGCAGAAGCACCTTGGAAGTCCCCAGCAGGAAGAGCAGTGGAGACTCATTTTCCAAGTGGGGTCAAGAAATGGCCCACTGGGAACACGTAGAGCTGGGCACGAATGGGCAAATTTTGGCTTCAGAAAGCCCTCTCCCTAAACTGTAGCCATCACTGCCCACCATTGTATAATCTAGAAACCTCCAGATTTCTCCAGAAATTTCCATCTCGCCCCAGGCGACTTCCACCCATCCCTGGGGTCCCTTTGGCAAAGCAGCTCCGCCACCCACAAAGGAGAGAGGGAGGAGCTCAGCTTGGAACAGACCCTAATTAGTAGCCACACAGTGGATGTGAGGCAGGCTGGCTGCTTCCAAAACCAGGCTGTGTGAGAGAGGGTGTGAGGTGCCTCCCTGTACCCAAGTATCCCCTGGACTGGGCATGCTGTGGTTGGGCGGGTCTGGGATTGAATCCTGAGTAACGAACTTCTTTCTCTCTCACAGACGGATGCAGTTGATACCGTGAGTTGAAAGGTGTGACTTTACATCGAACGCCGTGCAGATTTCCCCTTGGTGGTTTTATCTGGGCACATCTGCCAGCTGAGAACACTCTGGTTCTCAATTCTAACGCTCCTGTCTGCGTGAACATATTCGTGTCTATCCAACTCAACTAAAAAAAAATGGGAACATGGTCAGTCATGGGATGGATAAATAGATGTTGGTCTATTCCTACAAGGGAATACTATACAGTAATGAGAACAAACAACCCACATCTACACCCAGCCACTTGGGTGAGTCTCACAAACACAAGGGTGAGAGAAAGAAGCCACACATGAGTACCCACTGTATAATTCCACTTATATGAAGTTCAAAGGCAGGCAAAACTGAACATGGTGCTAGAAATCAGAATTGGGTGGTGGTGGGGGTGCACAGTGATGGGGACAGGACTTGAGGGGATTTCTGGGAGTTGTTTATCAGGCCCTAATTCTTAGTCCAGATGCCAACTACACTGGGGAGTTTGCTCTATGAGAATTCATCAGACTGTGCGCTGGTAACTGGCCCTAATTCTTAGTCCAGACACCATCCACACAGGGAGTTCGCTGTATGAAATCCATCAAGCTGTGGGCTTGTAACTGCACACCTCTCTGGCTGTGTGCTGCCTTTGATAAAAGGTAAAAGAGGAAAGTCAGAAGGCAGTAGAGCCTAGTGGTTCTCAACTAGAGACCTGCCCAGCGGGAAGGGGTGTTCATTCCCCTAGCTGGGTTTTTCCATCAAGTGCTGACCCACTAACCACATCCCATCTACATTTCGCAACCTTTGTTCACAACAATTTTATGGAAATTATTGTCAGACACTTTGTTGATGTTTGTTAAAAGAGAAGGCTTGGCTGGGATGGGGGAGGTATGAGGCAGTCTTGGGAGAGGGAGATGAGATGGAATTGTGTGAAGAAGATGGAGGGTGGCTCACCAGCCTCCCCAGGAAGGAAGATCAGTCAAGATGCCCCCTGGCTGTGCTGCTGCTTGGAAACCAGCCATGTTGGGAGATGGGCCAACACGGGAGATGTTTCCACACCGCGGGACCCCTGGGGGGATGCCAGGATCCTGAGGGGGCCCTTTTTAGGGGAGCGATTGTAGGCTGGGAGCTTGAGGGCAGTGTGTGGTTTCCCCAGGGCAGGGGACTGTGCAAGGGGACCAGCAAGTGAGGCTTTGAGGGATTTTCCCCTGGGGCCCTCCTTCTGGGAGTGGGAAGAGGCACTTCACCAACCCCATTTCTAAAGCCTATCTGTGGGTCTTCTCTCAGCCTCTGCCCTACACTTTCCAAAAAGAGGGGATGACACAGCTTTGGCTACTAGAGCTGGTATCTCAGGATCTGTCACCACATTCTACCTTGGGATTTGCATAATTCATAGGTTAAGTTCTAGAGATCTGAAGAGTGCTCTTTCTGAAACTTCTTACTTTTTAACAATACCCATGGTCAGAAGCATGTTTTATATCGTAGACTGGTGCAAGGGCACACATGCACAGCTCTGAAAAACATGTGATGAAACAATATATTCTGTTACCCTGTCATTCTGATCCAGTCCATTAAGAAGAAAATCCACCTGGCCTCAGCGTCCCCACCCCTGGCTGGATGCTTCAATGGACGACCACTTGGGGAGAGTCAGGAGACCCATGAGGTCAGACTCACAGCCCCAAACTGGTGCTGAGAGTGTGGGGACTGGGCCTCCAGCGTTGATGCCAGGTCCCACAATGACTGGTGATCTTGGGCCAGTCACACTCTCTGGCCCCACTTCTCCATCTGTGAGATGGGTGTCATAATCCTGGGTTGTAGGGTTGCCATGGATGTTAAATAAGATTGTTCAGGGAGCACTCGGACAGGGCGCTGGGCAGCCGCATCCCCTCACACATCTGCCCTCTGCAAAGCCCACGCAGGCCTGGGGCATGCAGCCCTGGCCGGACGACTAAGCGGAGTCTTGGGCACAACATGACACTGCCCTTCTCGGGGGCTTTCCTGCTCCAGGCATGAAGGCAAGGTTTGACCTCACTCAAAAGTTAGTGAACTGAAAACAGACCAAGGGCCTAGGCAGCCTCCACACACACCCTGCCAGCCACGGAGCCGCCCGCTGTGGACACAGCCCCAGGTGCCCGGACTCACCACGGCAGCAATGTTTTCATGGTAGTGCCTGTAGGTGAAGCCGTCTTGCATCGTGATGGTGGCCAGGGCCTCCAGGACTGAGGCGCTGAGGTAAAAGAGGGCAGCGGTGCAGTGGTAGGCTGCGTCCTATGGGGCAGACGGGGTGTCAGAGGGATGGGGAGAGAGAGACGGGGCCCAGATGCAGAGCTGAGGTCCCCTCCACCCCCGCCCCTTGCCTCTCCCCCCACTTCCTTTGAATCCCACCCCTCCCAACCTTGTCACGGAGGTCCCATGCCTGCCCTGCTGTGCTGAGTCTCACTTCACTGCTGTGGGGCCAGAGTGAGCACTTTGCTGGGGATGGGACACTGGTCTCCCCTGAGGAAGGGTCAAGGGAGAGGTGGAGGAAGGGCCAGCAGCTTGGGGTGTCCCAGGGAAAAGCTGGTCCTGGATCTGAGAAGTGTCGTGCATGGCCACAGTCCAGGTTGGGTGTGGCCTCGCTGACCAGTGCAGGGTGAGGGAGGACCATGCTGTTTCTTTCGTTTTGTTTTGTTTTGTTTTGTTTTGTTTCATTGCTTATTTTTGGCCCCTGGTATATTTAAAAGCAAAAAAGGGCTGGGCGTGGTGGCTCATGACTGTAATCCTAGAGCTTTGGGAGATTGGTGCAGGAGGATCTCTTGAGGCCAGGACTTGAGACCAGCCTGGGAAACATAGTTAGATCCCCATTTCTACACAAAACAATACATCTTAGCTGGGTGTGGTGGCACATGCCTGTAGTCCCAGCTACTCAGGAGGCTGTGGCAGGACGATCACTTGAGCCTGGGAGGTTGAGGCTGCAGTGAGATGAGATTGCGCCACTGCACTCCAGCCTGGGTGACAGAATGAGACCCCCAACTCAAAATAAAGTAATAAATGAAAGCAAAAAGGTACTAAAACAGGGTTTTGTGTAGTTGTGATTTGGAAGTGATTTCAAAAGTCTAAGTAGCAGAGCTTTTGAGAGTGACAGCCTTGGCCAAATGGCCCCACCACCCCTACAGCAGGTAACAGGCAAGTGTCCTACATGTAAAAGTTACCTTTTCATGGGTCTCAAAGCAGAATTTATACAGAATAATGACCAAAGGCCGCTTCTGTTTCCCAGTGCTCTCTGGCAGCCCTGCTTGGAAGGCAGTGGCTGAGGAGCTGGACAGTAAGCATGGCCTGACCCTCAGAGCCAGGGCCAATTTCTGGAGCCCAACACCTTGGTCGGCCTCTGGGGCCCTGCTGCCTTGAGGTGAAAACAGCCCTTGCAGGTGATGGGAGGGGCAGGCAGGCACCTGGCGGGTACAGGTGGTGTGGGGGCTGGGCAGCTGGTTATCCATGGAAAGGCAGTCATGCAGGAGAACACAGAACAGGTCCAGTGAGGGTTGGCAGCGGCGACCTTGCCTCTGCCCCTGCCTCTCCTGATTCTGCTGCCAGGAGCCCTGGGCAGGCTCAGCCTTGGAACATGGTGGGGTGACATCTACGGAGAAGTCTCACCTGGCACTGGAAAAGCCCATCCTACTGGGCCAGGGACCAGTACTTCCTGCGCCCCCCTACAACCAGCAGCCACCCTGGGCTGGACTCACCAAGGTGACCCAGGAAGTCTCTCCACCGTGGGCTCCAATTATGTACAGGATGATCAAGGTGGTGGTGGCCACGAAGCAGAACACAGACACGAACATCACCCAGCCCTGGACCAGGGGCCAGGGCACCAGGGAGGAGGCCACCAGGATCCACACCAGGCCCCCGAAGATCTGCGGGGGAGGAGGAGGGGTGAGTTTTGGCCTAGAGGAGAGCCCCAGCCCAGGAAGGGCCCCCGACCAGCGGTCACATGGGGTGACTGGAGTGCAAAAACACAGGAAGCAGGCAAAGAGAACAGGGCAGGCATTTTCCTCTGCAAAAATGCATCTTTAGTCCCCCCAGGGCCCTGTGCTGGATCTCAATCCCAATCCCCGGCACGCTTGCCCTGATTAACTTTTTAAAACTTTTTTTTCTTGAGACAGAGTCTTGCTCTGTCACCCAGGCGTGAGTACAGTGGCGTGTGGCTCACTGCAACCTCTGCCTCCTGGGTTCAAGTGATTCTCATGCCTCAGCTTCCTGAGTAGCTGGGATTACAGGTGCATGCCACCATGCCCAGCTAATTTTTCTATTTTTGGTAGAGACGGGGTTTCACCATGTTGGCCAGGCTGGTCTTGAACTCCTGACCTCAGGTGATCTGCCCTCCTCAGCCTCCCAAAGGGTTGGGATTACAGGCGTGAGCCACTGCACCTGGCCTGAGTAACTTTTTAAATATGGGTTTAATTTTTTTATTTAACAAACACTTATATCAGACCTACATTCCAGGCACTATCCTAAGCACTTTACAAATAATAACTCAGTGATTCTCACAGTAACCCTCTGAGCAATGCTGACCTGTTTGCCAGATGAGGAAACTGAGGTAGGTGGAAGTTAAGTAATTCATCATTCTGAGAAAGGATTTATGCCATTTGGTATTGTCATGAGAAGAGCTGCTATTTCTTCTGATATTCTAGCCCTCCTACTTGCTTTGATATTAAAATGTCCTTTCCTTTATGCAATGGTAGTGACCAGCAGATCTTTTTGGTCTTTATTTGGCAAAACAAATTAACCACACTGTCAGTAGTCCCCTGCCCTGCCCTTCCTTTCTTTCTCTCTCTCTCTTTCCTTCATTTCTTCTTCCCTCCCTCCCTCTCCTTCCTTCCTTCTTTTTCTTTCTTTCTTTCTTCTTTCTTTCTTTCTTTTTTCTCTTTCTTTCTTTCTCTTTCTCTCTTTCTTTCTCTCTCTTTCTCTCTCTCTCTTTCTTTTCTCTCTCTCTCTCCCTTTCTCTTTCTCTCTCTCTCTCCCTTTCTCTTTCTCTCTCTTTCTTTCTCTTGCTCATTATTTCTTTTTCTGGATTCAACTGTTTATATTCCCAAGTCCAGGAAGTGTTCTGATGATCAGATTTGGAGTTGGAATGGAGTAACCAAGGACAGCCTTGTCTCTTTGGATGGCTGAGGATGGGCATGAGGAAAGTACAGTCCCGTGGTTATCCAGAATACACCCCAGTTGATGTCGCCAGGGTCAGTGAGCCCCATACAGTCAAAGAGGAGCAGACATGGGGGCCAGTAGCACCCCTCAGTAGCCCAGCCCCGCTCCTCGCCGTGGATGGACACATACAAACCCGCTCCCCACCGCGGATGGGTACGTACAAACTCCGTTCCTCACTGTGGACAGGCGTGTACAAACCCCAGCGGGGACTTTCTGCACTTCTCTTTCCCTTCTCCTCATCTCCCCCAGCGCCACCCCCACCCAGTAAGAATCAGCTCAGCCTCATCCACATGTTCCCCACTTGGATGAGGACTGGGCTCGAAGCACTCCAGGCCTATGTGGAGATTCCTTTGCAGCCAAAAGTCTCCAAGGTACTACAGAAGTGTCTGGGGGGCTGAGGATGGGGCTGCCCTCCCAGGCCTATGTCCCCTGTGGTTTGAATTCACATAGCACCTTGACCCCCCCACCTCCCTGCACCTGCTGCCCACCTGCTGGGTGAGAGATACCGCTGTCTTCACAGGTGTTCTCTGAGCTGCTTGACTGAGAAGCAATCAGGAGAGAATTGCATTTGGGTAGAAAAATCAGTGCAATGAAGACTTTGGATTTATTAAAACCAAGTTGTCCCTAAGGAATCAGATGTGGGCATCTCTGACCAGAAAGCGTCCTCTGCTGATGGATCTTAGGTTGCCTGAAGGCACGTGGCAGGGCCGGTGGGATGCACTGTGCATCTTACAAAAATGGGAGCAAAATCAATTAAATAAAAATGCCCAGACCACCATGGAATAAGATGTGTGTGTAGATTTCATCCACAGTTGAGTTTAAGATTCAACAGATTATGTGGCCTTTTCCATAACGGGCACTGACGGAGGGACAGGAGCACATTGGTACAGGCAGGGCTTGGATTCAGGAGGCATGCGAGGGTGGCATGGAGAAATAGGAGGAGGATCCAGCGGGCACATCCAGTGGGAAGAGGGAGGCCCTGGCCTGGGAACCCCTCTCCTAAGTGCCTTTTGCCTGGTGGCTACGTGACCCTCCCAGGAGGACCAATTTAAGTTGCTTCCTCGTTCACACAGTCTCAGGGAGTCCTGCACGTCTTCTCTGTAGCACTCAGCACAAACACAGGTATATTGGGTTAGGGATAACATGGCGCTTTCCCTGACCAGGTGATGGTGGGCTTGAGGTCTGCCTTGCTCACAGCTGCCTCACTGGTGGGGACCAGGAGAAGACCCATCCAGCCATGCATCGGTGTCCAAGTCAGCTAACGGGCCTTGGTCTCCTGGTACCTGGGTGTGGCTGAACTAGAGCCACTTATGAACCAAACCCCAAAGGAGCAGCTTGGGTTGCACATGGTTGGGAAGAGACTCCGTTATGGAATCCCAGTGGGACCCCGTGGGCCAGAGGCGCTTACGGGTGACCTATACACATGCTATCGAGGAACACTGAATTTCACAGTGAGGAAACGATTTTCCTCCTCCTTTACTCTCTTTGGTTTTTCTGATGAAGGCAAGAAGGGCTCAGGGTGGAGCCAGGTGTCTGGAGTTCTCTAATAGCGTGGATAGGCAAAGGTAAACCGGATAGTGACATTGTTTCTATGCTTATGGTTGCAATGTCATTATTTTGGGAAAAATTAACTGTAAAATACATATGAGGTAAATTAATGCACAGATGGCAGCTGGAAATGGCAAATCTGAGAAGGTAGTCCTCAGCTCCTGTCTGCAGAGTCATCTCACTCCACTCCATTCTTCCCACGTGGCTTAAGATGTGACTGGTGTGAGGAATCAATGGCAGGAAAAGTGAGGGGAAGTCAGTGTGTGGAGAGCTGGTCACAGCCTCCTGTGTGCACCTTGCTGGCTGCAGCCACAGCCTGGGCTCTGAGCTTCCGGCAGCTGCGCGGAGGGCCTTGAGGTCAGGCCAGACTCTGCCCTGTTCCAGTGTGTGCTTTTACCAACCTGATGAAGACTATTTTCCAGCTCCCTGGGAAATTCCATGCTCCCCACACTGGCTCGCAGGTTCCTGCAGTCTATAGTGGGAACCTTGTCCACAGTTGTCCATAGAACAAAGCCCACTATGGGTTTAACCCCAGCTCCTGACAGATCTCAGGACCCCACCCAGCCTCTGGGGGCATCACCTTGCAAGTGAGTCCTTTAAAAAATGAGGCCGACTTTTTTCCTTTGCATGGTATATTTATAGCAGTATGTTTCATAGTGAGATGGTGGGGAGACATTATCTTTTTCTTTTCTTAAACAGCTTTATGAGCTATAATTCACAGCCCATGCAGTTCCCCCATTGAAAGGGTATGATTCCCTGGTTTTCAGAATATTCGCAGATACGTGCGTCCATCACCACAGTCAATCTTGGAACATTGTCATCACCTTGGAAAGAAATCCCATGAGCTGTGGCTTCCCTGCCCCCATTCCAAGCAACCACTAATCTACTTTCTATCTCTACAAACTTCCATATTTTGAACTTTCATATGAATGGAATCATTCAACATATGGACTTTTGTGGCTCACTTCTTTCATTTAGTATAATGTCTTCAGGTGAGAAATTCTCTCTCAAGGGGACTTACACAGAATATCTCTACCGTTGCAGCTGCACAGTGCCCCTTTTGGACCCCACCATTCAGGGGGCCCTGGGTGAGTGTGTCTCATGTCCCTGGAGCCTCCAACCCAGAAGCCTCTGAGGAACCACGTTCCTAGGGACGCTCTTACACCAGTCCTTGCCTGTCCCAGAAACATATGAAGGTGAAGGTAGTCACAGATGTCTCAGCACAGATGACATCATGAAAGCCAGGGGTTTGCTCCCAGGGGATGGGCAGTGGGGCGGTCGACCTTCCGCTCAGCACTGCCCAGGAGATGCCCAGGGAGGACTGCAGAGCCCAGGGTCACAGGGGCCATCTGGGGGACAGGGCGGAGGAGGGTGAAGAGCAATCCTGAGAAGAAGAGGAGGATACGGGAAAGGCACAGCCGAGTCAGGAGAGATTTCATTCCCGGCTAGGTGTCTGTGGAACAGAAACAGCTGTTGCCTCAGCTGAGTCATGCCCCTTGCCTTTGGAGCACAGGCCTTTGCCGCGGTCTTCTCTGGGAGAATTCTAATGCAGAGGCGCCCTGCCAGCTCCCTCCCCTTGGCAGGGGACTCCCGTTCTCAGAGGAGCTGTCCTCCGAAGTCACTGTGGGACGCTGCAGCAAGTGATTCTGCCTCTTGGCCCCAGCTTCCTCTCTGCAAATGGCAACTCACAGCAGTCTCCCCACACTGGGGGCTGGTGTGAACTGGCTAAAACTACAGATGTGAGTATGAAGCTTCTGGCACTGAGCCCAGCACTACCAATACCTGGGAATAAGTTGTCGTTCATGCAGGAGGCTGACAGCTCAGTGGAAACAGATGCATAAGCAGCCACTTAACATGCAGGTGGACAACCAGCCCCGAGTGGGCAGAGCAGCCTGGACAGGTGCATAGGGTCAGTCGAGCCTTGGAGAGAGAGGTGGACCTAACTGGTTAACCAGGCCAAAGGACTGGGAGGGGCTCTCCAGAGGGCAGAAAGGGCACATGCCAAGCTCAGAGGATGCTGAAGCAGCTGTGAGGGCTTTGGAGGCTGAAGGCTGGGCAGCCGGGCTTGGGTCAAGGAGTAGCAGAAGGTGGGGCTCCAGGGAGGGTGAGCCTCCAGCCCCGCTGTGTGCAAAGCTGAGATTTGTTGTAAACCATGAGTCAAATCTGGTTCCTGCCCTGCTCCACCTACTAAATGTACAGAGAGCAAACAGAGTAAGAAGGGCACCCACACCAGGGAGTTAAGGCACTCCTGGGCACAGAGCAATCTGTTCCAGCCTGGCCTCAGGACCCCGCTGGCCAAATATTTGTCCAGAGCAAGGGAGTATGTGAGGGTTCAAGCATTTCCTTTCATCAAGGAGACTCCAGGTGGCTCCCAGCCTCCAGGTGGCAGTGCAAAGAGGCAATTATTTTGAAAACATTATTGGCACCCTGGAGGCACGGTGCTGTGTCCCCTTTGTTTCTGCCAACTGGCCAGACTTCCTCCGACCCCACAGCTGCACCCTGTTACTGTCCATCAAAATAGAGATGGGACAGCTGGCTGGGTGATCTCAAAGGTCTCCAGTTGGGTGGCTGCAGAGGGATAAGGGTTGAGTGCTCTGAGTCCCAGGGCCTTGAGTTAGAAGATGGGAGTGGGGCCTCAGCAAACACTCTATCCTCCTCAGCCCTGACTATACATTAAGTCACCTGGGGCACCTTTAGAAAAAAACCACCAAAGCCCAGGGCTCATGCCCAGAGTCTGATTCCCATGAAAGAAGCAGAGTGATGGGGCAGATGTCCCAGACTCTTGGCCAAGGCCTCGTGATGTGTTGCCGTAACATAAGGCCATGGGCGATGCTCTGTAACTCCTGTAAGACAGAAGAGGAAACGGCTCCTGTCTCAAGGCCCTGCCTGCCTTCCAGCGATGCCAGCCGACTGCCCCCCTCCAGGTCCTGCCCAGCCTCTCAGTGCAAAATGTCGCCCTAGTGTTTCCTCTCCTTTCCCCTCCTCTCCTCTCTTCTCCTCGAGCTTGGAACCCTTTCTTGCCTGGAACATGAGACTAGCTCGTCCTTGGGTTTCCTCTGAACTCTGAGATGCAGCCTCACTGTCTCAGGATGGGGACTGAGAGGGTGCATGGGCGTTTGGAGGCCCCTCCCAACCCTGGTATGACAGAGCTGGAAACCACCCATCTTTAATTCTGTCCAGTTGTCGGGGGGTTAGCAGAGTTGAGCTTCTCTAAGAACATGGGGTAATGTACAAAACTGGACAAAAAGTTTCCAGAGTTCACATCCATGGTCTACCCAATGAAATGATGTTTGTGAAAAAAAAAATCTGTCAGGAATTGTCTTCCTGGGAGCTCTTGTGTGAACTTGGAGAAGCTTCTCATGTTTTCTTTCCAAATTAATCATGGGAGGCAGCCAGGGTGCTTAAGAGGTGGTTAAGGGTGTGCACTTGGGAGCCAGGGTTGACGAGTTTGAAGTGAGCTGTGTCACTAGCTGGGTGACCTGCTGTCCCTGGGCAAGTTATTGAATCTCTCTGTCCCCTCATCTGAAAAGTAGTGATAACAGTAGTTGTGACTCAGGTTATATCTGCAGGGGACCAGCACCCGGCTGCCACTAAGCGCTTGTTGTCACAACTGTCATTAGATGAAGCAGCCTCTTCTGTAACTATGTGAAAAATCCCAGCAGTCTGAATATGATCTCAATACACACAATCATCTACTCCAAAACTTGTCCAAAAAGAGCCAGAATTTTAAAACAACCTCAAAAGAATCAAAAAGAGAAAACCTATGGTCTCCAGAAACCAAAAGTTGAGAAAAATGTGCCTGACCCGCACAAGGAAGCACAAAGGGCACTAAGATATGAGCCGGCCTTCCTTCCAACAACGGGCCTGGTCATCAAGGACGGGAAGACGCATTCTCTGGCACATTCTTGAGATTCGTCTGGAGTTTCCATTCCCTGTGGCTGAAAGAACTCTTCATCCACAGTCCCCAGTGTTTCCGCTGCAGGGCTGGGTAACAGAGGCAATGCAGAGGGCTTGCTCAAATTCTCTGGATATTTTTCTGGGGCTCCATTTCACTCTGTTAGGGCCTCCACAAACGGAAATTCTTCCAAGGACACATCAAGACATGAACCAAAGAGGTCTTCCCAGGCAAGGCTTTCCATCTACACACCTGGTGGTGTGGTCCCCAGAGCCCAGCATCAGAATTCCCAACAGCACCGAGCACGTGGTGTGTGCCTTTAAAGGCATATGTGAACAACAGTTTGTGCCTTGAATTCTTGAGGTGTAAAGGAAACCAGCCACAGAACAGAGGCTGTGCACCATTGTTGAGCTCCCCTGCCACTTAGGTCAAGTGGCAAAAATCATCTCCCCAGAAAGGAAAAGAAGAGATGTCCCCGCCAGACGAGGGAGGCATGTGGACTCATCCCCGTCTGCTGGGAGGACTGCGGGAAGCTCCCAGCCCTTCTGTGCTTTCCCAAGGCCACCAGGAGGAGCACCCCCCACTCATGTTTCTGGCAATCTATTCACTCACTGAGTCGTCTTAGCAGCCAAGGGTTATTTCAATGCCAGGAGGACATTTTGTGTAGGTCATCTGACCAGAAAAACAACTGTGTGGTTCAGGAGAGGCTCAGCAGGCTTTGCCCAGCTCTATGGGTTGATTGATTTAAAGCTAATCATTCTAAGAGTGAGATAGAGGGTAGGAAGCATTTTTCTGTGCGTATGTATGTGTATGTGTGTGTGTGTGTACATGTATGCTTGTGTATATGTGCATGCATGTGCCTATAAGTATGTGTATGTATGCACATGTGTGTACTTCTCTGTATGCATGTGTATGTGTTTGCGTGCAGGTGTGTATTCATGTATGTATGTGTGTATGTCTGTGCATGTGTATGTATGTGTATGGTGCCGCATATGCATGTGTATATGTATGTGTGCATGTGCCTGTGTATGCCTGTGTATATGTGTGTGCACGTGCATGCATGTGTGTGCATGTGAATGCACGTGTGTGTGTGTGTGTGTGTAGGTAGGTAGAGCTGGGTTAAGGATGAGCTACTGTAGAGCAAGTAAATGGCACAACAGGCTTTGATGCCCGGATGAAGTTAAGAGGGCACCGAGCACCAGGTGGTAGGAGAATGAATATGCACAGAGCAGGAGGTCAGGGGAAGACCCAAGACCCCTAAATGCTGAAGGCTTCCGCAAAGTCCTGCGGCTCTTCCCCTAAGAAAATGCATCTGAGAGGGAGGATAGGGGACTCTGTTCCAGTTCTGAGAGGCAAGGAGTAACACCGTTTGGCTTCTTTATTTGTGTTAGCCCTACCTACCTCCTGGTACGAAGGAACTCAGTCCCAGCAAGCCAGAGGGAAGCTTCCCTCACTCACTCAGTCACTCACTCGCTCACTCACCCACTCACTCACTCAGTCACTCACTCAGTCCTCACTCAGTCACTCAGTCACTCACTCAGTCACTCACTCAGTCCTCACTCACTCAGTCCTCACTCAGTCACTCACTCAGTCACTCACTCACCCACTGTCACTCACTCACTCAGTCACTCACCCACCCACTCAGTCACTGACTCACTCAGTCACTCACTTACCAAGTCACTCACTCACCCACTCAGTCACTCAGTCACTCACTCAGTCACTCACCCACTCAGTCACTCAGTCACTTACTCACTCACTCACCCACTCACTCACTCACTCACTCACTCAGTCACTCAGTCACTCACTCACTCACCCATTCACTCAGTCACTCACTCACTCACTCACTCACTCAGTTACTCAGTCAGTCAGTCAGTCACTCACTCACTCACTCACTCAGTCACTCACTCACTCACTCACCCACTCAGTCACTCAGTCACTCACTCAGTCACTCACCCACTCAGTCACTCAGACACTTACTCACTCAGTCACTCAGTCACTCACTCACTCACTCACTCAGTCACTCACTCAGTCACTCACTCACTCACCAAGTCACTCACTCACCCATTCAGTCACTCAGTCACTCACTCACTCACTCACTCACTCAGTCACTCAGACACTTACTCACTCACTCACTCAGTCACTCAATCAGTCACTCACTCACTCACTCACCCACTCAGTCACTCAGTCACTCACTCACTCAGTCACTGACTCACCCACTCAGTCACTCACTCAGTCACTCGGTCACTCACTCAGTCACTCACTCACTTGCTCACTCAGTCACTCGGTCACTCACTCACCTACTCAGTCACTCACTTAGTCACTCACTCACCCACTCAGTCACTCACTCACCCACTCAGTCACTCACTCAGTCACTCGGTCATTCACTCACTTGCTCACTCACTCACTCAGTCACTCGGTCACTCACTCAGTCACTCACTCACTTGCTCACTCACTCAGTCACTCACTCAGTCAGTCAGTCACTTACTCACTCAGTCTCTTACTCAGTCAGTCACTCACCCACTCAGTCACTCAGTCACTCACTCAGTCAGTCACTCACTCAGTCACACAGTCACTCACTCACTCAGTCACTCAGTCACTCACTCACTCACTCAGTCACTCACCCACTCAGTCACTCAGTCACTCACTCAGTCACTCAGTCACTCACTCACTCACTCAGTCACTCAGTCACTCACTCAGTCACTCACTCACCCACTCACTCACTCAGTCACTCACTCACTCACTCAGTCACTCACTCACCCACTCAGTCACTCACTCAGTCACTCACTCAGTCACTCAGTCACTCATTCAGTCACTCACTCACTTGCTCACTCACTCACTCACTTAGTCACTCACTCACTTAGCCACTCACTCACTCAGTTACTCACTCACTCAGTCACTCACTCACTCAGTCACTCACTCACCAAGTCACTCACTCACCCACTCGGTCACTCAGTCTCTCACTCACTCAGTCAGTCACTCACACACTCAGTCACTCAGTCACTCACTCACTGAGTCACTCACTCACTCACTCAGTAACTCACACAGTCACTCAGTCACTCACTCATCCACTCAGTCACTCACTCATCAAGTCACTCACCCACTCGGTCACTCAGTCTCTCACTCACTCAGTCAGTCACTCACACACTCAATCACTCAGTCACTCACTCACTGAGTCACTCACTCACTCACTCAGTCACTCACACAGTCACTCAGTCACTCACTCATCCACTCAGTCACTCACTCAGTCACTCACTCACTCACTCAGTCACTCACTCACTCAGTTACTCACTCACTCACTCAGTCACTCACTCACCAAGTCACTCACTCACCCACTCGGTCACTCAGTCTCTCACTCACTCAGTCAGTCACTCACACACTCAGTCACTCAGTCACTCACTCACTGAGTCACTCACTCACTCACTTAGTCACTCACACAGTCACTCAGTCACTCACTCAGTCACTCACTCAGTCACTCACTCACCCACTCAGTCACTCACTGACTCAGTCACTCACTCAGTCACTCACTCACCCACTCACTCACTCACTCAGTCACTCAGTCAGTCACTCACTCACTCGCTTGCTCACTCACTCACTTACTTAGTCACTCACTCACTCTGTTACTCACCCACTCACTCACTCAGTCACTCAGTCACTCACTCACTCAGTCACTCACTCACTCACTCAGTCACTCACTCGCTTGCTCACTCACTCACTCACTCAGTCACTCAGTCACTCACTCAGTCACTCAGTCACTCAGTTAGTCACTCAGTCACTCACTCAGTCACTCAGTCACTCACTCACCCACTCAGTCACTCACTCAGTCACTCACTCACTCAGTCAATCACTCAGTCACTCACTCACTCAGTCACTCACTCACCCACTCAGTCACTCACTCAGCCACTCACTCACTCATTCACTCACCCATCAGTCATTCACCCAGTCAGTCACTCACTCACCCACTCAGTCACTCATTCACTCACTCAGTCACTCACTCACTTGGTCACTCAGTCACTCAGTCACTCACCTACTCAGTCACTCAGTCACTCACTCAGTCACTCACTCACCCACTCAGTTACTCACTCAGTCACTCACTCACTCACTCACCCACTCAGTCACTCACTCACCCACTCACTCACTCATTCACTCACCCACTCAGTCACTCACCCACTCAGTCACTCACTCACCCACTCAGTCACTCATTCACTCACTCAGTAACTCAGTCACTCATTCACTCACTCAGTCACTCACTCACTCGGTCACTCAGTCACTCAGTCACTCACTCAGTCACTCACCTACTCAGTCACTCAGTCACTCACTCAGTCACTCACTCACCCACTCAGTTACTCACTCAGTCACTCAGTCACTCACTCACTCACTCACCCATTCAGTCACTCACTCAGTCACTAAGTCACTCACTCACACACTCAGTCACTCAGTCACTCACTCAGTCACTCACTCACTCAGTCACTCACTCGGTCACTCACTCAGCCACTCACTCACTCACTTGGTCACTCACTCAGTCACTCACTCACTCAGTCACTCAGTTAGTCACTCAGTCACTCACTCTCTTACTCACTCACTGACTCACTCACTTGGTCATTCATTCATTCATTCACTCACGCATTTAACAGATGCTGACAGTGGCATGGTCAACACTAAGGCAGGCACACCCAGGGAAATGGATCTCATTCAAAGACACACTTTAATGAACGTAGCCCATCTCTCCCTTCCTCTCCTCTCTCATGCAGTCTTGCCACAGTCCCCACTGGAGCAGTTCTGGGTCCACCAAGGGTGGATTCAGGCCTGGTGAAAGTGTCAGTGTCTGAGCAATGGTGACCAGATACCAAACGTCACACAGGACAGGTACAGAGCCCGGTAGTTGGCACAAGATCCCCACCTGAGCCCATGAGGAGAGATCGGGGGAGGGGTCCGAGATTCTCTGGGTGGTGACCCTCTCCCTGCATCAACTGAAAAGGCAGATTATTGGGAGTCTGACCCCTGGGACTGCTACCAAAGAGAACCCTGGGAGCGGGGCTGGGACCTGACTTGGTTTACCTACACCAGTCACTCTCCCCTCCTGGCCTCTTCATTAGCAGGCTTCTTCCTCCCAGAGGGACCCCTCATGCCATCATCACCCCCAGCTAGCCTTAGACAGTGTTCCTTATCTAATCTGAAGGCAAGAGCAGGACTCAGCGGGTTTGGATCAGTTTGTGAAGAAGGGGATAGAGATTTGGGATTAAAAGATCGAAGAGCTGTTGCTGGGCACGGTGGCTCACGCCTGTAATCCCAGCACTTGGGGAGGCTGAGGTGAGCGGATCACGAGGTCAGGAGATTGAGACTATCCTGGCTAACACGGTGAAACCCCGTCTCTACTAAAAATACAAAAAATTAGCCGGGTGTGGTGGTGGGCGCCTGTAGTCCCAGCTACTCAGGAGGCTGAGGCAGGAGAATGGCGTGAGCCCAGGAGGCAGAGGTTGCAGTGAGCCGAGATCATGCCACTGCACTCCAGCCTGGGCGACAGAGCAAGACTCTGTCTCAAAAAAAAAAAAAAAAAAAATCTAAGAGCTGAGTGGAGGGCCATAGTTTATATTAACAAGGCAAGTTGGACTGGGAAGAGCCCCCTGTTCAGGCTTGCAATCTCACCCCCCTTGAGCCCCAGGGAAGCCTCTCCCATAGCACACGCTGCCAGCAGGACAAAGTGACTGCTGACTTAACACCCACCTCCCTCATGAGCTAGAGGATGGTCACTAGTTCCTGAATGCACAAAAACTCCTCTCAGATCCACAAATCTAGGGGCTTTCTGATAGGCATGTCTTCATTTGAATGGAAAATTCTGCCTACCACATCTACACCTGCTGGCCTTACCCAGCAGGATAAACAGAAACCAAGAGGTTCTGTGAAAATACTGGGTAAGCCACCTGTAAAAGGCAAAATCCGTGGAAATGCTGGACCAGACAGGAGTGGCTTAAATGCAAGAAAAACAAAAGGGATTTATGGGAGTCACCAGGTAGGTTAGTAATGTGAACAAACCAACAAAACAGGTGTACACCTGCCAGAGGCGACAGAAGGCTGCCCGCCCAGGGTCTGGGAGGGTCCAAGGGAGATGGAACTCCCAGAGTCTCTTGGGGACTGGCAGCCTTTGTCAGTTTCACCCTCTGTCCGCCTTTGAGGTCAAGGACTCATCTTATGATTCATCAGTGTTAGGTAGGTGAGAGAGGAGACCCGAGCCCCTTCCCTACCGATGCTTGCTGAGAACAAATGTTTCAGAGTTCTTGATCTGTGCCAGGGATGTGGGCAGACTTAGGGTGTAGGCACGAGACAGACAATAAGCAAAGGTCTGCAGGATGTGCTCTGAGTGCCAGGAAAGGGTGCTAGAAGGGTGGGCTTCCCGGTGGAGGGGATGGGTTAGCTCGGGCCTAAAGGGTCACCTCCAACAAAGAAGCATTCCCACTGCTGCCCCCAACCTGACCACAGATGGAGATGAAGGAGGTCTGTGGCTGGTTTTAGAAATAGTCCTGAGACCCATAAGCTCGGCGGTTCCTTTCCTGCCAGGCCCCTCAATCCAACTATGCCCTCCTGCCAAGCAGCTGGGGGCCAGGATGGAGGCTGGGGGAGGTGAGGGCACAGGTTTTTGCCAGAGGCTGCCCCCTCCCTGAACTGATGCCCTTGCATACAGCCGACACACTGACACTGATGACAAATCGCTTTTGAAAGCTTTAATCTGAGCCTGCTGATAATTCATTCCTACGCCTGCGGGCAGATGTAGCTATGTGTCACACTCAGAATCCACAAAGCTCTGCCTGCCCATCTTGGCACCAGGCTGGCAGGGTGATGCAGAGAGGCTTAGAAAGCAGCCTGCTCCCTGGGCAGAAGGCAGGCTGGGGCTGCCACACTGTCCTCCACCCCTTGGCTGCTCCATCAAGCTCTTAGCTGAGGACACACTGACCTCTGCCCTCAGTTGTTCCTTCTTGGTGAGAGGAGAGCCACTGGGAAGGCCCCAGGAAGGTGGTGTCTGTGCAGGACTCGGTGACTCCAGGGAAAAGTCAAGTGTGCCCTCCACAGCCTGGCCCAATCCCAATCCTCATGCAGCACCTGCCTGAGAATGGAACAGAGGGCACCTATGGCAAAGGTGATGGGGGCGGGCCTTGCGGACCCTGCCATCGGCACAGGTCGGCCAGTTGGTTTCAGAGCAGATGCTTAAATTATTAGTCAACTAATAATAACAGCACTTGATAGCTATGGGGCAGTAGCTATGTGAGGCAGGTGCTGCTATGTCCAAATTTTACTGATGCAGAAACTGAGGCACAGTTACCTGCCCACGTTCCCACAGCTGCCGGGTGCTCCTTTGATGAGCTGGCTGAGGCCCAGATCCAGGCCCCCATGGGTGTGACAGTTACCTCTTGTGTCTAGGGTCAGCTTTGGAAATGGCCATGAGATTTTTGTTTTGATGACAGGTTCTCACTCTGTCACCCACACTGGAGGGCAGTGATGCGATCACAGCTCACTACAGCCTTGACCTCCAGGCTCAAGCAATCCTCCCATCCCAGCCTCCTGAGTAGCTGGGACTATGGGTGCAAGCCATCATAGTTGGCTAATTGTTTACATTTTTTGTAGAAATGGGGTCTTGCTATGTTGCCCAGGCTGATCTCAAACTCCTGACCTCAAGTGATCCTCTCACCTTGACCTCCCAGAGTGCCAGGATTACAGGCGCGTTAACATGGAGCCTCCTCCATGTTAACTAAGTGGCGAATAACCACTTAGTCTTTAGGCCACTCCCAGCCGGCTTCTCCCTCCCTGGCCCGCCACTGAAACAATGAGTCTCAATATCCTCTGTTTCTTCAGAGGAAAACAATAGCAAGGTTTGTGTTTAAGACACATACAGCACAAGATGAAATGCCAAAGGATCCCGCTCCCTCTTCGGCAGATGCAGGCCTGTAGTTCAGTCTGAAGAAGAGGGAGGGGCTGCCATGCAGACCCCACCCGCCCCACTCCACTGACAGGTCAGGGAACGTCATCTTCTGTCCTTCCCCGTGGCCCTATTCCTGGAGTGCCCACCTCCCGGGCCCCCCGTGGGCCTCCCTCCAAGTTGGTTCTGGGACCTTCACTTTCTGTCTCCTCCCCCTGCCCTTCCAGCCCCTCCCCTCCCAGCCCACTGCATTCTCACAGGGACTGGAGGCTGTGGCCAGGAACTGCAGGTCAGTGAGGCTGGCTGTGCGACCCTGCACCTTCTCTTCCCGCTGCGGAGGTGCTGTGGCTGGTGACAGGCTTTCCTTTGATTTCCTACATATGTTTTGCAGGACCCAGGGCCCGGGTACATTAAAATGATTCACCCAATCCTGGCATAGAACACTAGCTGTGAATGAGGTAGCAGCGGCAGAGAGCCTGGGGAGAAGTGCTGCAGAGAAGCAGAGTGTGGCACGTTCATGACCCCAAGAAGGGAAATGGCTACACTGCTCATGCCCAGCTAGGAGCTCACTGGGTATCAAACCTTTCACCAGGGTGTCAAAGGCAATTTGGAGCCTTCCAAATTGATGAGAGACCACGAGGGACCTGCTCCATGCTCCATGCCCTTGGGAACAATCTGAAAGCTGTGAGAAGGAGCTGGCCACACACCCCAGAACGTTCCTGCTTCAAGGACAAGGGGCACAGTCCCCCACTGTCCTCACACCCATCAACACCAGGAGGGTACACCCTCTGGGGTGTCCTATCAGCACCTGTCCCTGAGGCCTGCTGGTCCAAAGCACCATGTCCGGCACTGACACTGGAGGGGCCAGGAGGAAGCCCTGGAGTGGCTTAAGTCAGCCCCCAGCCCCTTCTAGTTCAAGTCTGGCTGGCTCTGTCCTGTGTCAAGGCAGGTCCCAGGTGGTCCAGTCCCTACTCCCAGCCCCTTCTCTGGAGAATGTGTCTGGGCCCAGGACAAAGCCAAGCCACTGCTAAGGCTGTGCAGAGCTAGTCTGTGCTGGCAGCACAATATGCTCTGCCCCTCGCCTGCTGGTGTGGCGAGTATAGGTGCAAAATTCAGCCCTTGTCCCTGGCCGACCTGAGTGTGAGCGCTGCTGGCAGCAGCATCGTGGGGCTTCCTACTCACTTCTGAAAGCACTGGGACAGAAAGGGTGCCTTTGCACCAGTTCTGGCATTGCCCCATCCCTGTGAGGTGGGGGAGTGACTTATGAAAAGCTAAAAGGCAATCTTTTAAAATATAGCTCAGGTGTGATGACACATGTCTGACAATCCTGTGGAGATGAGCCCCATCATCACACTTAGCAGTTTCCAGGGAGCAGCTCAAAGTTACTGAGTCCTCACCAAAGCCAGCCTCTGGTCTTGAAAAACCAGAAAAGTCACTTCTCCACCAAACCCCTGTGAAATCTCTGTCTAGAACACTTCTCCTCCCTTTAGAGAGGAAGAGAGGAGAAAACACGGAAGATCAGGCAGTAGCCCTCTCTAAATAGCTACAGAGAAGGGACAGAGCCAGGAGCCAGTGGACACAGTCAGAGAAGGCCAACTCAGCCACCATCCCATTCTGGCCAAGCGGGGCCTGCCCCACTCCCTGGTGCCTGTAGGAGAGGCTCCTAGCTAGCACAGCAGGGAACTTTCTCCAGAACAGAGGAGGTCCCTGGTCTGACTTGTGAGAACCTCAGAGCACCTGGCTGCTTGCCCCAGCCTCTCCCTGAGAACTGTTCCCACTATTCTATCCCCCATAAAAATATCAAGAGGGTGGCCTGGCCTCGAGATGTCCGCTCCAAGTCTCAGCCAGTCAGTGGAGGGTGTGCAGTGCAATGCGGGTTCTTCAACCTGCCCTGGACCTCGTGACTCAGAACCTGCAGGGTGTGTTTTTGACAAGGAGACCCAGAGGAGGTGTGAGCTTCCCAGTGGTCCTGAGCTGTCCCTTCATTCCTGTTGGGGGAGAGAAGGGACCAAGCCTTGCCCAGAGCTGCCAGGTGGGCAGGGCTGCCTACTCAGGATCCCAGTGTGCCTTCTAGTGCAAGCAAAATCTCGTGTGGCTGATTAGGTGAAAGGAGAAGCCTGGGCATGATCTGCTCACTGCCAGAAGTGCTCACTGGACCCTGGAGACCCGGTGACCCAGGCAAGTTGCTCCCTGTCTGAGCCTCAGTTCCCTGCCAGCTCTGAAAGTGAGGTTTCTGTCATTCTACGTCTCTGGTCTCCTAGGAGTTCCCATGCCACCTTCTCAGTGCAGCCACAGCTTGGACCACCTAATGCGAAACTGCCTCGCTGGCCCATGGCCCAGTCCCGGCTCTGTCGGGCTGGCTATTCCCCAGCCAGGTAGAAATCTAGCAGAAGTCCCCAGACCTCTCTGGTCACTCTTAATAACAGTCCAGTCACTTTGGGTCACAGAAAAGGTGTCATTTTAGTCATTACTCTGTCCAGTTCACTGTAACTGTCAAAACTGCAAACTGATTGCGGGTGTCTCCCCACCCCAACCCCAACCCGTGATGTGACTGCACTTCTGTTCGTGTTTCTGAGGCACAGAGGAGGAAGGGCATGCCCCTGGAGGGCTGGGCGGCATTCCTCACACCCTCACTCACAACCCTGCCTCCTTTGTGGCCTGGGGAGGAGGGGGCTGAGTAGATGATCTCACAACCCTCTTCAGGCACTTCCTTCACAAGTCCTGAATGGGTAGGGGGTCTCTCCTGGCACTCTGTGGGAGACCTCGCATCTGGGGGCCCCAGCTGAGACAGAAAGCCTTCCCTGTGAACCTTTCATTCCCTGAATGGTGGCCCAGTGTCAAGGAAGTCCCTGGCTTAGAATGGAGACGGAGACAGAGACAGAGAGTGGCTCCAAAAGGAAAAGTTCCTCACTGGGTGGGACTTTTGCAGGGGAGCAGACGAGAAGCAAAGCCCTGGGTTTTGTTGGAGGAGGGGAGAGCATTGGCTATTTCACCCTTGGCCTATATGGGGCTGCACTGATGACCACACCACCTGCAATAGGGGCACAGCCTCTGTGGCTCTGGAGGTATTTGGAAAGGCAGTCTCACTTCCTAGTTGGGCCTGCCTTCCTCTTCCTGTGAGGACTCTGCAGCTTTCAGAGGTCAGGAGGTCTGGGATAGGGGTGCTGGGCCAAGGAGAGGTTGCTATGCCCCACCCTGAGCTGCCACCCTCACTTGCTCCAGTGGGCAGTCCCCTCACCATGGAAGTGGCGCTCCACCCGGATCAGCTTGGACATCTGCGCCTCCCAGGCTGTTGGGAGGTCAGGCATGGGAATCTGAACTATGAGTCATCAACAACTCAGTGGACTACAGATTTAAAAAATAATCAAGCATTTCACACCCATTGGACTAGCAGAAAATTATAAAGTCTGACGCTACCAAGTGATGAGGAACAATGGCGACTTTCATGTGCTGCTGGTAGGGGCCGGGGAAGGTCCAGGTTTAGCCTGAAGCTTAAACAATCAGGAGGACCATCTTTATAAGAGAATACAAAATTAGGCAGAGTCTTGGAAGGGGCTTGAGTAAGTAGGGGTCTTGAACTTAATTAAACATCAGCTTCCCAGTAAATCTGCTCCTGGGGTGTGTAAATTGGAATTACTCTTTTGGACGGCAATGTGATAACACCTGGGAAAATGACAATGTGCATATCCCCTGTGACCCAACAAGTCACATCCTCCAAGTGTCTCTGGGAGACATTTCCAACAGGTAACTACAGAGGCAAATATGAGAATGTTCTTAGCAATGCTGTCTGCAATAGCTAAAGGCAGCAAATTGGAACTATCCAAAGTGTCTATTAACAGAAGACTGGGTAAACAAAGTCAACATGTATAAATCTCAGAACATAATGTTGCCTGGAAAGCATGTTGCAGAAGGATACGTACTGTATGCTGGCATTTTCATAAAGTGCGAAAACATGTAAAACAATGCCATGTGTAGTTCATATGTGTGCAGTAAAAGTCTAACCTGTGCTTGGAAGTGAACACCACATTCAGCCTACAGGTGGCCCTGAGGACGGAGGGAGAGAGAGAATAAGATAACAGAAGGATGTCTAGGAGGCTTAGATGCCATCTGAAAGCTTCATTTCCTTAATACATAACAGCAAACAAGGCAAAATATTAAGATTTGACAAAGTTGGGCAATAATTATGTAGGTGTCTGTTAAAGTATTGTATATGTTCTTCTGTGGCATTTGAAATATTTCTATTTTTTGTTTTTTAAACTTGAGGTGAAATTCACATATCATCAAACCAATCATTTTAAGTTGACAGTTCAGTGGCATTTAGTACATTCATGGTGTTGTGCACCCACCAACTCAATCTAATTCCAAAGCATTTTCATTACCCCCAAAAAGAAACCACATAGCGATTAAACAATTGCTCCCCTTGGTCCCTGGCAAACCACCAGGGTTTGTGTTCTGTCTCTATGGATTTATCTATTCCAGTATTTTATATAAACGGAATCATACACTATATGACATTTTGTGCCTTGTGTCTTTTGCTTAGCATAGAGTTTTCAAGGTTTATCAACTTTGTAGCACGTATCAGTACTTCATTCCTTTCTATGGTCAGGTAGTATCCATTGTTTGGATATGTCGCACTTTGTTATTCAGTTCATTGCTGATGGCCACTGGGCTGTGTGTTATTGTGAAGACTGCTGCTATGAACATGCATGTGCCAATACTAAAGTCCCTGCTTGGAATCCTTTGGTTATATACCCAGGAGTGGAATTGCTGGGTCAGAGGGTAATTTTTTGAGGGAACACCAAACTGTTTTCCACAGTGGCTGAACCATTTCACATTCCCGCCAGTGGCATACCAAGGGTTCCAATTTCTCCACATCCAATACTTGATGTTTTCCGTTTTTTGGATAGTAGCCATCCTAATGGGTGTGAAGTGGTATCTCATTGTGATTTCTTTCTTTCTATTTATTTAATTTATTTACTTATTAATTTATTTTTTTGAGACCGAGTCTCACTCTGTTGCCCAGGCTGGAGTGCAGCGGCATGATCTCGGCTTACTGCAACCTCTGCCTCCCAGGTTCAAGCGATGCTCATGCCTTAGCCTGCTGAGTAGCTGGGACTACAGGCATGAGCCACCCAAGCCGGGTTTTTTTTTTTTTTTTTTTTTTTTGTATTTTTAGTAGAGATGGGGTTTCACCATGTTGGTCAGTCTGGTCTCGAACTCCTGACCTCAGGTGATCCACCCACCTCAGCCTCCCAAAGTGCTGGGATTACAGGCGTGAGTCACCGCAACTGGCCTCATTGTGGTTTCAATTTAGTTTTCCTAATGCCTGATGATGTTAAGCATCTTTTTATGTGCATATTGGCCATTTGTGTATCTTCTTTGTAGAAACCTCTGTTCAAGTCCATTGTCCATTTTCTAATTGGGTTGTCTTTTTGTTGTCGAGTTGTAATATTCCATAATTAAAAAAACCTCTCGAGTAGCTGGGAGGCTGAGGCAGGAGAATGGCGTGAACCCGGGAGGCGGAGCCTGCAGTGAGCCAAGATCGCGCCACTGCACTCCAGCCTGGGCGACAGAGCGAGACTCCGTCTCAAAAGCAAAAACAAAAACAAAAACAAAAACTCTCCCGGGGTGGCCAGCGCCTTCTCAGGCCCTTTAATTCTCCACTCCTTCCACACATCAAATATATACAGCTTCGTATTTACAGTCCATGCAGAGGAGAACTGAGAGGCTTGGGGTCAGCTTTCTCCTCTTCTCTCCCAGGCACCTGCGAGCCCACCCCTAATCTAGAGCATGTGGAAGATGCCTGGAGATGACTATGCATTGCGGGTCTCCTGGGAAGTGAGGAAGGGAGGTGGGGAACAGGGGTGAGGTGGAGAAGTGACTTTCTAAGTCAGCTGAGAGAAGCGTTCTGGGCGAGGGGGAGTTGTTTCTTCTGGAAGCCCCGCTACCGGCAGGCCACAAAGCCACGCTGGAAGAGCAAGCTGCCAGTAGTAGATGGTTCCAAGGTTTCCCACGCCCCTGTAATTTCTGCAGCATTGGCGGGTTGGGTGGGAGTCTCCGGTCACCTTTCCCGCAGATCAGATCGCCCCGTCTAACTGGACTGTTCCTACTCTCAGGGGCACTCCTTCTTGTATGCTGAACTTCTAAAAGGAGGCCAGCGGGGGGCTGGCTCTCTGTAAACGGTGGGGCTGCGTTCATTGGCGTCCAGGGTTTCTTCTAAATGTAACTGCTTTGATTCCGCCTATCCCTAGGATTTCAAGTCACCGGTTCCACCCAGGTTTGGGTTCGACTGGACTTTCACCCTAAGTTCAATGGTAGCCCTGCTCCCAGGCCGCCGCAGCCCTCTTAGCCTCTGCCCGCAAGCCCTCTTTGGATGAACTGACCTGCTCCCTTTGGTATTCACACCCTCCCCCTCCAATCAGGCAATAACAACCTGGGGTCCAATTTTTAAACAGCCAGGCTCCGACATTTTCTTTCCCGCCCAACTCTCCACGCTGACACTTCTGAGGGTGGGGTGCCGGAAAAGGTGTCCCTCAGGCGGTGACGGACCGCACCCACAGGACATACAGGGCACACCCCTCCCAGGTGAAGGCCAGCGGCCCCCGGGGAGTTGAGGCTGAGGGAGGTCACTTCGGCTTCGCGACACCGTGAGCGCTTATCAGGAGTTCTCAGTAGGAAGCGCTTTCCTGCAGCCTCAGGCAGAGACCGTGCGTGCAAGGCGGGACCGACCGCAGGTGCAGAGGCCCCGGGCCTGCCCAAGGTCAGTCGAGGCGCGCGGATCGCTCTCGCCGCCACCCCCCACCCCCCACCCCCCATCTCCTCCACCCCCACCCCGCACACGGGGCAGAAGGACTGCGGCCAAGCAAACGATGGCCTCATTTCCAGATCGAATTGGTCGCAAATACGTTCCCTCGCCAGAAACTTTAAAAGGCCAGAAGAAAATAAACCGGATTCAGCTCCCTCTCATCTCCAAATCTCGGTTGGTAATACTAATGTTTCTCTTGCTGATTTTTTTTTCTTTTTTAACGAAACCTTCTCCCTTGTAAAAGCTGCGCACTTCTACCCAACCGCGCAAAGCGCGGCGGGAGCTTCGGTGGCGCTGCGCGCGTCAAGTGGGCCCCGCGCGCAGCTTTGGGACCAGCGAACCAAGAGCCGTCCCCCCCTGCCCCGCTGCCTACATCTGACCCCAGTTGGGAACCCAGTTTTTCCTCCATAGTCCTGTAGACTGTTCCCCTCATTCTGTTGGTCTAGAAGGGCACAAAGGACCGGAGGTGGGAGGGGACTTCCCTGGCTTAGTCCCCGCCCTGCGCCTGCTGCCCCGATGCTCCCAGAACCTGCGCAGCTAGCGGATCCCGTCCGACAGCTGTGCTGGGCGCCCGAGAGAGCGCACGGCTCAGCCCACCCCGTCCCTTCCCCGGCCAGGAGCCACTCACAAACTCAAAGATGAAGAGCAAGTCGGGCAAGGTGGTGAAGACCGAGAAGCCACTGGGCAGGGTGCTGCCCCCCGTCGCCGCTGCGGGGGCCATGACGGCGTGCTGGCGTCGGCCTTGGGACGGGACGAGCGCCGCTCAGACTCCGCGCAGACCTCTCGCTGGCTCCGCGGAGCCCAGTGGCCTGGGCGCCCCCGCGCGCGGGTTAAGAGCAGGGGAGCCCGGGGCAGAAGAGGGAGGAGCCCCGGCCGCCGCCCAACCCCGCCCCCCGCCCCACGCCCCGGGAGACCCGGCCCGAGCGCCGCGGGCACCGCCCTGAACCTCTTCGAGGCCCCGCTGCGGGCGTCCAGAGCTGGGGACTGTGGGTCTGACTCCTGCGTTCCAGCCGTGGGTGCCACCTCTTGCGGGAAGCAGGGCAAAACCACTTTGGTCAGGCGCTCCTCGTGCCTTTCTCCCTTCGTAGGTGACCAGCATCTCGTAAGAATGATAACCATCAGTAACCGGGACCCCAAACCTTCTCATCAAGGCACCTCTCGGGTCACCATTACTTTAACTTTGAATTTGGGTCTCCTTCATTTTTCCGCTGGATGCGTTAATGTGCGCGACCCACAGCTCCAGGCGGCGGTTTCCTGGCGGAACTGGACCACCGCCACAGGCTGGGGGTCTGCAGTGGGGGATGGGACCGGCCGCGGCCGCCGGCCCCTTCCGCGTCCACTGAGCCGGCGCTGGTTCGGCGCTGGGATCCTGCACCGGGCCTCTCTGCTTGGTGCTGCGCGTCTGCCTGAGAGTAGGAGGTTGCTCCCAGCTGTGCCGGCCCCAGCAGAAGGCTGCTGGTGGTGGTGCTGGGGCAGGTCGGCCTTGAATCCATGCGACAGGAAGGGACGTTACCAGAAGAGATTCATCGCTTTCTCTTGGTCTGGGCAGCCCGGGCCTTTTGAGGGTGGGACCGCTGCTACCCCCACCCCCAGGTTCTTTGCCTGCCTGTTGACTGCCGGTGTTTCATGTTTTGTTTCTCTGTTTCACTATTTTTTATTTTTTGCCTTAAAAAAAAAAGTATTACCATGCAGCAGTTGCCCATTTATTTTAATTTACTATTAATAGTGTGATTGCTGTGTTTCCTCCTACAAACACTGAAGCCTGAAATCCGCCCGAGTCCGGATTCTCGCCTGCCAAAAGGGAATTGGCCCCGCAACCTCCAGCTTAGACTCCCAACTCTTCTTTCTTTCCATTGGCAGCTGCTGCAGGCAGGACAAGGGGCTCCCCTTCTCTCCAGTGGGGCCTTCACCTCTCCCTGCTGCACAATTCTTCCTCCTTCCCAGTCCCTAGGGAGAGAAGTATATTCGTGGACGCATTTTCCAAAGCAAAAGTAGCACGCCCATCAGCTGGCCATTCTAAGTGCCTCTGGAAAGGGGCCAGGCATTTGAAATGAGAAAACCCCACTGTGCCTCTGTGAGCTGCCAGCCCGGACGGCTGCAACCAAGGTGCCATTGTGTCGGGTCCCCAGGGCAGCATCTCTCTGGACACAATGGGCTGTGGGACTTTAGGAGCCCAGGTCCTCATCCACCTTGGGCATCTCATAGCTCGTTAGTTGGACCTGCTGGCCTCTGAGAGGACATCTTCTTCCTCCCCAGGAGACCGTCCTGGGAACAAGCCTTAAAGCAAGGTGGCCACAGGAAGCCGCAGCCTGAAGAGAGGTGAGATGACCCTCAGGCAGTCCAGCGAAAGCTGCTTGGAGATTTCCTATCAGCACATACTAATTAAGAACAAGAAGATCCTATCAACTCCTAATAATGTCCTTACCTGGCCTGGAGGGCTTTTGTTTGTGGTTTGGTTTGGTGATTTCCTACTTATTTCAAGCCTTTGTTGCTAACTCATTCCTACTTGGGCCTGAGCCTTTGGGGAAAGCTCGCTCCCAGGGGCAACTCAGTGGAGCTCAGCAGTCCCAGCCCTCCTTTGATAAGGCAGAGGGGCAGCAATCTCTGAAAGAGGCTTCAGAGGATGAGGAAGGCAGCCCGGCCAGGGTCAAGGGGGTTTGTCCCTATCTCTGTGACCCCCTCCTCCCACCTGGAGTTCTCCGCTCGACGTTCATCTTCCTGACCAGACTCTACCCTCGGCAGGGCATCCTCCAGCCACCCCCATCTGCCCCTCTCCTTCCCCACCCTAGCATATGCTCAGCACCCAAGCAGAGCCCAGCCTCTGGTGAGTGCTCATTAAACCTTAGCCAATGGTGGATGACTCCAGCTTTGTCTGTGCTTGACCACCAGAGGAGGACATGGAAGTGCCCTGTTTGGATGTAAGAAGCACTGGTGAGGAGTGAGGCACTGGTAATAGAGAGACATTGGTAAATAGAGAGGCATTGGTGAGAGAGAGGCGTTGGTGAGACAGAGAGAGGCACTGGTGAGAGAGAGGCACTGGTGTGTGAGAGAGAGAGAGAGAGGCGTTGGTGAGAGGAGGCATTTGTAAAACAGAGGCATTGGTGAGAGAGAGAGACATTGGTAAGAGAGAGGCATTGGTAAGTAAAGATGGGCCTGTCTTCATTCCCCAGCACAGCTTCTGCAGGTGCTCTGGGCCACCTGCTGGTGAATGAGGTGGTTGATACTTATCAGAAGCCCAGGACCATATTTTGGTTTCCAGCAGGATATGAAAAAATAATTTCAGCCAATAATAACTCAGTGAGTATCCTTGGTCTTCCCAGTGGGTGTGAATAAGAGGGTGGGTCTGGGGCTTCTGTCAAATATTAATAACGTGGCCTTGGGTGGGTTTCCACAAAGTAGGAATTGGAAAGTTGCCATTGCAGAGCCAGCCTGGGGAAGGAAGAGGTTACCACCTCCAGTTTGTGTGTGTTCAGGGGGAGGGAGGAGATTGTGGGGAGAGGGACGTGTTCAGGGAAAGATTAATGGGCAGGAGTTGCCCATCCGTAACAGTAGGTGCATTGGTTTTTGAGGTAGGTAAGATGACTCCCATTTTACTGATGAGCTAACAGAGGCTCAGAAGTGTTAAGTAGCTGCCCAAGGGCACAGAGTTGCTGAGCACCTTGAACCTGAGTGACGCTGCACCTCTAAAGCTCCGAGCCCTCGATGAAAACCCTGCTCAAGATGGGCAATTGCCAGTCAAATGCCAGCTCCATGCAGACATCGGCAGCCTCCCAAATCCAGTCTTCATGGTCATCTCAGGTGTGGCCCCAGGCACCTGCCCTGGTGGACAGGGCTTGGGACCTTCACCTCTGGGAACACAAGGAAGTGGGGGTCATCATCCCCATTTATGGATGGCGAGGCCGGGTGCCGACATGAGTTCAGAGAGCTACCCTGAACGCGCACTTCCCCCTAGGGATTTTATTTTTCTCACAGACACAGTCACCCACAGCCCTGGGTTCCATAGAAGGCATGAAGCAGTGAGGGCACCTGCTGGCGGATGGGGGAATGGCAGCCACAGCTGCCATGGCGTCAGCGCAGGAGGGGAACCTGTTACTGAGGGCTTGCTGAGTCCCAGCACTGCCACAGGCACTTTGCCTGCATGGCTTCATTTAATCCCACAGAGGCTTGCTGGTGGGTGTCACCCAACATACAGGCTAGGAATGGGAGGTAATGTGCGCAGGCCACATGGCTGGTGACTAGGCCTCTTGATTCCAGCAGGCAGGCTCTGTGTCTACTGCACAAAATCCACAAACTGGAAAATCTGAAGTGGTGGCTGCTCACCAGGGCACTGTCCTTTGATGGGCCATGGGCTCCGTGTGCCCACTGCCTCCAGGGACAATGATCCGCATGTGCTCTTTTCCCCACCCTCTTGTAGGATCATGTTTTCTAGAACCAGGGAGATGTGGCACTCTGCCACTGTCCGACAAAGTCCTCATGATATTCTGAGCACAAAACAGGCTGGCATTGTCTGGGTGACTTGTGGATGGGGATGGAGGGTAGAGGGTGTGTGAGTAGGAAAGACAGAGTCCCTGCTCCCTAGGAGAGCTCTTTCCAAGAGGGACAGCACGTGAGGCTGAGAGGCACCTGGTCAGGGCCTGTGCTGGGCATGCTTTGTCCATGACTGCAGGCAAAGTGCTCAGAGACGGTGTCTTAGTCTGTTCGGGCTGCTGTAATAAACTACGGTAGACCAGGAGGCTTGTCAACAGCAGGAGCCTGTTTCTCACTGTTCTGGAGGCTGGAAATCCTAGATCAAGGTGTTGCAGATTCCGTGTCTGTTGAGGGTCCACTTTCTGGTTCACAGACGGCACCTTCTTGCTGTGTCTTCACAGGGTGGAGGAGGTGAAGGGTCTCTCTGGGGCCACTTTTCTAAGGACACTGATACCATTCATGAGGCCTCCATCTTTATGACCTAATCACCTCCCAAAGGCCTCAGCCCTGATACCATCATCTTGGGGGTTAGGATTTCAACATAGGAATTTGGGGAGGGGACACAGACATTCAGATCATAGTAGGTGGCACATGGACCAACTGTTCTAGAACAAAGTTGGGGTGGGGGCAGGCTGCACAGTGGGGCCCTGTTTCTGAGAACCTCTTGGGTGGTACCCCTGTGCCCGCTCTGCAGATGTAACAGTAAACTCAGTAGAGCCTCCTGCCTCCAGCCCAAGTTCAGTAAGCGCTGGGTGATGGGGTTGCCATGGAGGAGGGGCCCCTGCCTCTTTGAAGCTTATTATGAGGCTTGGGAGGCAGATCTTAATCAAGCATAGCACACTGCAGGGAGCCCAGGTACAGCACCGGCCCAGCCTGGCCTATAGGGAAGCTTGTGGGAGGAAGGGCCCTTTGGATTGGTGAGCAGTGGTTACCAGGTGAAGGGAGAGAGCCTTCCCGACACTGGAACAGCACACACCAGGCCCCTTGCTGTCTCCTGGAGGAGGGTCTGGCATCGCACCACACACTGCAGGCTTCAAGTGCACATACAGAGATCAACAGTGAGTCTGAGGAAGGCGATAGAGCAGGGAGGAGGCAGAATGTAAACAACCACAGGAGTCCAGGGCAGAAGGAACAGGCATGGGGGCAAGTTCTGGAAGGGGAGGAGAACAGGACTGATGCTGCGGCGGAACTTGAGGAAGGCCTGTGAGGTTGCATGGAATGTGGATGTGCAGGAAGAGGGAGGGAGTGTGCCAGGCCAAGGGGACAGTGCAGGTGAGTCCTGGGGCCAGGGAGGCCTGTGACCTGTGTGAGAAGGTGGCTCCTGGGCAGACCCAGAAAGGCCAGGGACAGGCTGGGCTCAGGCAAAATGCAAAGGGTATGCCGCATACCTTGAACTTAGTCCATTCCCTCTGTTGAACCCCAAGAGTAAGACCCCTCTTCTTCCCTGTTTGGAGCCCACCTTCTCTGCCCCAGAGAGGGACTGGACCCTGCGCCTCCACAGGAGAGCTCACAACCTGCCCAGCAAGTTGCACCAGGAATTTGGCCCACGTTGCCCGAAACATCAGACCTGCAGGGCTGGGCCAGTGGATCTTTGGAATGTAGTCTCAGCATGTTTGGGGCTAGGCTGGTTTGCTCCAGTGCAAAGCATCTCCCTTCAGGTTTCACTTACAGCACCCCTCAGATGGCCGCTGCCTGCCTTCTTAGACTCTGGAGTGGTTGTTAAGTAAATAACAGAATTTCGCAGATGCATCCTGCAATGACCTTGGCCCCAGGCCTTTCCTGCTCAAACTTATACTTCCACCTGGGGCTTCCTCCAAAGGCGCCCCCCCCCCCGCCCCTTAGAGTGAGGTCACTCCCTCGTGGACGACCAGGAATCCACCTTCTAGAGAAGCCGCCTGGCCCTATAGTCAAGGAGAGAGACTGTGGCAGTGGAGGCTCTCCTGATAGATACCCTTCTTCTTAGCATTCCTATTTTCTGTTGGAAAAAAATGCACCCTTACTTAGAAAACAGACAAAAACGGCATTGTCCTAATGCCCCCGATTCTTCCAAATCAAGGCAACTATTTTCATTTCTGCACATGATCTTTTAGAACTCATAGAGAGGTGAATTCGTTCCTTCTCTGAGCTTCTCTTTCCAGCTGGTGACTTGGCCACTCATTCAGCCTCAAACACACTCCCCTAGTGTCACACACAGGCTCTGCGAGCACAGGGAGCCAGGCTGGACAGGGAGGCACATGTGGGAGCCTGAGAGGTGCAGGTGTAGGCACTCCAGGGTGGGGCCATCGAGACCTTCGACAAGGCCAATGTGGGTTCTCCTCTGGGGGAAGAAAGCAGGGTCCAGTGAGGGTTACTGTTTCTTCTGTCACTGGAATGATTGGCCAGGGCCAAGCACTTGGAGCACAGCCAGAAGAAACAGGGCACAGGGACCAGCCCAGATGTCTCTGAGTTGGCACAGGGGACTTGGAGATCAGGAACAGCATGAGATCAAGAAACACATCAAAACCATAAAACTCAACAAAGCAGAATGCAAAAACTTGCTGCAAAAGAAGAATGGAATGTTTGCATGGAGGGTAGTAGGAAATTGCTACTTCACGTCTCAGTGCGTAGTGCTTAGCGCAGCACCTGGCCCATGGGCAGGGCCATGAGTGCTTCTTGAAGGACAGGGAGAAAGGGCGGGGAAAATGAGCTCACAGGCAGGCGTCTGGAAAGCTGAGGAACCCTCAGACCCCACAGGGCCTGTCCTGTTGGTTTCCTAAACTTGCTGCCCATGACACAAACTGTGTCCTTTGGGTGCATTGGTTCCTGTTGTGGCAACAGACCTGTTTTTGAAGCAGTAGGGCCTAAAGGAAAAGGAAGGAAAAGCTCTTGGCTGCCCCGGGTCTTGGTCTATGATTCAGAACTGCTAAGCCTTAGAAGGAAGGGAGGGGACTCGCCACTGCCCCACCTGGATGACAGATGAGGAGGCGCCCAGAGAGGTGCACCTCAGAGGCATGTAGGAAACCAGAGGCTGGTGGGCAGAGGGCAGCCACAGCTGT
The DNA here is from genome assembly GCF_000001405.40 of Homo sapiens. Classification (NCBI taxonomy): domain Eukaryota; kingdom Metazoa; phylum Chordata; class Mammalia; order Primates; family Hominidae; genus Homo; species Homo sapiens. Next base: position 95,019,011 of record NC_000002.12, on the reverse strand, counting down.
GGAGGGGAGGGCTGCCTGCATCCGACCAGCCCGGTTTGTTTGGGAGTGACCCTGACCGTGCAGGACTAGGCATTGCATCGTGAGGAGGATTCAGACCCATCCCCTCTGCATCACCTCCCAGACCCCAAACCCCCCAGGCCCATCTCTTTCCAGACCCCACCATCTTTCCAAACTCTCACTTGCCAGAACCCGTCACCTCTCGATCCATCACCTTCCCCAAACCCCTTAAAAAATCAGAGAGGTCAGAATCTTGGCGCTACCCGGTCCTCCGAGACATGACAGTCTCTCCCCACCAGCTCCAGGCCCGATCACTTGCTCTTTATGTGGGAAAGGACAGTCTCTTCTCATGAAGTGTTTAATCCACTTGGCATAGGAGGCCTGTGTCCAGGCTGTGGGATGACACCCTGCCGTGGGTGGAAAAGGGACAGTGGATGTCCATGTGCTGACACCGGAGGATGCCGGGACAGCGTCCTTTCAAGGTAAAAGAGGAAGTGGCAGATCCGTGCTTAAAGCATAATCCATTTTTTGCTTCTAATAAAATGTGTCTGCAGATACAGAGGTAAATGCACACCTGGACGGACAGAAACTGCGCTCCTCACAACGGCTCCCTTTGAGGATGGTAGGATGGTATTGGGGGGTGAGAAAGCACTGGGCTGAGGGCAGGAAACGTCATTTTTTCGTTAAACAGTGGACAAAGGATGTAGAATTTGCAACTGAAAACCCACTAAAGGAACGCACACCTTGGCTCCAGCCTGCTGATCTGTGGAGGTCGCCTCCTTCTGCCTGGCCGGGAACTCCTGTGTGTTGCAGAGCTGGGCAGGAGACCTCGGATGCCACATTTCTGGGGACATCCTCTTTCTTTTCCCTACCCTCACATGGTCCCATCCTCTGCGAGGCAGGGCTAGAGGCAGGGCTAGGCAGAAAGGGCTGCATGTTTGCTGTCCCGGGGCGGCCCGGGGCTGCTGAGCGGCCCCTCCGTGCTGGCCTCGCTGCCCTGTGCCTTAGCCTTCCTTCCCAAGAAGGGGTTGCCTGTTTCGGTGCCTGACACCTCTGACCTGGGGCCCCTGGCTTTCTCTTCTGCCTACTGCCTTCCCCAGAGTTGGCTGCACACAGGGTCAGCGCGGCACCTCTGTCTTCTTCACAGGCACCATCCTCCCTCTGATCACATCATGAATGTGCCACAGAATTCCTCCCTTCTGCCAGACCTCAGAGAGCACTCAGATTAGAGTGACCTCGGGGCCTGGATTAAAAATCTCCCTTCTAGGACGGCTTGAGCCCGGTTGGTGGAGGCTGTAGTGAGCCGAGATCATGCCACTGAACTCCAGCCTGGGCTGTAGAGTGAGACTCTGTCTCAAAACAAACAAACAAACAAACGAACTCTCCCTTCTGCTATTTCCTTGCTGTGCAACTTTAGACAAATTACTTGACTTCTCGGTGCCTGGGTTTCCTTGTCTACACAATAGTGATGCTAATCTCTCTCCCAGGGCTGTCTGTGGATTAAACGAGATAATGTGTGTGAGTGCCCTTGGCAGTGTCTGGCATGAGGCAGCGCCCGGGACATGACAGCTGGTGTTGACATAAATAGAGGCCCCCTGGGCTCCCCCAGGATTCTTTGCTGTCCCACACGTGCCATGCCCTGTCTCACAGCTTCACTCTCAGGAGAAAAGTTTTCTCCCCTGTTTGAATGCAGCTTCTGTTAGGGAACATTCTGGCTGTCACACACACACCCAGATCCCTACCTCGTCTCCAGGCTGTCACCTCCCAGGCCTAAGGCTATTTCTGTACCTACCCTCCTAGCAAGTGGTAGTTCTTGTTCTGCTCATTGCAGGAGGCACCGCACCGTGAATTCCTATACAGCAGAAGATGGGACGGCCACCTGAGCCAACCCCACAGCTGACAGCTGAGCCTCCAGCGAAACCCAAGGCTGACACAACGTGAGTGCCTCACTGTGAGCTCTTACAAGGGGTCACTGTGGCCTTGCGATGCTAGGGAAGGAAAGCAAATTCAAAAAGCTTCCAGGGTTGTCATCAGCAAATAAAGTCTCTCAGCCCCAGTGGAAGCCCAGCCTTCATGGGAACCCAGCTCTCATGGGCTCACTCTCTCTACGGCTCACCAGACTGCCTGGTGCACTGACGGGGTCTCATTAGCCCTTAGTCACCTGCTGAGGTGGCTCTAAAGGTTTCACCTCCGGTGGCCTCTCGGGCCTGTGAGGGAGGGCTGGAGCCCGCCCAGCTCAGAAGTATGACAGGGCAGGCTCACCACTGGCACGTTCTGCTTGGGGTCAGGCCTGGTTCAGGGGTCCTGAGGGATGGCTTAAAGCCCAGAGGCTCCATTTCATCGCTGGGAAGCGAACGTGGTTCACAGAAGTCCTGCCCATGCATCTGGACCTGCTGCACTAATTCAGGGACTCGGTTCTTTCTGCTCTTTCTGTGTTGGGGAGGAAGGGGTCGGGAGTACAGGTGTGCGCTGCCACACCTGTCTAATTTTTGTATTTTTTTTTTTTGTAGAGACAGTGTTTTGCCATGTTGCCCAGGCTGGTCTCAAACTCCTAGGCTCAAGCGATGCTCCCTTCTTGGCTTCCCAAAGTGCTGGGATTATACGTGTGAGCCACCATGCCAGGCGGCGGGTGTTTGTTCCTTTTTTTTTTTTTTTTATTTTTTTTTGGAGACAGTCTCTCTCTGTTGCCTAGGCTGGAGTACAGAGATGTGATCTCTGCTCACTGCAACCTCTACTTCCCGGGTTCAAGCGATTCTCCTGCTTCAGACTCAGTAGCTGGGATTACAGGCACGCGCCACCACACCCGGCTAATTTTTGTATTTTTAATAGAGACAGGGTTTCACAGTTGGCCAGGCTGGTCTTGAACTCCTGACTTCAAGTGATCCGCCCACCTTGGCCTCCCAAAGTGCTGGGATTACAGGTGCGAGCCCGCACCTGGCCCTGGTGGTGCTTCTTAACAAAGGTCAGTGGATTTCTGGACTTTCTGAGTAACTTGTGGACAAATGAAGAGAGTCCTCAGGGACTTTCTGAGCTTGGCTAAATTTGATATTCACAAATGAGAAGTTTGGTACCAGAGTTTTCTGAGGCTCCAATTCAGGATTTCCCTAAGAAATCTGTCTGGAAAGCAGTGTCTAGCTTCTGGGCCTGAACCCAGGCACATACGCGAGTGTGCACACACACACGGTTACAGTTTCTGCGATTTTGAGAAAGGCCTCGATATCACACACGTTGTTGCCGTGGGTGTCTCATGGTTTCCAGCTGCTCCTGCACTCATATTGATGAATACAGCCTTAGAGAGATTTACTGCTTTCTTTTGTGGATGGCTTTGTTCCTGCGTTGATGTATCATTTCCATTTCACCGTGGTCTGTGTGGTCATCACGTTCTTCCTGCGTGGGAAAGCAGAAGCAAGTCTGGTGAGCAGCCACTGAAAACCTTGCAAGCCCTGGCCCAAGAGCTCGTGTCTAGAGATGGCCTCACTCAGTTAGTCCAAGAGGCTTCCAGATAGCTAAGGGGTCCGGGGGAGGGTGACCTCACAAGGGACTGAGGACATGGGAGACCACCCTTCACGCAGGTGAAATGGACCAGCGGGTGCAGGCTTGGCTCTATCTAACATCAGGGAGGACTTGGTAGCTGTGCCAAGCTTGTGGGGTGTGGTTGTCATGATCCAAAGAATAATGGGCAGCTGTAGGGAGGCCCACAGGCTCAGGGGCTCTGAAAGCCTCTATTTTCAGGAGAGCCCAGTATGTGACCAGCAATGTTTTCTCTAAGGTGTACAGCGTGGAGCCAAGGAGGACAGCTTTTTCTCAACAGAAGCCCACAGGCAACTCATGGCTGCATTGGTGGTCCAGAGACTCTGGGAGGCTGGAGGAGGCTGCCAAAGAATCTTCAGGGAAGGAGTCTCCAAGTGCACTAATGGGAGTGGTGGCGGGGTCAGGAGAGTGTGAAGTTTGCTGGTGACAGCAGCAAGGTGTGCAGCACAAAGGAGACACGTAGGCTGCAGCCCCCACCTGAGCAGCGTCAGCACTGAGGCCAGGGTTTCACTTCTGTACCAGGGGGGAGTCTGGCAACACCTTCCTTCACAGCAGTTGCTCGAAAGACACAGACAAGCCAGGATTCTGCCCCAAATAATAATAAACACTGACGCTGTAGATGTAATGAGCCCTAGGACAGGCCTCCACCACACACACTGGAACGCCTCCCCCCAGGAAGAGAAGAGCTGCTCTGGTTCTCATCACTCCCCTCACCCTAACATGAGCCTCCTGGGCTGGTGTCTAGTCCTGAAGTTTAGTCAGTTAGCTCTGTTCACTTTGATTAGTCCCATGCTGAGGACATTTGGGTGGGGAGAGACTTGGCAATCTCTGGCAGACGCAGCAGCAGGCAACTGGGCTGAAGTGTAGGCTCAAGTTCTGCCCCAAACCCTCTCGAAGTGGCCTGGGAGAAAATGACAAGCCAAGGGCAGTCCCTGACGAAGCTGTCCAAGGGCCAGTGTCACGGCCATGCCATCCTGCTCACAATGCCAATTGTTTTGTAAGATTTCAATGTTCTTTTGATGATGGACACAACACAAACACTCTGGAAGAGATGAAAGGCGGAGCTTTTGGTTACTTACAGCTCCAAAAGAGAGCCAGCTGCCAGGCAGGGCCACACAGGGGACTCACCCAGGGACAACAGACCAGCACGCTGGGACTATCTGGGCAGCTCGTACACGGCAAGCGGGGTGGCTTAGGTGGGCTTCATGGGCCCCCTGGGAATTGATTCATTGACACAATATTGCAGGCTCAGGAGGCTGGGAGCCATCCCGGGTTGGTCTGGAACTTGACACCAGGCAGTTAGGGCAGGGGCATGGTGGTCTGGAGAGATGGTCATAGTGGCAGCCCCCTAAGGGAAGGGGTTGGAATGTGGACTTAACTGCTCAGGAAAGTAAACTAACTGGCATCTAACCAGGGCCTCAAAACTGGTTCAAGACAGTATATATATATAATTTTATTACAACTGGTTCTGGTGGCAGAGGCCTCTTCCAGGCCTGAGGAAGTAGCACCTCAGCACCCTGGACCTGCCCGCCCCTGCACACCAGAGAAGGACCCCAGGTCGAGCCCAGTCCTGGTGATGCCAGTCTCCCTGACGGTTGTTAGCTCAGGCGTGGGCATGCTACACAGCCCCTGCCAATGATAGAGTTGATCTGCTCGGTTTCCACTGGCACATTTACTCTATCTGCATCAAGCACCTGCTCTTTTCTAGGCACTATTGTGTGAACAGGGAATTCACACGGGATAGAACAACATCCCTTCCTCAGGGAGCTTCTGCCCTAGAGAGAGAGCTCTGCTGTGGGTCAGGGTGTTTTCATCGACTCCCACTCACCCTGCTGGTGAAGGAGGGATTCTCATCCCAGGGTTATGGGGATGGCCCAACACACAACGTTGACACACTGGACAGAAGACACAGACAAAAGTTTCTGAGGCTTATATGCCCACAGCCTGGGAGAGGAGGACGCAGGGCCCATGGGAGCTGCGGTGGGAGCAGAAGGACCTGGCACGGGCTGGGGGAGGCGGACTTTGCAGTACTAAGAGGATGCGGTGGCCCTAGTTTCTATCTGATGGTGTGATTGGCTTGTTTGAATAATTCTGTGGGCTGATAGGGAATGGAAATGCAGGGACAAGCAGGAACTGTGACCGGCCCCCTTGAGAAGGAGGGTAGAGGTGTGCAGAGGGGAACTTGTGGTTAGGCCATTCGAGGCCCTCCCGGTTTCACCAGATGTCAAGGCAGTGCATAATGTCATTAATAATATTAGTTTTAGGCTTTACACCACAGAGGGCTGCTTCTGGGATGTGGCTTTTTTATGTCCTTAGGCCTTATTGTGTAAAGATATGATGCTTGGAGCTGCCACAGCCTCTGTGAGAAGATGAGTGAAAAGCCACAGAAATAACAGAGAGGCTGACTCGGGCCCTGACTAGGGTGGAGCTGCTGAATTACTCAGTCTGGGGGTGCCGTGCCTCCAGCCTTTCCATTTGTGGGATGTGGCACTCAGTTCCTCATTGTTTAGGCCTCTCTGGGTTGGGATTCTATTCCTGCCACTCAGAAGTAGCCTGGTCCTGTGCTCATACTGTGTGATCCTGTGTGTATCAGTGGCCCCAGCTCCACGGTGCTGAGGAGCACAGAGCAGATGTGGGTTTCTTCTGTGTTTGTGCATTTCTCTGTGCAGATGTGATGATATCTCGTGTGCATTCTTTTTTTTTTTTGGAGACAGGGTCTTGCTCTGTTGTTCAGGCTGGAGTGCAGTAGCACAATCATGGCTCACTGCAATCTCGAACTCCTGGGTCCAAGTGATTTTTCCTTCTCAGCCTCACGAATAGCTAAAACTACAGGTGCATGCCATCATGGCTGGATAATTTTATTTTTATTTTTTCGAAGAGACAAGGTCTCATTATATTGCCCACGCTGGTCTTGAACTCCTGGCCTCAAGCGATCCTCTCACCTCCGCCTCCCAAAGTGTTGCAATTACAGGCATGAGCCACTGTGCCTGGCCTGATGTGCATTCTATACAAAAAAAATATAACAAGCCCCAATGTCTCATTGGAGGGTAACAGGAGGAGGAGTCTATGGAGGGGCTGGCCAGTCCTGGAGCCAGAGTGTGGGCCTCTCAGGAGGGATATCCCACCTGGTCTGCAGGACTGGAGACCAGCAGGGCTGAGGTGAGTCCTGGGCCACTCTGGCAGCAGGGGAGGTCAGAGTCTGACCCCCACTGGGGAGACAGATATGAGGAAGCTTTAGAAGAGGGGAGCATTCCCTCTGTTGTTGTCTCTGGTGACCTGAAGACCCATCTAAGTGCTGACTGATGACCAAGAGAACAAGGTGCTGGTACCCGTGACCTGGGCCACCATGAGCCACTGCACCTGAAGGTAGGGAGCCCCTCTAAAGGATGGCAGCCTATCTCATGGCCAATGATAACTTACCTGTGAGCTTGTTGGGGCTTGGGGGCTCTTCCTTGCAACCAATGACTTACACGCAAGGTTGCTAGTACAAGGAGCTCTTTGTCAGGCTTCTGGTTGGTGGATAGAGTCATCTGAAGGCCACTTCTGTCCTCTAAGCCCCACCTGCCCTTCTGAGGATTACAGGATGGGCATGGCCACTTATTGAACATGTATTAACTGCCAAAGGCTTTTTACTCGTGATCTCTAAACCTTACAACCTTCCTTATAAACAAAGGAAGTGATGCTCAGAGAGGCTAAGTGACTTTCCTAAGCCCACACAGCAAAGAAATAGTGGAGCCTGATTTGAACCCAGGTTCCTTCTTCAATGCAGAGCCTGCTCTTCCCTCTGGCCACCATCCCGTGTATCCAATGCTTTGAGCAGTTGCCTCAGTGGCAGGCTGGGCTGTTACTGCTTCTCTGAGCCTCAGTCCCCTCATCTGTAAATTGGGATCACAAGAGTTGAGAAGGAGGTGCCTGGTGCCTGGCACAAAGCAGCTCTTGACTACCGATGCCAGCCCCTCTGCATGACCCGCCTCTGGGCCTTTAAAAATTTTGGCAGTGGCTCACGCCTGTAATCCCAGCACTTTGGGAGGCCGAGGCGGGTGGATCACGAGGTCAGGAGATCGAGACCATCCTGGCTAACATGGTGAAACCCCGTCTCTACTAAAAATACAAAAAATTAGCCAGGCGTGGCGGCGGGTGCCTGTAGTCCCAGCTACTCAGGAGGCTGAGGCGAGAGAATGGCGTGAACCCGGGAGGCGGAGCTTGCAGTGAGCCGAGATTGCGCCACTGCACTCCAGCTTGGGCGTCAGAGAAAGACTCTGTCTCAAAAAAAAAAAAAAAATCTCTCTCTATAGACTGGAGGCAAAGAAGAGGATGGAGCTAATAATGAATGATGGCAGCATGGAGTCAAGCCCGAGGTCTTAGAGAAAGTCACAGATGACCGCGTCCCGTCATCTGCCCACTGCAGAGCCCAAGGCACAGAAGGCCTCTCGCCGTCACAGCTCCAAGTGCTGGAGCTGGAGGCACACAGGCGGCAGTGTGTGAGGGGCAGGGCTGCCAATGGGCTGTAGGCTTTATGGCCTAGTGAGAGACCCTGGAATGTAATCTGGGCTTTCATCGCTCTGCAGCTGGAGTAGGGCAGGTCACTGCCAGCCTGCGCTGGGCTGGACTGCTGGTCACCAGGGACCTCTAGACCTCTGTTCACAGCAGACTGCCAGGCCTAGAGCCCAGGGAACCCAAGGCAGGACTGATGGAGTGGAGAGGAGGGAAAGGCGAGGCCCCCACTCCTGCAGCTCTGCAGGCTCCAGCAGCATTAGAAAGGAAAACTGTTTTAATGGCCTCCTCGAGGCGGAGGGAGTGGTGTTTAACAGGGCCTGAGGAATGGGCCCTCAGTGAGCTCCATGAGGCCTACTGGGTGCTGGATCACATGGCATGAACACCAGAGCCCTCTACCATCTGGAGACTGTGGCAAGTTCTTTCATGCTCATGGGTGAAGCAGGCATCCTGGTGGTACTTCCCCGTGGGGTGGTTGAGGGGTTAAGGGAGGCTTTCCTGTCCTGAGCCCACCCCATATGAGTGGCTACTAAACGACGGCCTCAGCATTCGTTACCCCTGGGAGGGCCTCCTGTCTCTCCTCTCTCTGCATAAGCTGCCCCAGCCGCCTTCCCACCCAGCCTCCGGGCTTCCAGCCCCCAGACCTGGGAGACATAAATGTCTGTTGTTTCAGCCACCCAGCCTGTGGTATTTGGTTACGGCAGCGTGAGTTGACTAAGACCCAAGGAGAGAGCCCACACCCCCGATTTCCACTGGGAAGTGGCGGCAGCAGCACTCAGAGCTCTCAGGTCTTTGTACAGCAGTCCCTGGGCCAAGTCTTGCTGTAGATGAGCTCCTATCAGCTCTACCAGGGCAGTCATGCTGGCATGCCCACTGTAAGGATAAGGAACCAGAGGTACAGAGAGATGGAAAAACTTGCCTAGAATCACAACGGTTAGAAAATGGCAGAGGAGGGATTTGCACTTTTGGGCTCCAGAGTTCACCGTCTTTTTTTGTTTTTGTTTTTGAGGCAGGGTCTCACTATGCCGCTGAGGCTGCAGTGCAGTGGCGATCATGGCTCAGTGCAGCCTCGACCTCCCATAGCCGGCTAATGTTTTTTGCATTTTTTTTGTAGAAATGGGGTTTTGCCAGTTGTTGCCCTGTCTGGTCTCAAACTCCTGAGCTCGTGATCCTCCTGCTTCTGCTTCCCAAAGTGCTCAGATTACAGGTGTGAGCCATGGTGCCCCGCCCAGAGTCCAGGGTCTTAACTACAGTGTTTGATTCTGCCCCAAACCAGCTCAGTTGCCTCTGGGTCTCAGCAATTCCATTTTTAAACTTGTTATTGATATACTCACAGTCTGTGAAATTTACACAACACATAATTATGTGAACACACTGCCAGGTCGCCTTGCAGGGCCATGGAAGGGACTGGCCAGCAAGGGCCCAGCTGCTGAGGCTGCACAGCCCCACAGCAAAACGTCCCTGCGCTGAGCAGGGTTCAACCTTACAAAGAATTGAAGAGTAGATTTATATAATAATGGGATACGTGATGAATTTTGAAATTATTGCCCAGATAATGAAACTTTGGAGCAATATATAAAGATTGTGACCCCTTGGGTAGGCAGGTGTTACCTTGACTAGACTTGCCCTCTTTAAGTTATGGTTATTCTTTTTATTCTTTATTCCACTTCTTTGCCCACAGTGCTGTGGGCTTTAGGGTCACTCTGGCTTCCTCTGACCGGCCCTGGAAAGGAGGCCTCCTTCATGGCACCTTTTGTTGTCCTTGAAGAAAGTTTTTGTTACAGGAAAGGTTAACCAGAGGTTACTCTGCTTTATAGAGTTAATATCTCACTCATTAAACCCACACATTCAAAAACCCAGTTTTTACTCAGGCATTTAATTTCAGCCAGCAAATTGTAAAATTGTACGTGTATATTTTGAAAATTGTACATATTTTGTCTAACATTTTTGGCAATCATTTTAAGGACAACTTTATTTCTTAATAATTTCTTAAGGATTAAATTCCCTTAAACCTTTAGAATTGTATTTATAAATGTAATAGTTTCTGTTTTTCCTGTAAGTATTCTAATTATTAGAATTATTTAAAATATTCCTGAATATTTAAACAACTTATGAATCCAATAGATTAAATCTAGAAATATGGTGTATTTTGAGTTCTCTCAAGTCTTCTATACTGCTTATAAATTTAGGACATTTTAAGTAAAAATCACAAAGCTCAGCTGATGACATATTTTAAATTAGAAGCAAAAAAGGTGAATATTTACTCCATTAGGGCTAATTTCTTTTAAACTTGATGAAACACCTAGAATTTGTAAACTATGTGCAAACTTACATGAAATATTATTATTTTGGGTTTGGTTTATTTAATAATTCTCTACTTTATTCTAACCCTCCCTGGGCCATGGTGACTCAGAGACAGGGTCAGTGCACAGGCTGGGCCCATGGAGAGCAGGGCATCCAGAGCTTGTCAAGGGCTGCTGGCCAGAGCCTGCTCCCCTCACTGCTCTTTAAGTGACTGTAACAGAAACGGGTGGCCTTAAGCCAAGCTGAGCGGGGGTTTCATTACACCTGCCTTGTAGGGATTCTGGGATTTGTCATGGGGACACACTACAATGTGTACCTACAATAAGATGGAAAGATGTTCAATTACACTCTATACACATATACACATGAAAGGGAGGGACCCCTTTTGCTTTGCCTGTGTGCAGTAGATGCTTACACGGAGAGTTTGGTGTAGACAGACAGAGACAAGAGGCTCCGCATTTCAGGGAGGAGCAGACCTCTACAGCGACCAAGGAGGAGGGCCAGATACAACTAACTGGAAGCTGAGGAGCGGGTTCTCAACTTGACCCTCTGAGGGCACAGGAGACATTACTGAGCAGGTGCACAGCTGTGCCAGAATGAAAATGTTCTGTGACAGAGACAAGAGCGCCTGCTGAGAGCGGAGCTGTCTCCATGTGCATGACCACAGCCACAGCCCTGTGACATCAGGCATGTGACACGCTTGCTGGCTGATGAGGCCCAGAAAGGGCCTTTAGAGGTGGCTGCGAGGCAGCGCTGCAGTAGGATACCCTTATAAGGAAGCTTTTTGCCAGGACTGGGCTGGCGGCTGTCCTGGGAACCCCAATCCCACAGTGCTTCTGGCTTTCCTCACCATTAGCATCTCCTTTCCTAGCAAATATCCTGAGAGCGCTTTGAGATTGTGTTTTTCTCCTGGGGCAACCACCTGCAGAATCTCCACGGAGGGGCTGGGAAAATGCTTTGCATGATCCCTCAAAGCTCCCTTTCATCGAGGGAGGAAAGGCTGAGAGGTGGGCCTCAGAAAGAGCTTCGTGGGGGCAGGAGCCATCCTGGGGGTAGAAGAGGGGTGTAACTGGTCTAGTCCATCCGAAGTAAGGGCTTTAAGGAGCCTGCTGGGAGAGTTTAACCTGGGACCCCCGCAGCATGAGGGACATAGAGACTGGCCTCAGACCCAGGCTTGGATGATCCAGAGGGTGAAGTCAGGCTGGCAGCCTGCTCTTATGCTGGAGCCCAAGTGGGTCATGGGAAAGAAGAGCCAAAGCGTTCCCATTGACCAGAGGCCAGGTGAGAGAGTGAGGCGGCCCAAGGTGGTGGCAGCTCCTGTGGGAAGAGACCACCCCAGGGGCTGGAGGTGAGGCTGGCTGCCCAGGGGCCGAGGAAGGAGGGAGTGGCCAATCTGAACAGAGCGGCCTTCTCCTCCTTAGGGTCTGTAGCCAAAGGTGCGCCGTGCAGCACCTGGAGTGGGGGGTGGTGGGGGAAATCTCCGAAGGAGTCAGGAAAGCACCTCTGCCAGGGCCAGATCCCATCACAGGCATCAGTGGGTGAAAGCGCTCCTGCTGCTTTCCTTTCTCCCTTTCCCGTCTCCATACTGGAAGGGCTGGAAATGGCTTTGAGGAGAAGGGGTGTGAAGAAGAGTTAGGCAGCCCACTGTGCCGCCCCGCCCTGGCTGCAGCAGGCTGGAGGGGGTTTAGGGGGTGAGGAGAGAAGGGGACTCAACACTGGATCCAGTTTTTATCACCCAAGAATGAACAGATCCCCTGCTGTGCTTTCATCCAGAACAGGAACTGCCCTGGAAGTAAGTAACCAGAACAGGAACTACCCTGGAGTGAAGTAAAGGGGCGGTGGGAAATTCCCGTGCGGCTGCTGCCGATGTCCTGTGCCACCGAGGCACTGCATAGTCTGTTGGAAGGGAAAACAGAAAAGTAACTTTCAACCTTCTCCCCTCACCCCTTTGAATGCCAAGGAGAGCCCTCCTCCCAGCCCCAGAAGAAACCTCAGCTGTGTTCTTGTGCTGTGCGTCCAAGAGAAAGATGATCAGAGCCCAGCGGCTGCATGCCTAAGCTTCCATGCTCTAGTGGCCACATTAGAAAAAGTGAAATGGAACAGGTAGAATTAACTTTAATAATGTATTATGTTTAGCCCCAAGATCTCTAAAACATTATCACTTAAACATATACATTAATAGAACAATTTTTGAGATATTTTACGTTCTTTCTGTTCCAGTTCTTTGAAGTTCGATGTGTATTTTACACTCACAGCACATTGCTATTTGGACCAGTCTTGTTTTGAGGGCTCAGTTGCCACACATGGGTCTCGGGTATCCAGGAATGGTTTTGTTTTTCAAGATTAGAAAATCCAGCCCAGTCTGAAACCAAAGCTGCAATCTTTTATCCAATCCAAACACCCACCTCCCCAGCCCAGGCTTGAAAACCTTCAGTAGAAGGGGCAGCTTCTGTGTGGGGGCTTTTCTCTCTTCCTCACTTTACCTTTTCTCCTATTTAGCAACTGTGCTTTTGGCCCCACCCCCTCTCTCCACCCCTTCTCTGCCCAGGGCCAGTGGGCAGAGCAAAGGCTGAACCCTAGGTCGCTGGGGCTCTCTGAAGTTCTCTCTGCCAGGCTGTGCCCTGAGGCGCCCTCTCTCGTGCCGTGGTGCTTTTGTGCTAGGGGCCGCACCTGTGGTTCCTTGATGGCGCCCTTCCTTTGCTGGCTGTTAGCTCTCAGCTCTGGCCTGTTGGCTGCCAACTCACCTGGGATTCCCCTGGTGGGGGACTCGCCTTGTCTGTCCAAGCCATCTAGGCCCCTTAGAGAAGCCAGTTAGTGCAGCTGACCCTGCTGCCCAGGGAAGGCCACGTGCTTCTGCCTTCACTCCCTCTTCCCCCTGTTGTAGAGGCAGCAGCTGCTGCAGGCCTCGCTCTTAGGTTTTTCCAGGCACACATCTGGTACTGGGTCCTGGTGCTCCCCACCCCACCTCCAGGGACCCAGCCAAGTTCTCAGAGCACTCTCTTGACACTCCCTGTATTTGGCTTGGGGTACCCTCCTGCCTTCCTCTCTGTCATCAGCATGGGCAATGCACTAATAAAAGTGGCAGAATGCCCCCTGGAAAGTCCTATGTGGCTGGACCTTTGTCATGGGGATCCTTTGGCATGTCCTGCTTTCCATGGAGAAGCCAAGACCCCATTTTAACCCAACACATTTACAGATACAGCCAGGAAGGACACGCCACACCAGCACCAAAATATTCACATTGACCATCATGGGGGCAGCAGAGCATTCCCAGTGATTTCTACTTTTGCTTTATGAGTCATGGAATTTTCTAAAATATTTTTGTAAATTCTATTATTTATTATTTCTATAAGGAATTTTTTTTAAAAAAGAAAAACCAATAACTCCCTAAAGTCAAATAAAATAAGAATGTGAATGTTGTCCAAAAAATATACATCAAGAAGGAAGTAAATAGCAAGTGTTTGCGTCCACGTGTCCGTGCTCACAGGTCCTGGTAAACAGGCTGTGGTGTATTTGGAGTCAGACTTCTCAAAGAGCAACTTGGTGGCCTTGCTTTTTCATTTCCCAGGCGCCTTGCTGCTGGGGTTTAGTTACATTTGGCCAGTGGTGGGCTCTGGCAGGCTGTAGGAAGGTGGGTAGAGGAAAGAAACCATTGTTCACTCTACTTCTGGTGGGGCACTGACTGCAGGAGTTTAGTGCTCCCCCACCCCCACCCCCGCGGGTCGGTGCTGTCGGCAGCAGCGCACTCCTCTGCTCAGACACCAGGACCTCTTGTCTTGTGATCCTCCAGCCCTAAGGGGTGCGCTCACTTCCTGTGGTTATTAATTCTCTGGGTTATCTCTCATCTCCTTTTGTACTCCTTGTGCCCTGGAAACTATTTGTAATCAGGCCCCTGAATTAAATCCCCTCTTTGTGAAATACCCAGCATGGTTTCTGTTTTCCAGACTGGACGCTGGCTGACTCAGGCACGCAGTTTTTGACCTCAGCCTGGCGCGACATCCTCCTCCTTGCTCTTCTCTCTGTAGCTCCCAGGTGGCTCATATGTGCCCCAGCACATATGTGCCCCAGCTCATATATGCCCCAGCTCTGTTTTCTGCCTCCCACAGAGAGCAGGTGCAGGTCATAACACGGAGCATCTGGCCTAAGGCCAGTTTGGCCAAGCCTGCGGCAGCCAGTGACCCCTCAGGCCAGGACTCCTGGTCCTAGTACCTAACGTCCTGTGCTGTGCCTGCCACTGCGGTCCCCCAGGGGACAGGGCATGCTATAGAGGCCTGCCCACTGTATGCAGCTGAGGAGCAGCCTCTTAGACCTGAGGCCTCAGGTCACAGCAACACCACAGCCTTGACTCCGGGCTGTCCACACTGGGGGACACCTTTAGGAAATTTAAACTTTTATCTTCCAGTTAAGGAAAACAGAAGCAGCGAAGAGAAGTGAACTGCCCAAGGTCACACAGTGACTGACTTGGAACAACATGGCCAGATCCCAGGTCCCTGCCTCCTGATCCAAAGCACTTTAAGAAAAAAAAAAACAACAAAAAACCAAAAATGAAACTGTTTATTTTGAGATCATTATAGATTCACAGGCAGTTGTAAGAAATAATACAGAGAGATCCTGTGTGCCCTTTGCCCTGTTCCCCTCCATAATAACAGGTTGCAAAACCATAGTACAATATCACAACAAGGACATTGATGCTGATACACTCCACCAATTTTCAGGTTTCCTCAGTGTTACTTGTATCCATTTGTGTGTGTGTGTGTGCATGTGTATTTAGTTCTGTACAGCTTTATCACCCACACAGAATAGATTTTGTATCCACTACCACACTCAAGAGGCCAAGCATCTGCTGGGCATTGTGGCAGGTGCCTGCAGTCCCAGCCACTCATGAGGCAGAGGCAGGAGGATCATTTGAGTCCAGGAATTCTGGGCTGTAGTGTGCTGTGCCAATTGGGTATCCACACTAAGTTGGGCATCAATATGGTGACCTCCTGGGAGCAGGGAAGCACTGGATTGCCTAAGGAGGGGTGAACTGGCCCAGGTCAGAGATGGAAAAGGTCAAAACTCCTGTGCTGATCAGTTATGGGATCGCGCCTGTGAATGGCCACTGCACTCCAGCCTGGGCAACCCAGCAAGACCCCATCTCTTAAAAAAATGTAAAAGTAGGAAAAGATGCATAACAGCTCCTTCCCCACAGGGATCCCTCATGCTGCCCTTTTAGGGCCACACCCACTTCTCTCCTGCTTCCAGCTAATTAAAAAAATTTTTTTTTAGAGATGGGGGTCTTCACTATGTGGCCCAAGCAGGTCTCAAACTCCTGGGCTGAAGCTATCCTCCTGCCTCAGCCTCTCAAAGTTCTGGGATTACAGGCTTGAGCCAGTGCACCTGGCCAACATTTGATTTTAATCACAAATTTAATAAAGGAAACATCTTCCAACATTCTAAACTGGCTTTAAAAATTTAATATACTCATTTTCTTTTTTAATTATGTCAATGGTCTGATAGTAAATTGGTTTTGAGTCTTTTAAATGAGTCTTTTTTTTTTTTTTTTGAGACAGATACTTGCTTTGTCACCCAGGCTGGAGTCAGTGGCACCATCTCAGCTCATCGCAAACTCCACCTCCCAGGTTCAAGGGATTCTTGTGCCTCAGCCTCCCAAATAGTTGGGACTGCAGGCATGCACCACCATGCCCAGCTAATTAAATGAGTCTTTGTATCTAGTAAGTTGAACTTGAAGTATGTTGAATTTTACATTCTCTTTAATGTTCCAACACTGTTCGTGAACTTAGATTTTAACCTAAAGCCACAAGGCTAAAGCAACGACGCAATTCCACACCGGAGTCTGAGTTCCAAATCTCTAACATATTATCTTCAGAAAATTCCAAATGTGCAGATTTCTTAACACCCAGATACTAACACCTAACCATTATTGAGCTCGCCTAGATCCTTCTGAGACTGGCATGTGTGTGCCTGCTGTGAAGGCCCATTGTCTTCCCAGTTGCCCACGGAGCTTGTTGGCAATTTCACTCCCTCACCTAAAGAGTAATCTAAAAGTCTTGTTCAGTAATTGTAGCTAGTTTGAGCAAACAGACTGACATAAAAAAGTATGTACATAAATGCAAGCCCAAGTTTCTCATTAAGTTTTTAAAAAAGACTTTGTTTTGATATTTTATATCAATTCCACCTTTAATACCTCCCCAATACCTTTAAAATTATTTTTATCATAATTAAATATATACCAAAAGATAATGATTTTTTCATGAAGCCCCATACAATTACCTACTTTATCCCATTGTGCAAAAAATTGTATTTTTTCTGTGCATTCCATGATGTGTAAGAGATCGGGAAGTAAAATACTATATTATTTTCTTTGCATTCCATGATGTGTAAGAGACTGGGAAGTAAAATATTGTATTCTTTCCTATGCATTCCATGATGTGGAAGAGATTGGGAAGTAAAATATAAAATGTGGATCAAAAGCCTGTGCCAGGCTTATTTAGTTCTCACAATAGAAGTGAATTGCCCAGGACAAAGTCTCTGACTCCTAACTAGTTGGCTCTCAAGAGACACTTGCCAAAGGAAGAAATGGCCTGTACCTACCATTGACACTTTAGTGTGAATGTATTTCTAGAGCCTTATTTCCACTTTCTGTGTGAAATGAAAGGTAAATGTTTCACTTAAGCTGCCGCAGTAAGAGACACCTACAAGGCTGGCTGGTTCTAGCTGTGCAAGTGTTTCTACCTGGCGCTGCAGAATACTCTGGCCTAATTCAGTGATGAAGACAGAAGCCTTGTGCCAAGGAGCCACCTGCTTTGGGTATTGTGACTGCACTTGGGCAGGAGGAGAGCCAAGAAAAAAACAGCCTGACACACAGTAGAAACTTCTTGTGTTTTACTTCCCAATCTTGTACACATCATGGAATGCATAAAAAAAAACTTTTTTTTTTTTTCCAGACAGTGGTTTCCCAAGGTGGGAGCTATTTGTGGGAACCTTGCTGATCCTACCTTCTTCCCAAACTCATGGGAAATATGACCAGCCCCATGTCTCACACACACTGAGGACTCAGGAGCCTCCGAGGTCTGGGGAAGGGCCCTGGCTCCTCTGAACCTTCCTCTTGGTACTGCAGGCCATGGGTGCTTCCGTGAGACCAAGGCTTGAATGTGGCCCCCTCAGCCACCCACTTTGTGAGCTGTGGGCTGGCAGCCTCACGTCTTTTAGCACAGGTGGGTGAGGAACCCTGCCCAGTGCTGTAGTGGGGCAGAGGGAGCAGATGTCACATGCCTGGCACATCCGGAGTTCCACCTCATGTCCTTTCCCTCACCCTCCATGACCCCCTCCTCTGAGCTGGGCCCAAACCTCCCTCCCAGGGAAATGGGACCTAGTGACCCACTGGGCTGTGCTTCCACAGGCACCTTTGAAAGGAGCCCGTGGGAAGCAGTAGGAAAGCAGCAGGCTATGTGTGGGGACACGCCCATCCCCATTGCTCCTTACTTGACCACCCTAACAGAGACAGCTAGTGGCAGGAGGGCTTCCCAGCATCTCCAGGGGTTCCCTGCAGCTTCCAGCCAATTCTCACACAGAGACAGCTGCTCTTCTGGCCTTTGCTTGGGGTGTGAGCCCAAGCACATGTATCCATATGTGTGAGTACAGGCTGAGATCCCACAGTGGGTAGCACCCTGTGTGTGTGCCTGTGTGTGTCTGTGTGTGTGTCTGTGTATGTGCACACATACATGTGAACTATGCAGGCTGTTATTTCCAAAACTAAATTTGGCTTTTTTAAAATTTGTAAGTTGTTTACATGAAAAAGTTTAAAGAAGCATAAAAATGAAATTATATTGTTATAGTTTTAGTGGATCATCTCTGAAAAAGAAAAATTTAGATTCTGAGAAACTGGACTTCTAAAACACTCCAGGATTTCCCACAGTTAAAGGCACAAGGCAGAGACAAATTCTGGCCATGATTAAATGTGAAGGGCATGGGTGGTAGGTGTAAAAAATGGGGTTCACAGTCCTGCTGGCCAGCACC
The DNA here is from genome assembly GCF_000001405.40 of Homo sapiens. NCBI lineage: Eukaryota > Metazoa > Chordata > Mammalia > Primates > Hominidae > Homo > Homo sapiens. The sequence goes on along the minus strand of NC_000002.12, from coordinate 95,000,666 downwards.
TTTCTCTGCCTCTTTCTGGCTCCCCTGGTTTGTCGTTTTCTGGTGTCTGTGAGCACCTCAAGGCCAGAGACCATTCCTCATTCATCCAAACACCCAGCATCCAGGGCCCAGGCTGGCATGAGTAGGGTCCCAGCAATTCTGTCAAAGAGTATTTGAGACTGGGGACTGATTCTGTCTTTTGTTCCCTCCTTAGATTCCTAAATTCTCCTCATTCTGCTCCTTCACATTTAAATCGACCCCCAGACAGGATCAGGACCTCCTGGCCTTCTTGGAGATGTGGGCTCTATGCAGGGATGACAGAAGCCAATGTCTGGAGCCCTCCCCCAACACTGCAGAGCTGGAGCCTGCTCAGAGCTCACAAGTCATCAAGGAAAATCCCCTGGGCCCTCAGAGATATGACCACTGGACCTACAGGGTTCTGACTAGGGCCAACCCCTTTGCAGAAGTCAGCAATCCCTGGGAACCTATGGGGGTGTCATGTAATACCTGCCACATCAACTGACAAGTAGACATCCCAATGGCCATGGAAAAAATGTCTGTGCCAGGGCTTAGATCCTCTGAGGCTCTATAACACTGCTATTAAAATAGTCACTGAGCCTAATAAAAAGTATAATCATCTCCATTTACATCATGATGTGGAATCCTGAAATGGCAATTTTTAGTTCTTGGTGAATCAAAGTACACAGATTCTTGAGAAGGACACAGCCCCTAAAGAGACTTGGGTCCCCTCCTGCAGTTGCCACCCTCCCAGGTGGCCAGTGCAGGCACAAAGATCTGCCACTCGCTGCTTAAACCCCCACCCATGGGGAGCCCCCCATTCACTGTGGGAAGTCATAGGAACTGCCATGCCAGTGAGCCAGACCCGGCCCAGGCCCTGCGGTCAGTCACCTGCCACCTGGCTGCTGCTGTGCCTGTGATCCTCTTCACGCTCTTCCCAGCCGACTCTCCCTGTAGGCTGCCCTCAACTTCTAGAGCGCCAGCCAGGGTGACTCTGGTCCATGTGCTTGACCAGTGATCATTCTAGTAACTTTCTGGAGGTCCCACTTTCTAGGAGGCCCCTGGTAAGTCTCTGCCTTCCACTTCCAGCTGGGACCAGTGACCCCCTCACCTTAAGAAGTGAGGCCCCTGGCCCTGCCTCATTCTGCGCCTGCCTTCCAGGTTCTTGAGAGCAGGAGGGCCTGGTCCAGGGCCAGGCACCCAGCGGATGCTCAGCAGATATGTGTGCAATAGAACTAAGCCTTCGAACTTTTGCTGAGCACCATGGCTGTCCCAGCAGTCATGTGTTCCCAGGGTTGTGCCCTTTCCTGAAGATCTCAGCTTCTCCCACATCTGTGTCTCATGAATCTACACCAGCAGAGCCTGGCTCAGCAGGGACCCCAGGGGAAGGCGCAGGCATCTGTAATCCCAGCACTTTGGAAGGCCGAGGTGGGCAGATGGCGTGAGCTCAGGAGTTCAAGACCAGCCTGGGCAACATGGCGAAACCCTGTCTCTACAAAAAATACAAAAATTAGCCGGGCAAGGTGTTGGGCACCTGTAGTTCCAGCTACTTGGGAGGTTGAGGCAGGAGAACAGCTTGAACACAGGAAGTGGATGTTGCAGTGAGACAAGATCATACCACTGCACTGTAGCCTGGGCAACAAAGCGAGACTCCGTCTCAAAGAAAAAAAAAAAGAAGAAAAAGAAAATGGACCCTGGGTTTGACGGGGACCTCATGACACGACCTGCCCTCTCAGTGCACGAAAGTGGTCCAGGGGCTCTTCTTGAATTTCCCCTCCGCTCTCCCTCTGTCCCTCTCTCAGAGGTGGTAGTGGCCTGGGAGGTCCTTGGAGGGGATCTTTGCATACCCACCAGTCCACAGCGAAGTAAACTGAGGCACAGAGGGAACGGCATGTGCCCAGGATGGGGGGTGTAGGTGCTCGCTGGAGCAGCCCCTTCTCGGACCCAGGGGCAGAATTTCATCAGTGGCTAGGGCCGAATAACAGGACCCCGGGTGCGAGAAACGCCTGTGTAAACGCCTCTCAGAGGGCCCTGGAGAAGGAGGGTGGGAGCCGCGAAGTCAGGGCGCCCCTGGAAGCTTCTAGAGATCTGGGCGTACATCAGACAGCAGCGGCTGAAGAAGGAAACAGGCTGGCTTCTAATAATGTGCAGACAGTCTCGATCCTTCTCCCGTAGCTCTGCGAGCCCATGTTCCTGGCCACGGTCCCTCAGCCGCCCTGGAAGCCGCCGGCACCAGCCGGTGTTCTGCTTCAGAGCGGGCGCGCGGTGACCGGACTGACAAGGAGGGGCTTCATGCGAAAGTCCCCCTCCCCTCCCAGGCACCGCGGGTCCCCCTGCGCAGGTGCCTTCAAGGGAAGATAGGAGGCGGCGGCTCCGCCCAGTCGACCCCACCGAGGGCCGCCCTCCCTGCCTGCGCGCGGAGCCCACGCGCCACCCAGTGGGGCGCTCGGTGGCCGACCTAGCTCTCAACCCAATCCTGCTTCCAGTGGGCGCCCCAGTTACTTTCCCTTCCAAAGAGCCTTGCTCTGCGGCGAGAAATAGTTGCATGACCTTAATGGAAAGGTGGTGGCGTTGTTTCCTCTCATGGCTGAAGGAATGTCACCGTTCAGGTTTCCGCCAGGTTGACGATGCCAATCCAGTAATGACAGTTCTTCCTGGGCTCCCAAACCTACCTTGGCACACTTGCACAGGTACCTCTTAATGGCAACTTGGCATGACCCCACCATCTTGGTCGGCTTGGGCCGCCGTAACAAAACATGAGACTGGGTGGCTTAAACAACATACTTCTATTCTTCACAGTCTTGGAGGCTGGAAGTCCAAGATCAAAGGCTGGCTCTATTGAATGAGGGCCCATCCTTATGACCTCACTAAACTTTAATTATCTGCTAAAAACCCTATCTCCAAATACAGTTATATTGGGGATTAGGGCTTCAACATATGAATTTGGGGCTGGGGAGACACAATTCAGTCCATAGCACCCACCTTGACATAACTACGCCTTACTACGATGGTCCCTTGACATAACTATCCCTTGCCATATCCAAACCTTGGCATTGCTACACCTTGTTGTAATTACACTTAGCCTAAGTGCCCCTTGACATAACCCCTACGCAAGGTGGCATTACCCACCATGATGTAACTACACCTTGACATACAGTGTAGTCTCCATGCATCCCAATTTACGGAAAAAAATTTGACTCTTGCAGCAGTGACATAGCTTTCCTGAGTTGGCAAGGTCAGAAAAAGAAGCAGAAGTGGTCTCCTCCATGTTCTCCTTCTCGCCTCCCTGATCCCCAAATTTGTGGCCTGGGTCAGGTAGCTTCGTGGAGCTGGCCCCGAGAGAGTAGTTCCCTGTGTGTCTCTGCAATGTAAACCATTCTCCTTCCTACTACTGCTCTCAATGCCTCCCTTCTGATACCTGATACCAGCCACTTCTCCAGTTCTCAGAATAGTAATTGAATGTCCTGCAATTTAACTCAATTCTGATACTGTCTACCCGGAATTAATGTCAGATCCCACAAGTTAAGGGCTCGGTCCCACAAGACCACCCTCATTTCTGATGCCAGCTGCCAGTCCAGGTTGGCACCTGTGCTTCTGACCAATCAGCCGTACGTTCCCAAGGCCCTTTCTCGTGTGTATTAATTTGCTAGAATGGCTCTTAGAACGTGGGAAAACAGTTTAGTTCCTGTTATTTATTATAAAGCATACAACTCAAGGACAGCCAGTGGAAGAGATGCATGCGGCAAGGTATGGGGAAGGGGCATGGGGCTTGCCTGCCATCTCCGGGCACACTGCCTTCCCAGCGCCTCCACGTGTTCACCAACCCAGAAGCTCTCCCAGCACCCTCCTTTTGGAAGTGTTCGTTATGTTGGCATTTTTTAAATGGAGGTTCCATTTTGCAGGCATGATTGAGTAAATCACTGGGCATTGGTGATTAACTCCATCCCCAGCTCCTCTCCCCAGCTGGAGGTCGGCGGGCGGTCGGGCTAAACATTCCAACCTTCTAATCACACGGTTGGTTTCCCTGGCAGCTGTCGCCATCCTGAGGCCCTCCAGGAGCCCCCAGGCCCCAGTCATCTCATTAGCTACAAAAAGTCATGTATCACTTTGGAGATTCCAAGGGCTTTAGGAGTTCTGTTTCTTATTATAAGTCACAGTGTCACAGTCTTCACTTAAGAAGCAAAGGCAGAGGAAGGAGGCGCCCCACGCAGCGCTGCTACCGCCAGCTCCGGCTTTCTCCAGCGGAAGAGCGAAGACTCCTGCTTGGGCTTACTCAAAGGCTAGGATTGCCACTCCTGGACCCCAAATCCAGAGTTAGGCTCCGACATTTTTGTAAGCATTGTTTCAGCAGTTCCCTTAGAAGAGATTCCCAATGATATACAGGAGCTCAGGGCTCTGGGGGGCACTTAACGCACTCTTATTAGCCCTATGAAGAAAGAAAATTTAAATTACCAGTCCCAGAGAGACAGTAAAATGAGAGAGCAATCAGCCTTGAACTATATATTCATCTCTGGAAACTGCTTGCTATTGCCACAAGGAGCTATAAATCAACTTAATAATGCCACACCAGACACCATAACCCACACCCTATAGCTTAACAATGTAGAGCCAATCATGAATCAATATTATTTCTGTAAACCAATGAGAATTCCTGACGGATTTGTATCATCCCACTTCTTGCCCACCCCTTTTGTCTTTAAAAACTGCTTGTTACAATGGCCCAACGAAGCTCATTTCCAAGGTTACCTGGGTCTGAGTCTTCCAGGCAGCTGTCCTCACTTTGGCTCAAGTCAACCCTTTATTTTTTTGTGCCTCAGCCTCTTCCTTTTAGGTCGACACCTACTAGTACTGGGCCCAGAGCCGGGGTTGGCCTGGAATCAAGCTGGGCCCTTCCTCAGTGGGCCAGCCTTCTCCACAGCTGGGGCAGCCTTGGCTGTGCATGGGTCCAGGCCCCACAGGGCCACCAAAGCTGGACTGGGTCCTGGCAGTGGCGGGCTAGGCTCTTCCTCTTTGTGCAGGTGGGATTCTAGGGTGAAAGAAGCTGATCCGCCACAGACCAAGAAGGAAAGGAAGGAGGCAGAAAACATCCTTTTGCCCAGGGGAGGTAGACCATGGGTTGTGGGTGAGAACTGGGAGGGCTCAGGAGCCAGCTCTGTCATCAATCCCTGTAGCCTGCCTGTGGCTTTTGAAGTCCTCATTTCTGTCAATGGTGTGAGCAAAGCACTCAGAGCTGAGGTTGGTGGGGTCAGGGGAGGTTCCTAGGCATGGGACTTAGTGAAGGGCAAAGATGACTAAAACATCCAAGAGCCAAACCCCTGCCTGTGGATTCTCATAGTGTTGTGGGTGAGATCAGCACTGCATGTGGGGCACCGCAGCACAGCACAGCACACACAGCACAGCACACACAGCACAGCCCAGCACACACAGCACAGCACACACAGCACATATAGCACACACAGCACATGTAGCACACACAGCACACACAGCACATATAGCACACAGAGCACATATAGCACACACAGCACATATAGCACACACAGCACACACAGCACAGCACACACAGCACAGCACAGCACACACAGCGCAGCACACACAGCACATACAGCACAGCGCAGCACACACAGCACAGCACAGCACATGGCACAACACAGCACACACAGCACAACACACACACAGCACACACAGCACAGCACACACAGCACACACAGCACATAAAGTACAGCACAGCACACACAGCACAGCACAGCACACACAGCACACCCAGCACACCCAGCATACCCAGCACACACAGCACACACAGCACAGCACATACAGCACACACGGCACAACACAGCACACACAGCACAGCACACACAACACACACACGCAGCACACACAGCACAGCCCACACAGCACACACACACAGCACAGCATATATAGCACAGGCTCAGAGGCCCCTGAGGGTGGGGGGCAGTTTGAGAAAAACTTCCGGGTAAGAAGAGTTTTTCATGTAGTAAAGAGGAGGGTCAGGCCTCCGTGTTCCCGGGGAGAGGGGACATAATGTCCACAGCGTGCACCGATGCAGCAGCAGGGCTGAGCTGGCCATAGCAGCCGTGCTGACGCTGGACCATCAGGGCTGGGCAGCAGGGTAGCAGGAGATGCAGCTGGACATAGGGCAGGGTCAGATCTGCAAGTAAGACCTGGGAGGTCACTTTTCAAAAAGCTTGGGCTTCATCCTGAGGGCAGGAAAGGATCTGGGGTGAGAGATGGGCAGAATCTGACCCACAGCTGAGAGACTGGCCTCAAGTCTTTGGCGTGGCTGCCTGACTCTGTTTATCATCCGGACAGCAAACATTGGAAGCTGCTTTTGGGGACCAACAATCCCGGCTTTCAAAGAGCGTTTTCCCCTCAGCCTGGCGCCTGTGCATCAGTGGTAATAGATGCTGAAGGCTGGAGAATGTAGAGCAGCGTGGTGATGAAGGTGATGGTGTTGAAGGTGGTGAAGAGCTGGAAGGAGGCAGAGTGACTGTTAAAGATGGCAGTGCCAGCTCCTGCTCCACCCCAGGGACCCTCAGCCCTGAAGCCCAGGAAGCCACACGTAACCCTGTCTCATAGCCTCCTGCCTGGCCTGAGATAGCAACCACTGGCCAATGACTCCCTCTCCTGGAAACTCTGCCCCCAGGGCATCCCTGGGGCCAACCTGGTGTCCTGCCGTTACCGCACAGTCCCCATCTCATCTGCACCTGGCCGTGAAGCAGGCTCATCTCCACCCCAATTGGGCCCTCATCCCTTGCTGACCTACCCGAGGCCCGCTCTCCTCTGCCCACCTCTGCCCAGCCTCCCTCAGCTCTACTTGCTGGCCCAGAACTGTGCTCTGAGCGCCTGCTTCTCAGCTCCCTGTGAATGTTCAGATGCCGCTCCAGCTCTTCCCGGCCCACACTGAGCTCCCGACGTTCCTCACAAGCCTAAGGGGCCCAGTGGGCCCCCGGGTCCTCCTCTCACCCAGCTCCCTGAGCCAGACGCCTGTGCCCCGACTCCCCTCCCTCCCTTGCCAGCCATGTGCAAAGCCACTCCAAAGGCTACTGGTTTTCCTGCCGGTCTCTGGGGACATGCACTTCTCCCTCATTTCAGCCACCAGCATCCCACCAGGACTCCTTGTGGCCTCACTCATCCACTTCTGCCTGCCTTGCCCCTCGAATCAGCCCCCAGAGGAAAACACGATCGTGTGCCCCATGCTGAAGCCGTGCGATGGCGCTGCTGTTTTCTCGGGGTAGGGCTGTCACCCTCAACATGCCTTCCAGGCCCCACTGGCCGTCTCAGCCTCACTCGGCCCCACTGTCCACTCACACGCTCCTCATTCATTTATTCAATCAGCAAATATCTTTTTCCCACCCTGTGCCACCGGGACATAAATCATCCCTTTGCCCGGCCCACCCACACTGTAGATGGCTCGTATGCTGTCACTTCATAGCTGTCCCGGCGATCACATGGTCTGCTGCGGTGTTGCAGTGCGTGCATTTGAGGAAGCCTTATGTCCTCCACAACGTCCCCAAGTCGCAAGAGTGGTGACGCTGGCAATATGGATATGCCAACAAGCAGCCGGAAAGTGCTTCATTTAAGTGAAAAAATGAAAGATTTCAACTTAACAAGGAAAGAAAAAGATCATCCACTGAGGTTGTTAAGATGTGCAGTGAGGATGAATTGTCCATCGGTGAAACTGCAGTGAAGGAGAAAGAAGTGTGTGCATAGTAGATGCAGGGTTCAGTGCCACCCAAGGTGTCAGGCTTCCCCTGGGGGTCTTGGAACACATTCCCCAGAGACAAGGGGGACCACTGGACACTGTCTTAGGTATATTGAGGAATTGTTGTTAACTTTCCATAAATGTGATAATGTGAGAAAGTTTGCATATGTTTCTGGAAACAGACTGAAGTGTGTGGAATGAGGTTTGCTTTAAAATTCCTTAGGGGGAAAAAAGGCAAGATGAGACAAATACGGTAAAATCTTCGTAATGCTGGAATCTGGGCTATGGCTACGTGAGGGCCTATAGTACAATATTCTGTACTTTCATATAGGTCTTCAATTGTTCAACGTGGGACACTTTTAAATGCCTATTGAGATGATGCAACAACTTGAAGAATTAATGATGTAACATTAAATGAAAGCATCTACATCCAAAATGATTTGTAGAGTGCAATTAAAGTGTGTATATTCTTTGCATAAAGTATATTCTTTGTGTATATTCTTTGCATAAAGTTCACATGGAATATGGAAGAAAGAACCTGTCGCAGGGATTGTGACAAGGCCTTGAGACTGAAGTAATTTCTCTTTCCTACTAGCATTTTCCTCAGTGTTGCTCTAAGATTTTACCAGGAAGAAAATTTAGGGGAAACACATCAGAGTGTGCTCGATTACAGGGTGCTATTTTCGGAACAGGGAAGGCAGTGGAGGGGAATGGAATGAAAGATCTACTCTCGCAGGGAAATGTCTTCATTTTGGCCTAGTAGTAAACACACTAAAATCAAAAGTCTTGGTTCCATGGGAGCCTACCCCAGGGTCTCTGATTCTCCTCTGTGCCCAGAAGTGCCAGTTGTCCTCACCCCATCCAGGACGTCCACCCAGGAGGAGCCATGCTGCCGGTTCTTACTGGAACTCTCCAGGAATCATTTCTTTTGCAAAATCCAAACAAGGAAGACAACAGGAAGCTGAGGGAGATGAGAAATGGGGTGAGTGAGACATACATCACCCATCCTTGCAGCAATGGGTTTGCAACCTGGGTGGTGGCTACAGGATCCAGACCCAGCACCCAAATATCTGGAAAAGAAAAACATCAAAGAAGGGGCTTCAGTAGCTAGTGTGGGGCATGTTTCCCTTTGCAGGGCGTCTCTTTTCTGTCTCTGGTTAATAGCTCAGATGAAGTTAGGGGGGAACCAAGAAGGAAATGAGAAGGAAGGTTGGCCCCCTGAGTCACAGTAGTCAGGCCCTATTGTTAGAAAATTCAAGGGGTTGATGTAGAGGTTGTGAACAGAGGGACTTTCGCCAAGTTGGCCTGAAGATGTGTCCTCTTGGCCCAAGCAGTGTTGGCATATACACTTTTAAACAATTCTGAATAAGTCGCCAACGTTTAAAACAGGATATTTCACATGGAAAATTCAGATTTGGGACATTGCTTTAGACATCGATGGTTCTAGCCACAGGGTACCCATTTCCCAGGTCAGAGCAGGCTGAAATTTCCCCTTTAAAAGGACCTGAAGTCCTCAGTGGACCCCATCCCCCAGCCCTGCTAACCCCATACCCTGCTGTGGCACATTCCCTGTTTCTCGCTGACGCTGTGGAATAGTACTCTTTTCTTGACTCCTTCTATCCACTGACAGTGCCTGCCTGGTGGCTCTGTGAACATTTGGTTTGGAGCCTCCAGATCATAGCATCTGATGCTCTGGTCACCAACTGGACAATATAGTTCCAGGTCCATCACCTCTCAACTCTGTCCAGCTGTTTGTTATCCACTTGGTGGAGAAACCAAAGCTCTGAGCTCTGCTTTTATTTGCCTTCAGGCTGGGCTTGCACCCATGTTGGTGAGCTCAGGGGAGGGAGTGACATGACCAGCAGATGGCTGTCCAGTTAGGGGCTTGGAGGAAAGGGTTGGCACAGGCATCAGGTAGTTTTGTTTTCAGTTTGTCTCCAACTTTTTGAGTTCCTCTCCTTCCTGGGGCCTTCTTAGGAGGTCACTACAGCCCTCCTGGGTTCTCCCTCCTTTCTCCTGTTAAATCTGTGCTTTTAAGCCACATGGGCTGGTAATCTCCGGAACCCACGTCGAGCTCAGTCTCTCTGTGGCCCCACATACCCACCTGTCCAGTGCCTATCTCTGCTTGTATGTCCCTCTGCCAGGGCTATATCCTGCACTTGCATAATCTCAAGAGTGAGTATCTCATTAAAGTGTGTAGCTTAGGCAGCTCGCTTGCCTCACTCCCATCCTGATTCTTGCCCTAAAACGCCTCACATTTAACAGGTTACAAAATCTGCACTTATTACCACTCCCCGATGCCTTCAGAATCCACTCTCCTCAACCCCTGCTGAAAATGATCCATCTGGGAGAGAGAAAGTTGTAGGATGGGGAATGGGAGCACAGAGGCCTCCAAAGATAATGATAATGTTCTATTTCCATTCATAGTGGATACACAGGGCTTTATTTTTTATAAAGCAATAAAATAATCTTGAAAAAGAAGAGTCTATTGGATTGGGAGACCAGTGGAGTTTTGGGGTGATGGGGTGGGGGGCCAGGAATGACTCCTGAATTTGTGATTTGGAGGAATTATATTACCATGTTTTAAAGCTTTCTATAAAGTTAGGTAATCAAAAGAGTTGTCAGCTCAGGTGACTCACATTTTTGCCTATCTCAGGAGACAACTCGTCTCCTTCCCTAGTTTTGTTGCCTTTTCCCCACAAATTTTAGAATCAGCTTGTCAACGTCTACAATATCTATCTGCTGGGATTCTTATTGTGTTAAATCTCTGGATGAATTTGGGGAGAATTGTCATCCTTACTATGTTGAGTCTCCTAATCCACGAACATGATGTATTTCTCCAGTTATTAAGGTGTTCTCTGACTTCTTTGATCAATCGCTTGTAGTTTTTAGCATACAGTGGCTGCATACATCTTGTTACATTTATGCCTAAGTATTTCATTTTGGGGGAGCTATTGTAAATATTATTGCTTTTAGAAAATTTTATTTCTCGATTATCCTTTGCTAGTAGATAGCAATATAATTTATTTTTTGTGTGTTGACATTGTATCCTGCAACTTGCTAAGGTTACTTATTAGTTTATTAGTTAGTTTATAGTTATTATTCGTTTAAAGAGGGTTTTTGTTGTTGTTCTTTGGTAAATTGTTAGCCATTAATATTTCATCTTCTGTAAAGTTTTCATTGTTTTTATCAGTTACATTTTTTAAATAGATTTTTCTTATTGACTTATGGGAATTCTTGCTGATACCGTGGATCTCACTGACTGTCATAAACATTGCACATATATTCTGCCGGCACTCACATATTTTATGGTGTCCTTTGAAGAACTAAGTCCTTAACTTTAATGCCATTGAATATGTCTGTCTTTTCTTTTATTGACTATGCTTTTTATTAAGTTTAAGAAATCTTTCTCTACCTTGAGTCACGAAGTTATTCTTGCATCCCAGACTTTTCTTCTGGGACAATTTTCTTTCTTCCTGAATTGCAGCCTTTAGCAGTCTCTTTAATGAAGGTCAGTTGGAAGTCGTCAGTTTGATTTGTTAGAAAACATCCTTAAATTTCCCCTGACAATTATTTTCTCTCAGCACTTCCAAGATACATTCTCGCTGTGTTCTATATTTTTCCACATTATTCTGTTGTATTCTGGCTTCCACTGTTGCTGTTGAGAGGCCAGCTGTCAGCTGACCTGTTGCTTTGTAGGAATTTGTCTTTGATGTTTGGCTGCATTCAGAGTCTTCCCTCTGTCTTTGGTGTTCTGTGGTTTGTGAAATAGTTATACGAGGTGTTGAGATGCGGATATCTTTTCATTACTTCTGCTTAGTATTCATTGTACATTCAATGGTTTGTGAAATAGTGATACGAGGTGTTGAGATGCAGATATCTTTTCTTTACTTCTGCTTAGTATTCACTGTACATTCAATATCTGAAAATTCCCCCACTTGGTCTTAGTAGCTTGATTCTGCAGTTACTTCCATTAACTTCAATTCCTGTTCACTTGTTTCTTCCTATGTGTGGTGAGTTTTCATTGGAAGCTCATGTCTGTGGAGGTAGCTCAGTTCTGAGTGATGTATTAGAGTCTTTCTAGACCAAACACTTACTTTTTTTTTTTTTGGAGTCTTTCTCTGTCACTCAGGCTGGAGTGCAGTGGTGCAATCATGGCTCACTGCCGCCTCCAACTCCTGGGCTCAAGTGGTCCTCCCATTTCAGCCTCCCAAGTAGCTAGTACTACAGCCACACACCACAATGCCTGGCCAATTTTAATTTTATTTTTTGTAGAGACAGGGCCTTGCTATGTTGCCCAGGCTGGTCTTGAACTCCTAGCCTCAAGCAATCCTCCTGCCTTGACCTCCCAAAGTGCTGGGATTATAGGTGTGAGCCATTGTGCCCGACCTTCACTCCCTTCTGTGTATCTCAGCCAAAAGATACACAACTTCAGGTTCTGCTTTTCAAAGTATATCCCTGGTTTTCTGGGACTAACAGTTTGTATCCTACAACTGGCCAATAAATAGATATAGGTATGTCACCCTTTCCCTTCTCAGGCTTCCACTGTGGTTGTCCTGAGGAGAAAAAACACTTTTGGATTTATGGGCTGTTAAGGAGAAAAAGGTAAAAGGAAATGAAAAGCCAGACTAGAATAGGAAGGTGACCACAAGGCATAGACTCCTCGGCAAGGAATTCAAGCAGCAGAAGGTATCAGATGGCAGTTCTCTGGACTTTCCAAGGGAGTCAGAGTTGTCATGTGGACTAAATGAGATGGTCTGAGTGGGAGCATCTTATAAACTGTAAAGTACCTGGTCAATGTGAGGAGGTGGTGGTGGGAAACACCTCCAGCAGCCTGGCCGTCTGTGTCATTCACTGCTGTATTCCTGGTGCCCAGCCCAGGGTCTGAAAAAATAGGTGGGGAGGGAGGGACATCAAAGTACATTCTTTTGAATGAATCTGCGATGACACCACCACCTCCTCACATTCACCAGGTACTTTACAGTTTATAAGATGCACTCACTCTGACTGTCTCATGTAGTCCACGCAGCAACTCTAACTCCCTTGGCAAGACCAGAGAACTGCCATTTGCTACCTTCCGCTGCTTACTGCCAGCTCACCAGTGCCAGGCGTGGGGCCAGCAACGGCACCTGGGCCCCATTTTGCCAGCCAGTGTCTGCAGAGGGGTCGCAGTCCCCTTCCTGCCATCAGAAGCTTCCCTGGCCAGATGTAGCCATATGCACGTTACTTACATTTGCACATTTAATCTTCGCCATAGTCCAGGAGGTGGTGCTGTCCTGGAGGGGACTGGGGCCCAAGGTCACACGGGCAGGGCATGGTGCTGCCTGGACATGGTGTAGGACACTTGTGGGTCTCCCCCAAAAACCAGATTTCACACCTGAGGGCAGGGGCAGGTAGAGGCTCCTAGAATGAGCCCAGAGGGTGGCCTGCCAGAGCCTCAGCCAAGGTTGGCGTGGGGAATTAGGAGTCTTGATGGGGCATCATGCCTGCAGTGCCACGGAGCCCATCAGTGGCTTCCTCTCTCCGGGTTCCAGCTATGGCTTAGGGATCCCTGTCCTACCTTTCGTGACATGCCAGGGGTCCCTGAGCATTTGGGAATCTACTCAAACATCGTGGGAGCCTTCCTGCAATGGCTTCAGTGTTGCAGAATCAATGTTGTGCGGAAGAAAGTCACTTCCTCTTTCCACACCCCTCTGGCTCCTAAACAGTAGGAGGGACCACAGCCAAGGACTACAGGTGGATGTAAACCCAGTAGTAGAGTTTGTTATCTCATTTCTGTCTCAAGTAGTCTAGGTTGGATTCTTTTTAGGTGTGAAATCTTTGAGTATTTGTATTTACTTTTTAATTAAAACTCATACTTAGTTTTCCAAATTTCCTGGTGGCCTAAACTTCCCTCTCATTTTAATGCTTATTTGTGTATTTTCTCAGAGCAGGAGATATTTTTTAGTGGCTGGGACTGGCCCTCAAAGTGGAGAAATATTTGATTGCAGCGAGCCATTTACAGTGAGTATATTTCAAGTATAACTTTGGCAGAATCCTTTTTTTTTTTAAATAAGCAAATACACGCAGTCATGTATACATTTCCCAAAAGGCTGAACTTAAACTTGAAAGGACTTCTTAAGGAAGGATGGAGCTTAACAACAGGTGTGTTAACCCATTCTTCTCTAGAACACGGAGAAGAGCCTCCTATATTTAGAAAGTTGGTTAAGAGTAGAATATAAGAACTGGGGTAATAACCCCCAGATTGGAGTCCAGGAAGAAATGGCTGATGCCAGGTTTGGAGAGGGAGGTTGAGCCTGAATGTTACCACAGCAGATGGTGAGAAAACTTCCAAAGGCTGCTGGGCTCTGGTCAAAAGGACTCAGCAGCCTCCTGCTGGCCAAAGATGGGAACACATGAGCTTCTTATCACTACAATGGATTGGAATGCACTAAATTGAAATCCACAAGTTCAAAATGATACTTAAAACAAAAACTTCTTTGGTCACTTTTGGAGGATGCTTATTATTTTGAAAACTGTTTCAAAAGAAAAAGAAGCAAGCAAAAAACATGATATGGGGCAAAGAGCTTGTTAAAAACATGGATACAGCTGGGTGCAGTGCCTCACACCTGTAATCCCAGCACTTTGGGAGGCTGAGACTGGTGGATCACCTGAGGTCAGGAGTTCAAGACCAGCCTGGCCAACATGGTGAAACTCCGTCTCTACTAAAAATACAAAAATTAGCCAGGCATGGTCCTGGGTGCCTGTAATCCCAGCTACTCGGGAGGCTGAGGCAGGAGAATTGCTTAAACCCGGGAGGCGGAAGTTGCAGTGAGCCGAGATTGCGCCATTGCACTCTAGCCTGGGTGACAAGAGCAAAACTCCATCTCAAAACAAACAAACAAACAAACAAACAAATAAAAAACAACCATGGATACCTGAGCACCATCCTCTGGACAGCACTGTTTGAGTCCTTCTCCTCCTAGAACCCTTTGCAGAATTCAAGAAAGTCTGAGGGTCGGGTTCCTGCCCAAAGATTCTGCTTGAACAGGTAAGGGAGGCTGCATTGTTGAAAGCTCCCCAGGCAGGGTGGCCAGGGCTGAGGAAGCCTGAGGCCAGCTTTCTGCCTCCACTCTCACCCTCAATCCACGCACCAGGCAAGAGCGTTCCTCCTGGGTTTGAATCCCAGCTCTGCCTGGTGGCAAGGTCATTGAACTCCCCTGTGCCTCTGTGTCCCTGTCCATCAAATAGAGGAGGTGGGGGTCCCGCTGGCCCCTCTATCATCCGGTCCTCATGATGGCTTAACAAGCTTCTCTGGCACATGGTGAGTGTTGGCCAAAATAACCATAACCATTGGAATGGCACAGACGGCAGGAGGGGAGGTTCCCTGAGAAAGACCCAGAGAGGGAAATATCCCTAAGGGTTGGGAAGTTCACTCCTGGGACAGAGGGGAGGGAGACCAATCAGCTGGGTTGGCGAGATAGCATTGAGATGGGAAAGAATAAGGAGGATAGCCTCTGTGGAGAGTGGATCTGCTCCGTTGCACAGAGCAGCTGGAAGCCTCTCATGGGCAGGCGGGGGCTGCTGCAGGGGCTGGACTGCTGCTGAGAAGTGAACTTTACACGCTGTGACAGACACTACCCAAGTAATGACTCCATGGGAAGGGCAAATGAGGTGTCAGGAGGATGCGTGCTCTCAGGTCAGTGTGGCAGGGCTTTGGGCTGTGGCTGGGAAGTATGGGTTTGGGCTGGGGCAGAGGAGGAGCTGAGAAATGGGGAGGAGCACCGGGGGTGGGTAGCCTGGTGGCAGGTTTTTCTGCATAGCTGGGCATTCTTTCAGCAAGGCAGGTTTCATGCACTGCCAACCCCAGATGCCTTTTCTACTACTTGTCTTCCTTTCCATGACAGCTTTGCCTCTCCTTCCCTTCTCTGGTACTCGGGTGACCGCAGGCTGTACCAGGAAGCCTCAAAAACTTCCGGCTGGGAGAAAAAGGCCCAACTCCAGATGGGCAAGTATCGTGTCATCAGCACACCAGGCAGCAGGGGTCTCCTGGTCCCACCCAGGGCCCAGGAGAACTGGGCTCCATGAAGGGCACACACGGGCATTGCCCACAGAGGGAACCCGGATGCCGCGAAGTCTCCCTTTGACAGTGTAATGTTTCAAGATGAAGGAAACTACTGATGCTCGCATTCAGGTGCACACAGTACATGCTGCTTCCCAGGGTCTCTTGTCCATTATACACCTCCCTTGTTAAACATTGTGGTTAAATACACATCACAAAATTAACCATCTTAGCCATTTTTGGGTGCACAGTTCAGTGGCATTAATATTCGTTCACATTGTCATGCAACCGTCACCACCATCCATCTCCAGAACTCTTTCCATCTTGCAAAACAGGAACTCCACTCTAAACAACTCCCTATTCTTCCCTCCCCCGAGCCCCTGGCAACTACCATTTACTTTCTGTCTCTATGGATTTGCCCACTCTAGGTGCCTCATATACATGGAATCAGGCAGCATTTGCCCTTTTGTGATTGGCTTATCTCACTTAGCATAACGTCCTGAAAGTTCATCTGTGTTGTGGCATGGGTTAGAATTTCTTTCTTTTTCAGGGCCAAATAATATTTCACTGAATTGTGTTGATCCACTCACCTGCTGCTGACCTCTTGGGTTGCTTCCACCTTTCCACTGTTGTGACTAGTGCTACTGTGAACATGAGTGTCCAAATAGCTCTCTGATACACACGCTTTAAAAGGAAAAAAACATGACCGGGCATGGTGGCTCATGCCTGTAATCCCAGCACTTTGGGAGGCCAAGGTGGGTGGATCACCTGAGGTCAGGATTTCGAGACCAGCCTGGCCAACATGGTAAAACCCCATCTCTACTAAAAACACAAAAATTAGCTGGGTGTGGTGGCACATGCCTGCAATTCCAGCTACTCAGGAAGCTGAGACAGGAGAATCACTTGAACCTGGGAGGCAGAGGCTGCAGTGAGCCAAGATCACACAACTGCATGCCAGCCTGGGTGACAGAGTAAGACTCCATCTCAAAATAAATAAATAAATAAATAAAATAAAATAAAAATCAAGGGGAAAAAACTGGGCGTGGTGGCTCACACCTGTAATCCCAGCACTTTGGGAGGCCGAGGTGGGTGGATCACTTGAGCCCAGGAGTTCAAGACTAGCCTGGGCAACATAGTGAGACCCCATCTCTACAAAAAATACAAAAAGTAACTGGGCATGGTGGCGCATGCCTGTAGTCCCAGCTACTTGGGAGGCTAAGGTGGGGGGATTGCTTGAACCCGGGAGGTGGAGGTTTCAGTGAGCCGAGATCGCACCACTGCACTCAAGTGTGGGCAACAGAGGGAGACTCTGTCTCAAAAAAAAAGAAAAGAAAAGAAAAGAAAAGGAAAAAACAAGACAAGGCCATCCTGGGGCTGTGCTTCAGACCCATCAGGCAGTTCCCACGCAAACTGCCTCAAGAGTCACGGCTCCGTTAAACAGATGTGCCCACGTTCCCGCCACCGTGGCATCCCTCGGGAGTTGGGTGCTGTTCACTCAAAATGCCTCAACTCCAGGGAGATTTTAATGGCTTAGGATGAAACCACATAGTGGGAATTAGAGCTGTTATTAGTTTTTAACCTGTTTTAAGCTCATTGTAAAAATAATGTTAACAGTAAAGACGTTTTACCTATGGCATGTTCCTTCCCAGACCTCATCGTTATGCACATACATTTTTTATAAAGTTGTAAATTATGGTGAACATACATTTTGTATTCTACTTTATATATACATACACATAAATTATATATATACATATATGTACATAAACATATATACATATATATTTATTACATGGTTTAACGATACAGTTGATTCTTGTTATTTGTAGTAGCTATGTTTTGTAAAGTCCCAGTGAACACTGAATTAGCAAATAAAATACTTCCCTACACTCTGCAGTTCAACCTAGGATACTTCCAGACACCAAGTCACTGTGCCCTGACTCATGGAGGGAGAATTTTCTCCTTCTGTGGCTTTAAGACTGGCAGGAAATTGCCAGCCCAGTCCCCTTGGGCCTCCAGTGAGGGCCCCTGTCTCATCTGGAGGAACAGTGCTGGCGGGAGCTCCCATCGCACCTGCTCCTGGCAGAACCAGTCACACAAGGGGTTCCTTGACACCTATGAGTGCTCCAAGGATGGGGCTGCCAGTGCCCTGGGCCTCCTGGGGTGTGTAGGAAGTGCAGTCCGAGAGGGGCCAGGAGTCAGGGCCAGGCCTCCCCTTCCTGTGTCCTCCTCCCCCAGGAGCACATCAGCCCAGTCAGATGGACTGCCCCAGCTTTTTATTAAACAGCACATATTTACAAAGTCACATAAAAAGGATTAATTAGAACATTCTTTTCTATCTAATATTTAAAGGCCTTGTTTTCTAGTCCCTTTAATAAAAAAAAAGGACAAAATTAAACAGCGAGCATTTTGGGGGCATTTTCCCCTTTTTTCTACCTGTGTACCTTAGAAAAGTTAGAAAGTACAGAAAGGCAGTAAAGCAGCCAGGCAAAGGCATCCTGCTCCTCCAGTGGCCCCGAGGCCGGGATCCCACTCACCCTGGCCTCCTGCCTGCTCTCTTCTTTCCCACTCTCCTTGTTCGGCCCAGTTGCATGGATTAACTTCATATCCCTTCCCAGGTCCCCAGGAAGTTTTCAGATGAGCCCTGGACTCGGGCTTAGGGGAGGTCCCCATTCCCTCCTCTTCTCCCAGGAAGCCACAGACATTTTGTGACCGGTAATCATGTTCCTGCCTTTCACTAGGCTCCAGGTCACTTAGTCCTGATTGATTGATTGCCTGCTCTGCTTCCCCAAGCCCACCCCCAGCCTATCTATGACCAGACCCTGCAAGGCAAGGGCCAGTGTCACCAATGTCACCTCCTCCTGGAAGCCACCCTTGACTACCAAGCCCCCAGCACACCTCCACTTTCATTGGGTCACTCTCCACTTTCATTGTCTCTCTTTGTCTCTTCCCTGCCTCCTGCCAGGACCCTGAGCTCCTGGAGGCAGCACCATGCCCTGAGGTCCCTGTGTCCCTGGAGTACAGCATGGAGCTTGGCATAAAGCAGGTGTTTGATACGTGTCACTCACCCACTCAAGAAAGGAGAAGGCAGCTGCTGGACACGCCACTCACTAGCAACTCACAGCTTCAGCTTCCTGGGACAGATGCCTGTGAAGGTGGCATCACCTGGTGCCTTCTTGGCCTTCCACTGTGGCCCAGCCTCAGATCCCGTTCCTGTCAGGAGCCTGGACCAGATGGGGACAGATGCTTATTTGTTTCGTCCCCACCCATTTCCTGCTCCATGACCACCTAGCCCCTAGACATTCTCCCAGTAGGAAGCAATCTTCCCTCTGAACTTCCAGGGAAGGTTTTTTCCCACTTCTCTGCCTCGTCCCCGACCCCACCTGCACCCCTCGTCATCCTGAGACACCCTACCACCCTGGTACCTAGGATGGACTACACAAAAATGTGCTGTCAGAGAGGATGGCGCTCAGATACACACACTCCTGCCACACCTCCCCCAGTGTCACTGCGGCAGAGACAGGGTCCCTATGGGCGGGCGGGGGGAAGCTGCGAACAGTGCCGAGGTAGAGAAGCAAAGCGCAGAAAATCCAGCCCAGGTGAGTGGCTGAGGCCTAAAGATTCTGGAGTCCCAGACCCATGGTACCTGGCCCCACTGAGGCTGCACTCTGGGGCCCAGCTAGTATTTTCTAGGAACAGCTTGTCAGGGGCCAGGAGACTGGAAGTGGCTGCAGGGAGCTGGTGCTGTGGAAGGTGGGTAGGAGCTGGCCCTGCTCCACCAGGTGGGGCCTGTGTGGGGCTTGAGCAGCTGTCCCTTATGGCCGAGATGGGGAAGGCCTGACCAAGTGATGACTGAGGGACAGGCTGGTCTCTTCAGGAGGTGATGGGGGCCCGAGGCTGGGGGCTGGCTGGCAGGGATGGATGAGGCAGGGGAGGGGCTGGAGAGAGATGGGGCCAGGAGGTGAGGGGGCAACTGCTGGGGCCCTCAGAACTCCTCCCAGCTCTGGCCCTTGGCCCTTCACTTGCTAGTCTGGACAACACTCTAGAAGCCTCTCCTGACCCCCACAGACCTGCCCTGCCCAGGGGAAAGTTCTCCAGGGAAAAAGCCCCTGGGAATGGCGGAAGGAAGCAGCGCTTCTAACTAACAAGGCTCCTTCTCTGGGGTTCGCCCCGGGTCCAGCAGGTCCGACTGCCTGGGCCCTCTCCCTGAGGCTCCACCATAGCTGCCGGCGGCTTCCTTCAGGGCACCCGTCATTTCTGTGGGCCCTCCAGGCGGGCTTGCCTTCTGGTAGCATGCCTGGTTGTCTGTCTTGGCTGAGCAGAGAGGGAAGGGAAGGCTGTTTGTGGTCTGGCTGCATGGTCAGGGAAAGACCAGGGCTGGAAATTCAGACACGGGCAGAGCGGGGCATGGATGCGGGACTGGGCCAGCTGGTTCTGAGTGTCTCTGCTCCGTGACGCGGGCTCCCTTGGCATCTGAGTCCTTGCTAGATTCTGGCAGTGGAGGACTTGGAGGGAGGCTGGGATGTTAGGAGAGGAGTGGGGCTTCCTGCCACCTTTTCCAGGCTTTGCCACTGTCTCTCCAGCAGCAGCAGCAGCAGCAGTAGTCGCTGGAGATGAGGGTCCTTGTGCCCTTTCTTTGGGGTGACCACTGTCTTCCAGCATCCCCGCACAGGTCTGGGTGCCAGTGAGGCAGGGATGGCCCCGTCTAGAGGTTTGAGCATCAGTCCCGGTTGCCCTTCTGTCCCTGACTCTGGGGGTGGGTGGCAGCCGCTGCCAGTGATTATTGTTCTCTGGGTTGTTCAGCACCCCATTTCTGCTCTTTCTGCCTTCCAGCTACTGTGTCAACAAGTCCCTGTACTGAATCCCCTCTGTGTGACATACCTGTCGTGGCTTCTGTTTCCTGCTGGACTGTGATGGGCACAACACCCTTTATTGGTTTCCTTGGCTGTTCTCCATCTCTCTTGTTAGCCATCGGGCTCCACAAGGCAGGGTCCATGTCTGTCTTGTTTATCTTTGTATCACCAGTGCTTGGCAGAGAGACAGTAGCTGCTCAACAAATATTGGTTGAATGAACACGTGGGATTTAAGTCTTCCTTTTTCCTTACATCTTGACTTTATATTTGTTAACTTCCTGGTCCTAGACAGTCCTCATCTGAACAAGCAAATGTGTGACCCCTCAATCCAAACCCCTCAAGAATGTCAAGCTCCTCCTTGAGTCAGCTTGCCTTGATGACATTCTGGTTCCTGGGGCCTCCGGGCAGCTGTGGCTGTGCAGCCCCTGCTTTTCACCTGCCTCCTGCCCTAGGGTGCTGGTCGCACACTCAGTGTGTGTTAGTTGCACCATTCCTTCAGTAGAGGCCTATGCCTAACCCTATCCCTTGATGACTGTCTTATTTTTATATCCCCCTAAGAGCAGAGCATAGAGTAGTAGCATCTCAATAAACACTTGCTGACTTAATAATTGGTATTTGTCTTATAAGAGATCTGTGTTTTTTTTTAACTTTTGTTTTACATTCTGGGGTACATGTACAGGATGTGCAGGTTTGTTACATAGGTAAATGTGTGTCATGGGAGTTTGTTGTACAGATTATTTCATCACCCAGATATTAAGCCTAGTACCTGTAGTATCTTCCATTCTGTAGGTTGCCTGTTTACTCTGTTGATAGTTTCTGTTAGTTATTTTTCCTGATTCCCTCCCTCCTCCCACCCTCCACCCTCCTGTAGACTCCGGGTGTGTCATTACCCCTGTGTGTCCATGTGTTCTCATCACTTTGCTCCTACTTATAAGTGAGAACACGTGGTATTTGGTTTTCTATTCCTGTGATAGTTTGCTATAGATAATGGCCTGCAGCTCCATCCATGTCCTTGCAAAGGACATGATCTCATTCTTTTTTTATGGCTGCATAGTATTCCGTTATGTATAGGTACCACATTTTCTTTATCCAGTCTATCACTGATGGGCATTTAGGTTGATTCTGTGTCTTTGCTATTGTGAATAGTGCCTCAATGAACATATGTGTGCACGTGTCTTTAAAAAAGAATGATTTATACTCCTTTGGGTATATACCCAGTAATGGGATTGCTCTGTCTTTAGGTCTTTGAGGAATTGCCACACTGTCTTCCACAATGGTTGTACTAATTTATGCTACTACCAACAGTGTAAAAGTGTTCCTTTTTTTCCACAACCTCACCAGCATCTGTTATTTTTTGACTTTTTATTAATAGCCATTCTGACCGGGGTAAGATGGTATCTCTTTGTGGTTTTGATTTGCATTTCTCTAATGATCAGTGATGATGAGCTTTTTTTCATATGATTATTGGCCACATGTATGTCTTCTTTTGAGAAGTGTCTGTTCATTTCCTTTGCCCACTTTTTAATGAGGTTTTTTTTTCCTCGTAAGTTTGTTTAAGTTCCTTACAAATACTGGATATTAGACTTTTGTCAGATGCATAGTTTGCAAAACTATTCTCCCATGCTGTAGGTTGCCTGTTTACTCTGTTGATAGCTTCTTTTGCTGAGCAGAAGCTCTTCAGTTTAATTAGGTCTCATTTGAGACCTGCACTTTCTAATAAGAGGTCCAGTGACCACCAACAACAAAGTAGTAGGGGCTGACATCATGGAGCACTCACTCACCCTGTCCTGACATGTCCTGTGAAGTCTGTATCCAAACCCTGCAGCTGTCTTACAGGATCCTTGTTTCTCTTTCCTGTTACTCTTTCCATTGTTGTGGAAACTGCTGCTCAGAGTGGTTAAGTAACCTGCCCAGGGTCTCACAGCGATGAGGCAGCAGAGCCAGCCAGGCTTTAAACCCCATCCTGACTGACTCTATTTTACTGAACCTGAACACACTATGGTCTCCCAGAGTAGGGGCTGGGCCTAGTGGAAAAAGGCCAGGGTGGCCGTAGGCAGCGTGGGTGGCCACAGGCAGTGTGGGAGGCTCACACCTGACTCTCATCCCAGGGCCCCTCTCATCTTCCCTCCTGGGAGGCCTTGCTGTTTCCCAGCCCGAGGCCTTCCCTTTCCCCATGTTCTCCCTTCCTTGTCTTCCAGGGAACACCCTCAGGAATCAGTCCAACCAGACCCAGGGGTCCCATGGGCACAGAGGTTGGTGGCTCCCATGTCCTGCAGGAGAACAGGAGGGAAGGAAGAGCAGCGTCCTGCTGGAGCCTGGCCCAGGTTGGGAAGAGGCTGCGTGGCAGTGAGAGGAGTGAACACAGGGAAAGAAGCAAAAAGGCAGAAGCGTGAAAGGCAAATGATGAAATAAAACTGGGGTAAATTGTGTTAACTTTTGCTGCTCCTGGAAGTATGGAGAGCTGACAGGGGGACAGAGGAAAGCAAGGGAGATGATTTTTCCTTTTGGAAAACTCACCTTCTAAGGAAATGTTAGAAGGAAGGGGAAGATACTTGCCTGAGTCCAGGCCTAAGAGGAGCCCCAATTCCTTCCCGCATACCCACTCAGTGACTTTAGTCCACACAGAGCCCTAGGTGCTCCTGGGAGGCCCATAGGACTGGCTTCAGTGAACTTCAAACAGGATCTTTAAACAGAGTAAAAGCAGCCGCCGGTTGGAATGAAGGCGATACTGGCCATTTGGGTAAGACATGATAAATGTGTCGAGCTGGAATAGCTCGGGATGAACTTCTAAGACCTCAGAGGATTTCCCTCTGACCCACGTGCAGGCGAGTTAAGCAGCTCAAAGGAAAACATCCAACATCGAAGTGTTTGCATCGTCTCCCTTTTTAACTTTCTGAGCCTGTAGAAATCTTCTTAGCTGTTTCTTCTTAAGAAGTCAAAAATCTCATAAGTCAACTAGTGACAAGGTTGACAGATAAAGGAATTTACTGGACTCCTGTTCATAAAGCATTTACCTGGTCACAGTCACTGGGTGAGCTGTCAGCTTCCACCCTTCAGCTTGTAAAATAGCCGATGAGTTGACTTGCACCACACAGGTAACGGCGTGGTCGTCCCTTAGCACCTGTAGACAGCTGGCCCAGAGCAGGGCAGGTCTGTGAGCTGCACCTTCCCTAGGCTTCTCCAAGGCACACACACTTGCTGCATGAAGGAGAGAGAAAATAAATGCATGTCTGTTCTCATCTTAACAGTCATCCATTCAAAAAATTCACCAGTAAACTGCATAAAACATGAACTTTAATGCTACAATCTCATACGTTGCTAGTGGGAATGTAAAATGCAAAAGTTATTTTCCAGCCACTCTGGAAAATGGTTTGTCAGTTTCATAATAAAACACACACTTATTACACCCAGCAAACATACAGGGCATTTTCCCCAGAGAAGTGAACATTACACCCACACAAAAGGCTGGACACGAGTGTTCACAGTAGTTTTATTTGGAACAGCCAAGAACTGGAAACAAGCAAACTGTTTCTCAGTAGGTGGATGGTGGAATGAACACCAGTGAATCCATTCCACAGAACGCTACTCAGCAGTAAGCAGGAGTGAGCTACAGATGCCGCCGCAGCTCAGATGGGCTCCAGAGCATCTGTCTATCACGCTGAATCTGCAATAATTTTGACATAAAAGTTATCACTTATTCTTATGTTCAAATATATTATTTTTATATTTTTATTGTAATGCCTCTAGATGATTATGTGTGGCTATTTTAGCCAAGAGTGAAGGAAAGCAATTTTAACTGAATAAAAATGAGAAAAATCACAGCATAATGAAATGGAAGTCAGGACATGAGTGGCTCTAGGCTTGTCTATTTCAAGAGTTCATGCACCCAGGTGATTTCTTTTCTCAATTTTACACAGAGAAGCAACCAAAATGTTTATTTCATCTCCCACTGACTCTTATCTTCTGTTTCTGTGTCAGTTAGCTTAGAATTTTGGACTCCAGCTGCATCCAGCTAGCTGCAAAAAACATGATTTCATTCTTTTTTTGTAGCTGCGTAGTGTTTCACTGTGTACAAATACCACACTTTCTTTATTCAGTCTATAACTGATGGGCATTTAGGTTGATTCCATGTCTTTGGTACTGTGAATTGCATGGTGATACACATGAGTGGATGTGTCTTTTTGTTACAATAATTTGTTTTCTCTTGGGCATATACCCAGTAATGAGAATGCTGAATGGACTGGTAGCTCTGTTTTAAGTTTTTGAGAAATCTCCAGACTGATTTCCACAGTGCTTGGGCCAAGTTATATTTTCACCAAAAGAGTGTAAGTGGTCCCTTTTCTCTATAGCCTTGCCTGCATCTGTCAAGTTCTGATCTTTTAGTGATAGCAATTCTGACATATGTGAGATAGTATCTCATTTGGTTTTGATTTGCACGTATCTGATGATTGAGGATGCTGAGCAGTTTTATATGTTAGTTGGCCACTTCTGGGTCTGTATTTGAGAAGTTTCTGTGCATGTCCCTTCCCCATTTTTAATGGGGTTATTTGGTTTATGTTGCTGATTTAAGATCCCGGTAAATTACTGCCTTACACACACTAAGATAACCAGTATTCAAAACTAAATAGAAAAACATAATCACTTGTAGGTAAAGACATTGAATTTGGAATGGTCATAGGTTGCAGGTTGGTATTGAACTGGTACAACAACTTTGGAAAATGGTCTTCACAGAAAACCTCATACACAAGTGTACCCAGTGTCACCACTCACAGTAGCCAAATGGAGAATACAACTCAAGTACCCATCAACTGCCACAGGGATGAAGGCGCTGCGGTGCGTCTGTGTGTCTGTAACCCAGCTTTAAAGAGGAGTGAAGCACTGACATAGGCTGCAACTTGGATGAGCCTTGAAAACACTGGGTGAGTGAACTGAGGGACACACGGAAGTCCACATCCAGAATTGTCCCGTTGACATGTAGCATGCAGAGCAGGAAAACCCCTAGAGACAGATCTCAGGAGGTCAGTGGAGGGGAAATGGAGAGTGACCACTCAATGGGGGTGAGGTTTCCTTTTCGGTGATGAAAATGTTCCCAAACCAAATAGTGGTGATGGTTGCACAGCATTGCGAATGTGTAAAGTATCACTGACCCGTATGTACGCTTAACGAGGGCTAAAATGGTAAATTTTAAATTTTGTGTATTTCGACAAAATAAAAATGAGTACCACATTTTGTTTAGTGAATCAACAACAATAACATTTCTGTTTAAATGCTGGATTCCCCATCACAACCAGCACTTCCTGCTGGAGCTTCATCCATCAGCCCCCAAGGGAGGGACTGGAGTGGGTCAGCTGCACAGGTCACGAAGGGAGCGCAAATTCCAACCCACTCCTCAAGAGTCCAGTCACCACCTCCAGATCTGTGTCCAAAAAACAATTCTTCCTGCGGCCGAGCTACCTGAGCAACAAGCACACAACCATGTATTTCATGTATTTTTTTATTTTTTAAATTTTATTTATTTACTTATTTTATTTTAATTTTATTTTATTTTGAGAAGCGGTTTCACTCTTGTTGCCCAGGTTGGAGTGCAATGGCGCCATCTTGGCTCAATGACACATCCGCCTCCCAGATTCCAGTGATTCTCCTGTCTCAGCCTCCTGAGTAGCTGGGATTACAGGTGCCCGCCACTATGCCTAGCTAATTTTTGGTATTTTTAGTAGAGACGGGGTTTCACCATGTTGGCCAGGCTGGTCTCGAACTCCTGACCTTGGTGATCCGCCTGCCTCGGCCTCCCAAAGTGCTGGGATTACAGGTGTGAGCCACCTTGCCCAGCCACAACCATGCGTTTTTAAGCAGAAGACACAGTAAGGGGACATCAGTGTGAGCCCAGACACACATCTCCCTATGGGGGTTCACAGGACAGCAGGGGGTGCTGAGGACAGAAGCAGGCACTCAGGAACCAGCAGGGAAACCCAGGGAGCACTTGGCACCACATGGGGGCTCAGGACCATTGTGGGGCTCAGTGATCAGGCAGGCTCAAGGCTCAGCATCAGGGCAGGTGTAGGAAGCAGAGAAAGGCACTGGAGATAGGGTTTTGTGTCACCTTCTCATTGCACCAATAGACTCCCTCCACTACATCTATTCTAATGAATATGAGTGTTTATGTGTTTAGAAAATAATATTTATACTATAAATCTATAGCCATATGGGGGCACATCAAGTTACCCTCATCAACTTATGTGGACCCCATTCATTAGGAATAAGTCCCTGTACTTGAAGATTTCATAAATTAATAATTACGTAGAGTCACTTTCTTTTCCAGCCTCCTTTCCTCTCTCTTTCTTTCCCAGCCTCCTTTCCTCCCTCTTTCTTTCTCTCACATACACTGACAAACACACCGGGTGCTGTAACTTTAATTACCTGATATATTAAAGAAAATTTATTCATTTGCAACTTGACCAGTTTAGCTGTTGTTCATGTTGTCGTAAGATTAAGAACATGTTTCTCAACTGTGTACTTGTCTAAGCTGAGCAGCAGCTTTATGGGAAATACACAGAAACTGAAAACAATCCAAATATTAATCAGCAGCTTTATCAGTAAACAAATTGTGGAAAAGTCACTTACTGGAATAGTACCACTACAACAATCAATTAATGTTGGATACGCTCAAGGGCATGGTTAAATTCATAAGTACTTATGCTGAGTATGATAAGCCAAAGCACATACATATGATTTCATTTTATAAACTGTACAAAGTGAACACTCATTGCAAGTTACATAACAAAGATCCCTAACTGACTTCTACCTGGTAAGAGGAGGGAAGATGTAGGAAGGGATATTGTAGGAGAAAAAGAGAAAATTGTGAGGCTAATTGATTTGTTTTCTTTGTGAGTGGTAATGATTATGCCAATATTTGTCAAATTGAGATATTATGTGAATATTGTTATTTGTCACGATTACAAATAAAAGTGTATCATTTGGTAGAAAAAGATTAAGAGAGAGATAAAACTAATAAAAGAAAAGTCATAGACTTCTGAATACACACGTCAATTAATCGTCAATTTTTCTACATTATTTAGAAAAACACTAAGATACAGTCAAATAATATCATGATATCATTATAAGAAAAGGGTTTTGTAAACCTTACACGGAATTTCTAGCTCAGTCCTAGAGTTAATTTAGGGAGCAGTCAGATCCAGTCGTGAGAAACACAGGCCAGACACTGAGACTGGCTCTTACCAGATGTGAGCTTTTTTTTTTTTGAGACGGAGTCTCGCCCTGTCGCCCAGGCTGGAGTGCAGTGGTGCTATCTCGGCTCACTGCAAGCTCTGCCTCTCGGGTTCACGCCATTCTCCTGCCTCAGCCTCTCGAGTAGCTGGGACTACAGGCACCCGCCACCACGCCCAGCTAATTTTTTATATTTTTAGTAGAGACGAGGTTTCACCGTGTTAGCCAGGATGGTCTCAATCTCCTGACCTCGTGAACCGCGCGCCTCGGCCTCCCAAAGTGCTGGGATTACAGGCGTGAGCCACCGCGCCCAGCCGATGTGAGCTCTTAGACACATTCGTCCCTCCATGCTTGGGGGTTTACGTTCGCATCTGTAAATAAAGGAAAATTTGACTCCCACGGAACACACTTCATGTGCATCTATAAGTAGAAATGCTAATGAGAATTAATTATTTATGAAGTATAATCATTCACATCCACTCTGGGACACAGCCCACTCTGAGGCATCCCTTCCAGAACTCCCTACATAGTAGGAGACAGGCAACTAGGGCCCTCCCTTTGCCGTTGAAAAACAGCCGAGCCCTGAACCTGCAGCTCTGGGAAAGGAGCCTCAGCCCTGAGATTTCCAGGTGTTTCCATTCGGTGATCAGACAGGGAACTCACCATGGAGTTTGGGCTGAGCTGGGTTTTTCTTGTTGCTGTTATAAAAGGTGATTTATGGAGAACTAGAAATTTTGAGTGTGAGTGGACGTGAGTGGGAGAAAGAGTGGATATATGAGGCAGTTTCCCACCAGGGTTTCTCTGTGTTTGGAGGTGTCCAGTGTGAGGTGCAGCTGGTGGAGTCTGGGGGAGGCTTGGTACAGCCTAGGGGGTCCTTTTTGAGGGAAAATGCACAAGGGTGAAATGAAGCTGTGGAAGCTGAAGGCATATGAGGGAAGTGTGTCCTTGAGTGAAGGAGAGAGGGAGGCAGGACTGGGTAGAACTTTCCTATATTTCTGTGCTGTGAAAATAAGGTGCAGAACATAATTGAGTCTTCTGCAAGTCAATGTTACCCCGCAGGGGACCTCCATGACTCCCAGCAATGGCTCTGACTCAGAATCACTGCAGTCAGTCCTTTCATTCAAGTTGACCACATAATGTGGGCTTCAGCACAAGCCACGCCATGGACATCAGAAAGCAGCAGGTGGGCACCTGATCCATGCGCATTGTGTTGCCTGTAGAAGGTGGGAGGAAAATGCCTTCTGAAATGCTCACTGTTTCTGAGTTCTTATGGAGAACACTGGCTTTGATGTTATTTTATTGGAAGCTATATGAACAAATGTGCAGTCTGCAAACAATTGTGATTTTCACATTTACTCCAATTGCATTGTGTCTTAATTTTGCAAGACATCATGGCACAGAGTTGCGTTTTTCACAGATGTTGTTCAGTGTGTCGGGAAAATGCGTTTCCTACTTTTGTTGATTTTTCTCTTTGTGCAGAGACTTCGAGTAGAGCATGTCTTCTGCCTATCCTAACCATCACTTGTTTTCCCAGGAAAAGAGCAGAGATTAGTCTGACTGCATAACCTGGGATAGGAGCTGCTCCTGCACACCTTAGAGCCTGGAGAGATTCCCAGTGTAGTTTTATGGAGTCAGAGAGTTTTCCCATGTTGGGGGATCTTTAGATGCCTCGCTAACAGGCGTTGCTGGTTGGCTGTAATTGAGAGGTTAAGAATTAGAGCACCTAGTAGCTTATCTCACCATAGCTCCATTATGTAACTTACCACCATTAGACTGCAGGTAAGAACTCAGTCTTGATTTTTCTGACCCCATTTTCTCATCTTAGTCAGTTGTAAGTTTGGTTAAAGAAAATGTTATTGTTTAGTTTTCTGATTAAAATCTGAGAATGGCTGAACTAATGAGAATTAATTTTAAAAGTTTCCAGGTCTTGGGAAATGTAAATGAATGCCCACGCACAGTTTTTTTGTGTGGATATAACTCAGTCAGGCACCTTCCTATGAGCATGATTGCTGAATCCTATTGTCAAACTACAACTAGATTTGCTAAAAATTGTTTCCAGTAATATCTGTGAAGGGAGGCCACTCAGCTGACCTTGTCACCTTGCTGCAAGGAAGCACAGCGCACAAGGTGAGATCACATGGGGGAGATCCAAGGCGCAGCTCCCAGTCCTGGCTGAGCTGCTTGCTGGGGGCCAGATGTACAAGTAAACGTTTCAGAAGCAGATTCCCCCATGCCTTCTTTACTTGGGTGCACAGGTAGCAGATGACCAGAAGGAGGTGCTTAGAGCCCACCCAAGGCAGAGGTCCAGTGAGGAGCAGGTGCAGAGAGGAACCAGTCAGGGAGCCTTTGACCACCATTTAGGGTTGTCTTGTTTTTCTTAACAGCACCAAACCCTCAGGATTGCAAATGACCCACAATGTCATTTTCAATGTATGCCCTTCTTGACCCAAAGCCGAACTAAAATAAATATGACTCTGCAGTTAACTTTTTGGACCTGGGTTATGTTTCTGAGAATGCCATCAATATCATCACCATCATGTTCATGATGTCAAAATCAATACACACATTTACTCACCACGAAGACAATTTGTCTCACAGAAGAACTGTTTCTTGAATTGAAAATTACATTTCTTGGGAATGGGTCTCTAGGTGAGAACTGATCAATTAATGAGGTAGTACCAAAGAATCAGAAAACTTAATGGCACCATTGTCTTTGGTATCCAGTTATCCTAGAAGTCATGTCAATATTCATTTTGTGAGAGGTCTAGGATAAGTTTGGGCAGTATTTAGTCAATAAGAAGGCAGTGTTTTTCTTTTTATATGGGCATGTCCTAAGTAATCGGTAATCCACTGTGTTATGAAGAATATTGTTCAGTGACTGTTTCTATGTCAGTTCTTTTCATGATCCATTTTTTCTTTTTCACAAACAAATCATTCTGAGGATTCTCATTATTCCTTGATTGAGAAAGGTTTTACCAAACACAACTGAAGTCCAGGTACACACCTTCCTGAATGAGCCTTCACTCTCAGAAAGGCACAACCTGTTTCCATGTGGAATCTTCTCTCAGAGTGGCACACATATTACCACATGGTTAGGCTTATACACTGAGGCTATGCCCCATGCAGGTCCCTGCTTTTCTGGTGCAGGTTAGTGTCTCCATCCTCAAAGACACTGGCGTCATTGATATTTATGGCCTGCCACACCCTCTGTCTGTCCATCAGTGTCCAGAATGGTGAAGCAGCCCAACAAAGGAATGGAGGAAGATCTCAAATTTTCCTATGGAGGAGACAGAATGCCAAGCACAGGGATTGAAATCCCTCACATCCCTGCTGGGTCAAATTCTGAGAGGGGCCTCGTGAAGCACCCCTGGGGCAATGTCCTAGAAAATACCTCAGTATTTCCATAGGAGAAATTCATTGAAAGACAAATCAATTTTTTTTATTATGGAATTTTAGAACTTTTGCTTTTCTCATGTGACAGTTGTACAATATCAGTTTTACCAAATACTATATTATATATATATGCTTTATGATGTCTACAAAAATGTCTGTTGGAATTTAGGGTTGAATATCTATATGTATATATTCCAAGATAAATCTCAGTAGACATCATAAAATTAGTTTGAATATCTGTAGGCAAGATGATGACTTTCAAACAAGGTATAACAAGTGAGACTAGATGTATCTTTCCACCAGAAATAACTGGAAAACACAGTGAAATATCTTAAACACATTTTTAAGCTGTTTGACATCAGGCAACAAGGACAGTGGCCAATGAGATGGGGAAAATAATCAAAAAGAGCCCTGTGATGAATGCACAATCAGATACTTCCCTAAGGGAGCTTCCAGGCCACAGTGTTGGTGTAGAACCAGGAAGATTTGGAGTTGAGGAAAGGGAGCTGGAAAACCAGATAGGCCAAGACGTGTGAAGACCCCAGTATAGACACTGGATTGCAGAACACTGTTCAGAGAGAGAGCCCCACAGAAGGTAGGAGAGAGACCCAGGCTTGAGAGAGTGCAGATCAGTGTGTGGGACACGGGGCAAGTTGGACATGAGGACACGTCCTAATAGAGGGAGCTGTCTTCAAAATATACAACTATCTAAAAATATACAAAATATTTGCCTAAAAAGTTAAAATATGCAGAAATGTACCATAATAAAGCCAAATAAAAGACAGGTGGATTCACTACATGAAAACTTGAGAGAAGTGTGTTTCCAAGCAAATGATAATACCAACGAGAGATGGCAATTGGCTTAAGAGAAAGACATTCAGAACGTGAAGAAGCTTCAAACACAAATATGAATAGAGTCATCTAATTACCAGAGTGGTGGCATGAGGAGCCTTAAGATTTCCAAT
This sequence comes from Homo sapiens, assembly GCF_000001405.40. Classification (NCBI taxonomy): domain Eukaryota; kingdom Metazoa; phylum Chordata; class Mammalia; order Primates; family Hominidae; genus Homo; species Homo sapiens. The sequence goes on along the minus strand of NC_000002.12, from coordinate 94,968,473 downwards.
GAAACAATCACTTCTGGTAAAAAAAAAAAAAACAAAAAAAACAAAAAAAAACTATAAATCTCAACCATTAAAAATCAATGGAAATTATTCTAAGAAAATGCAGTAAATAAAAATTATTGATTGATAAAATGTACTGCTATAGACTGAATGTTTATTACCCCCGACAATGCCTGTGTTGGAATTCTAAACCCAACGTGATGGTGTTAGGAGGTGGGGGCTTTGGTAAACGAATAGGTGTTTTGGGGAGGTGTCGAGGTGCTATCTTTATAAGTAGGATTAGTGCCTTTATGAGAAACTTCAGAGACTTTTCTGTCCTCTTCCCCCATGTAAGGACACAGTAGGAAGATGGTCATCTATGAATAAGGAATTGGGTCTTCACCAGATACCAATTTCAAAAGCATCTTGATCTTTAACTTCGTAGCCTTGAGAATTCAGAAAAATATGTTTATGTTATTTTGGAGCCACCCACTTTATGGAGTTCTCTTATAGCAGTTAAAACAGAATAAATCATTTACCAAGTCTCAGTAAGGGCAGTGAGGGTCCATCATACTTGTGAGATGAGAATTACTCTCATTTGCAACTCAGGATGACAGAAGCTTGACGTTGAACTGATCTGACAAGAAGATGGTGCTTCCTCTCCCCAGATCTCAGTTGAGGCCCTGGAGTCAGATCTCTATGGCGGAGACTAAATTCCCGTCTGTGATGTGATGGATTCCTATCTCCTCCCAGCCCCACTTACAAGACAGAGCTTCTATGCCATGTGCTGTAGGACAAGAACAGGGGGCACCCAATTATTCTCACCCCAGCCCACTTGTAGGGTAGAGGATCCGGGTAGCTTTCTGGGAGAGGCACAATGGGGTTATAGGAGTCCTCCATTCTCATGCGGGTTTCTGTTCTTAAAGCAGGAGTGTCCCTCTGAGATACAGGAATCTTTTCTTCTGCAACAAGGAAGGGGCAGTTATATTTTTATAGTTAAAGTAGCAGGGCATGAAAAATAGAGATACAAAAGTCTCTCTAAAGGGTGCGACTTTATTTGCAGTTGAATGTGAATAATTTCTACCACAAGGTTCTCCTAAAATATGTGATATATTTTTATGGTAAATAATTAATGGAAAGCTGACAACTCCATGAGAGCAATATGTTAAACAATAATACACTCAGTTTAGCTGAGAGAATGAGAAAAATCAGAATTTAAGAATAATCAGCAGGGCACTGTGGCACATGCCTGTATTTCTAACTAGTCAGGACACTAAGGTGGAATGATCATCTGAGCCCAGGATTTCAAGGCCAGCCTGTGAAACATTGCTAGTCTCAATTTCTTGAAAAAGAAAATTATGGGTCATGACAAATCTCAAAACCTGATCTTCCAAATAGGAATAAATTTAATTGCATTTGACTGTGGATCAATTTATGACACAAAACAGTGACACCATACCAGCAATGAGTGCAAAAAACAACATCTAGTTGTTACATTAAGAGATACTGACACCCAAACAGAGACATCAGGTAAACAGGTTGTCAAAGGCAACACTGCCGAATGACAGCTTTTCCATGGCTATTGTGTATATATCCAGGGATGCACCTGTGAATAATGACATCATGCCTTTTATAATGTAAGGTAAAGAGACATCACTACCCATCTGACAAAGGATTCATATTGAGAATATGCAAGGATCTCAAACAACTCTACAGGAAAAACATCTAGTAAACCAAATGAAAACCAGGCAAAGTTTTTTTCTCAAAATAAGACTTACAAATGGCAAACAAGCATATGAAAATGTGCTCTACAGCACTGATCATCAGAAAAATGCAAAAGAAAAATACAAGGAAATATCATCTTGTCCCATTTGAAATGGCTTTTATGCAAAAGGCAGGCAATAACAAATGCTGGTGAGGATATGGAGAAAAGGGAATCCTCATACCCTCATAAACTTGGTGGGCATTTAAATTAGTACAACCATTATAAAGAACAGTTTTGAATTTCCTTAAAAAAGTAGTAATAGAGCTATCATACGATCAGCAGTTCTACTGCTGGTGTATGTGCCCCCCAAAAAGAAAATTAATATGTCAAAGGAATATCTGCACTATCATATTTGTTATAGCACTTTTTATAATAACCAAAATTTGAAAGCAACCTAAGTGTCCATCAACAGATGAATGGATAGATAAAATGTGGTGCATATAGGATATGGGTTAATATTATGTCATAAAAATGAGTCAGATTCTGTCATTTGCAACAACATGGATGAAACTGGTGTTCATTATATTGATTGAAATAAGCCCAGAAGAGAAAGACAAACTTCACATGCTCTCATTTATTTCTGGAAGGTAAAAATTGAGACAATCGAACTCGTGGAGAGAGAGAGTAAAAATATGGTAACCAGAGGCTGGGAAGGTCTGTGGTTGATGGGGGTTATTGGGGATGGTAAAAGGGTACAAAAGGTAGTTAGAGATAATGAATAAAACCTAATATTTGATAACACAACAGCATAAGTGTAGTCCTTAATAATTTAATTGTAGATTTTAAAATAACTAAAAATGGGCCGGGCGCAGTGGCTCACACCTGTAATCTCAGCACTTTGGGAGGCTGAGATGGGTGGGTCACGAGGTCAGGAGATCGAGACCATACTGGCTAACACGGTGAAACCCTGTCTCTACTAAAAATACAAAAAAAATTAGCCAGGCGTGGTGGGGGGCACATGTAGTCCCAGCTACATGGGAGGCTGAGGCAGGAGAATGGCGTGAACCTGGGAGGTGGAGCTTGCAGTGAGCTGAGATTGCACCACTGCACTCCAGCCTAGGTGACGGAGCGAGACTCCACCTCAAAAAATAAAATAAAATAAAATAAAATAAAATAACTAAAAATGTACAATTGCAATGTTGGTAACTCAAAGGATTAATGCCTGAAGGGATGTATAACCCCTTTACCAAAATGTGATTATTATGCATTTCATGCTGTATCAAAGTACTTCATGTACCCATAAATATATACATATACTATTTACTGGCAAAAATTGAAGTGTTTATGTATCTAAACTTCTGTATCCATATTACATTAAACATAAGAATACACTGGTGTCTTCACCCTACTGTGATCCACATGGACATTCATAGCCTTCCTTCTTTGCCTGTCCATAATCCCACACTCAAAGGTGAGGAAGCCTCTCTTACCATATGACATTAATTTACTTAGTGCATAATTTCAAGATACACAAATTGTGTTAGAATTGTTTAACTGATGCTTGTTGGAAGTGTGTTTATCAATTAGAATACAGTGCTTATGTGCAGCTTATTTATATTTTCCAAACAGAAAACTGAATTCTTTCCAAAGTTACTTGTGTCAGAGATTTATGACCCACCTTCTTCAGTGAAATTAGTTCAAACAAACATTTTTGTAGTTGTGAGATGTTTTCACACAGCTTTCATTTCCTGCAGTGTTTCATGACCTGCTAGATACTTTTTATGCTGTTATGCATTTAGGTTAACACTTTGTCTCAAAAAATTCTGAGTTTTCACAAATTATTTATGCCAAGTGTTCATCATTGGCTATCACAAAAAATAGTTTCATTGTGATTAAAAAGCATCTGTGTTTCACCTATTCCACACATCCTCTCCCCAAATTCCTGGAAAACCTTAAAGGTTTGCTAGATCTATACTGTTTTATTTGGCAAAGTAGCCTGGCTGTTCTCTGCGCCTCTTCTGCAAAGCATCAAGATTCACCTCCACTGACTACAGCATGAATTGGGCCCAGATGGCTGCAGGACAGAGGCTGGAGTGGATGGTAGCAGTGAGTGATTCAAGTGAAAGTTCTCAGTGATGCCCTGCGTCAGTACAAAGAAGATTCACAATTCCTAGGGACAAGACTTGCCAGCACAGTCTCCCTTAAAATGATCTGCCTGAGAGCCGAGGAGTAGGTAGTGTATTACTGTGAGAGACACAGTGAGGGGACATCTGTGTGAGCCCAGACACAAACCTCCCTGCAGGGAGACAGGAGGGGACCTCATAATAAATGGCGCTCAGGACACCAGGGGGTACTGAAGACACCAGGGGGTGTGCTCAGAACCACCAGGGGGCACTGAGGACACCAGGGGGCTCAGGACAAGCAGGGGACACAGAATCACGATGGTGGATTCTAGACCACCAAGAAACACGCAGGACCACCAAGAGGTTCTCAGGAACCACCAGGGGTAACATGACCACCTAAAGGCACACAAGACTGTCAGGAGGCACTCAGGACACCAGGGGGGAATTCAGGGCCAACGGGGAGTGCTCAGGCCACCATGTAGCTCTCAGCAACCACCAGGGAATTGCTCAGGACACCAGGGTTCTCTTAGGAGGCAGCTTCATATCAGATTCCTGGGGAGGGTGCGGTTTGCTTTTTGATCTTGCCGATTCCTGAGCTGGTCAAGCAAAAGTTTTCTCGGGAGCTCTCACCATTTCTTCCTTGTAATCTATGGTTTCTTTCAACTACAAATCATTAACTTAGAAGAGGGATTTAATTCAACTTTTGATCTTTCATATTTTTAGAACAATACTAGCAATACTAATACTAGCAATACTCAGTATGATTTTGATAATATAATAAGAAATTGCGTATGCCTAATTTAAACTCTTGTTCTATGCATGGGTTTTTGATTTCTGTGCTGTGTCCGTCACACTCTTGTAAATGCCTTTTTAACTGTAACACAGCATATGCATGGTGTTGAGTTTCTTTTCCTTTCATCTGCCTTTGGGGAGTTGAAACACCACCTTAAATGCTCAGTTCCTCTGTCTTCGCTGGGTTCTGATGTTCTGCTCTTCAGACTGTTTCTCTACTTTTCCTTCTTCTGTTTGCCTTTTGTCTTCCTCAGCTTCCTGGCAAGGAAACAGCAAGTCCTTTTATTTTCTCTCTTCCATGTCTGGTGAATCAGTTCACTTCTCTTCATGATCACTGAAGCCAACCATGTTTAGTAGGGTAACAGTTATCCTTAGAACATGCTCATCTACCTGTAGACTCTCCGTCCTCCTCACCCTTTTTTATAGTTCTTCAGACTCACCCCACCCCATCCCGTCTCTTCCCTAAGTACCACAGAGTGGGCTCTGCAGCTCCTGCTGCCTCCTGTGTGCTCATCCCTGGGACTCACTAGTGCTTTGATGATGAAGTCCAAATTCCTAATGTGTTGAAACACTGCCAGATGACAATCTAGCAAGCTGCCATTGTGAGTGCATTCTGGGAATCCTGGGCTGATTTCAGTTCCATATTACTGGATGTTCTCTGGCATCCAGGAGTATTGGCAAATAAACATCTAGAATTTGTATTGAAAATTCATGCAAAAACAATTGTCAAAAACAAACCTAATTTCTTCTTTTTCTTAATTTTATTTATTTATTTATTATTATTATACTTTAAGTTTTAGGGTACATGTGCACAATGTGCAGGTTAGTTACATATGTATACATGTGCCATGCTGGTGCACTGCACCCACCAACTCGTCATCTAGCATTAGGTATTTTATCCTGAGTTTTATAAAAAATACAATGTGAACTTAACCAATAATGTAATACAATTTTAAAGGTGTTTATCTTATTGGTTATTACATGTATTAATAATTGACTGATATTTAAAAATTATGTCAGCCAGGCACAGTGGCTCTTGCCTGTAAATCCAGCAATTTGGGAGGCTGAGGTGGGTGGATCAAGAGGTCAGGAGTTTGAGACCAGTCTGACCAACATGGTGAAACCCTGTCTCTACTAAATATACAAAAAATTAGCCGGGTGTGGTGGCGGGCACCTATAATCTCAGCTACTCAGGAGGCTGAGGCACAAGAATCGCTTGAACCCAGGAGGTGGAGGTTGCAGTGAGCCGAGATTGTGTCACTGCACTCTAGCCTAGACTACAGAGCATGACTCCATCTCAAAATACATATATACACACAAACACACACACATATATATAAAATATATACATATATATAATATGTGTATATATGATATATACATTGTATATATATGTATATGTATTTTATATATACACCAAAAATGTAAATGACAAATAAACCAACACAGAGTTTATGCATAAATACTATGTACATTTAATTAATGTATTTGGCAAGAATGGCATTTACATTTAGTTTTACCAAAACATGCATTTAGATATATTTGTTTATTGGCATTGGGATAGAGAAACAATCACATAGAAAAACATTATTTTGCACTACATCATAGTGTAAAACAAAATAATTTCAATTAAATTCAATAACTATAACAGTAGTAAATAAATTCAGGTTTTGTTTTGGTATTTGATGTGTTCATTTTTGTATTTCCCTATGTACCTGTAAGTACTGGGCATATGTGTGTATGTGTATGTGTATGTGTGATTATGAAGTTCTGAAATATATTATTAACCTGTATAGTTGTGTAAATTGAAGAGCAGAGACTGGGGCTATGCCTGAGTCTGGGGTAGTGGCTGGTCCTGCACACCTCAAAGCCTGTGGAGAAGCCAAGTGCAGTTTTACAAACTCAGCTGTTTTCTCATTCAAGTGGGGTGACCTCCACTGCCTCCGATTTCTGCTAAGATACTGTGGGGGTCTGTGAGATATTAAGATATTTTTCCATTATTGTATTTTTTTCTATTTCACCCTTTATATCTCTTAAAGTTTGCTTAATGCAGATATATTTTTAAAAATGTTAAAAAGATGTAAAATATATTGCTAAGTGATTTTCATGGCACAATCACATATTAAGTAATTATGCTTCTCTAAACTCTTTTGTTGCCACTAAACTCCAGGAGTCTCACATCTGCTCTGGGCCCTGTCCTATCCTAAGGCATCCCACCTTAGAGCTTGCTATGTAGTAGGAGACATTCCAATTGGGTTCTCCTTCTACTGATAAAAAACAGCCCAGTTCTGGTCCTGCATCTCTGGGAGAGGAGTACCAGCCCTGGGATTTCCAGGTGTTTCCACTTGGTAATCAGTACTGAACACAAGATTCAGTATGGGCTTTAAGCTATACTAGATTTTTCTTGTTGCTATTTTAAAAGCTTATTCATGGAGAATTAGAGATAGTGAGTATAAGTGGATGTGAGTGAGAGGAACAGTGGATACATTTGGCAGTTTCTAACCATGCCTATGTATGTGAAGGTGTCAAGTGAGGTTCAGCTGGTGGAGTCTGGAGAAGGCCTGAGACAGCCTGAGGGTTTTGAGAGTCTTCTGTGCAGCCCGTGGATTCAAATTTAGTAGCTACTGAATGAGAAGCTACTGAATTAGCTGAGTCCACCAGGCTTCAGAGAAGGTGCTGGAGTGAGCAGTAAATACGAAGTATGATGAATCAGTTATACCATTCAAAATCTGTGAAGGACAGATTCACCATTTCCAAAGACAATGCCAAGAACTCACTGTACCTGTGAATGAACAGTCAGAGCTGAGAACATGGCCTCGTATTATTGTACATAAGGTACCAAGTGAGGGAACACCAGTGTCAGCCAAAACGCAAAATATCCTGCAGAGAGAAGGAAGGAGCCTGGGCTGCAGAGGGCACTCACTCCCACAGAAGTTAGGGGCATCCCCAGGGCAGGTGCAGTTGAAGGTCAAGGGCCGCTTTCCTTCAGGGTCTGTGGCTTCCTCTCCATCGAACAGTTTCCCTGGGAGCCTCTCTATATTTGTGTTTCTGTGCCTACCACTGAGGTCTCTAGATTAGAAAAGTTTATTTAAAAAATTTCTTATTTGTCCCAAAGTGAGATGTAAGTAAGGCAGGCAGAAAAACACACAGGAGGCTGGGTGAGGCTGTAGACACTGTCAGGCCAGGATGCCAGTCTTACAACTAGTGATGGGGAAATGTGGGAGTTTGGTGGTGCTTCCTAGTTAACCTGTGGAGCAAGTTAAGTCCGGCAAGGCTGTTGATGACTTCCTGATTACAGATGCCCATCAGGAATCTCCGATGAGTCCCAGGAGCAGCCATAGCTTAACATCTCCCCTGTGCACAACCATTTTTTTGGGAGGAGCTCCCAGGGTTAATGCTCTTGGCACAAACCAGGTGATATATGTCAGAGAGCAGAAGCTGGTTTCCTGTGTAAACATCAATTTCTGAATCAGTGTTTTAAATATTTTGAAACACAGCCACTAGATCATATTTCAACTCTTTTATCTCTGTTAAAAAAAAAGTCAAAATGTATTTCATTTTGTGCATGCACCATTTGGGATTCCCAACATAAATGCAAATTAGTTCTTGTTTTTTCACATTCTTACGGCCATTTTTCACCATGAGGATTGTGCATTTTAACCATTCTAATAGGTGAGCAATGGAATCTAATTTTTGTTTCAATGCTCATATCCCTAATGAAAAATTTATATTTAACAATTTTTATATAATGTTGTTGAGTTTACTTGCATATTCATTATAGAAATCAATTCTTTTAATTCTTTACTGAATTAAAAGAAATTATTTAACAAAAATGCTACTTGAAAATATTTTCTCCAAGTCTGTGATTTGTCTTTTTAGTTGCTTATCAGTGTTTATTGCAGAAAAATGTGTGTTTGCAAATTTGGATACATTACCATGAATAATTGTATTCACTCACAGACCATGTTTTTGGCATTATTTCTAAAAACTGGTTATAAAATAAACTAGCAGTGATTTTTTTTCCCATCTCTATAATCTCAGACCACAATCAACACGAGTGTTTAAACCTCACCTACATGATGAGAATACTATCAGCCTAAAATATTTTGAATAACTCTGTAAGGAAGATTCGTCCTTCTTTTCACATTTTATTTACTCATCTATTATAATAGTATTGGCTTAAAGATGCTTATTTTATACTATGAGGAAGATCCATGCTTCATTATTTATGCTTTTGCTCAAATCATCACAGTTTTTTTTATGTGCTTGGAGTTCATTTAATTTGGATCCTGTATCCTTACATGACATCTCCTCCTTTTGTTTTTGAACACTTCCCTATTTTCTGGTATTATAAGAAATCCTAAGCTTATTTTCCGTATTATCTTTTCCATACATAGAATCTGCTGTTTTTCTGAAGATTACTGGCTTCTGGTGTTGAAGAATGGTATTAAAATAGAGAATTGTGAAGTTGGGTGTATATACTGTTAGTGGGATGTAAGTGCCTCAAGGACCTCTCAACTAAATGGCTTAGAAAATGTGCAGGTGTTTATTAACCCACGTTTAGAGATACATCTCGACTATTTACATATCTAGTCTTCCGTACCTGTAACACATTAAAAATGAGAACACATTCTTGTCTCCACCCAATTACAATACCACATGGACATTTCTAGCCTGCCTGCCTTGCCTGTCAATCACCACCCATTGCCAAATGAGGAACTCCATCCCACCATATTCCATAGTATTACTTAGCAGCACAATTTCAGGAAACGTGCATAGCGGAATCAAAATTGTGAAGCTGTACCTCTGCCGGAAACATGTTTATCCACTAGAGTACAGTGATTACGTGCAGTTTACTTACACTTTAGACTTTCAGAATTCCCTCATTTCCAAAGTTATTTAGGTCATAGCCTATTTTGCACTTTCTTCAAAGAAGTATTTTCGTTTAATTTATTGCATGCAGATTATGTCAATCATACAAAATTACTAGCACTTTCACTCTAATCCAGTACTACATGGACATTTCTCACCGTTCTTCCTTGCTGTCTGTAACCTCCCACTCCAAGTGTGAGGAACCCCCTCCCACCACACACCATCTATACCCCGTGTTGTCCAATTCTAGGATTCTTGTAGCGTGGAATCACAATTGGTAAGCTGTGCTCCTTGTGGAACATCATCATCAACTAGAGGACAGTGCTGACATGGTTTATTTTTTAGTCTTATTGGTGTCACTATTTCTAAAGTGATTTAGCAGCCTTTTTCACATACTTTATTCGACAAAGTTGTTTCATGCATTAATAAGGACATCAGATATTTTCTGTACGATCTGCATTCCATCTTGGGGTCCCTAATCTTTTATTTTTTGTAAAGTAAAATCTAGCCTTCATGCTGTATAGTCTGTGGATTTTGACAAATTTATGACATCATATATCTACCATTGCAATATTATACATAATAGTTTCATCATCCTTTAAAGTCTTCTATTTTTTAATCTATTCTCACCTTCTCCCCAAATTGCCGGCAAATATAATTTTTTTCACTTTGTTTAAAGTTTGGCCTTCTCCAGATCAAATAAATTAAATTATATATTGTATAGCTTTATCAGACTATTTTACTTGACAATATGCATTTAAGATTTATTCATGTGTTTTCATGGTTTGCTAGCACTTCTTTATCATTGCTATATAATTCCATTATATGAATTTATCACAGTTTGGTTTTCACCTACAGAAAAACTTTCTGAATGTTTATAGTTTTGGGAAAATGTAAATGAAGCTATTGCAATTACTCATGTGCAGTTTTCTTTGTGGACTTACTTTTGCAGTCAGATAAACACTTAAAAGCATGATTGCTGGATTACATAGACAAAGGATGTGACAATTTGACTAAAATCACCTCCTAGTAGTTGTCTGAAGTGAAGGCACTCAACTGACCTTGTCTCCTTGCTGGGAGGAAGCCCAGTTCACAGTGGTAGGGCCACCTGGGTGGATCCAGGCCCAGCTCCCTCTCAACCATTATGAAGAGCAGCCCGCCCTATGTATGCACATCTAGGAAGCAGATGCCCCAGACGTGCATTGTCCAGGAACGCAGAGAAGCTCAGCACTCTGGCAGGATGGGGCGCACTGAGGAGCAAGTGCTGGGACAGACAAGGAGGGGAGCTTCTGGACAAATCCTGGGTCATCCTTTAGCAGAACCACATCTAACTCTTGGGAGACCTTCCACTCCATCATTTGTAACCCACGCCCTGAAACTTTCCAAGCTCAAACACAGTAAAATTAGGTGATTTAGCTAGAAGTGTGAAAAAACTGAAATGAAAACGACTCCAGTTAATTCTGAGACAATTGGTCATTTTCCATGGAACAACCCAATACTGATAATATCATATTAATGTCAAAAGCAACACACAGTCAGCATGATAGCTGTGTGTCTCATGGTAGAATAAACTTACTTGCTTGAAAGTTACATTCACACTAGTCTGTTCCCACAGAAAATCCCATTTTCTCTTCTCACACAGCCAATTTCAGCATCCTGATCCTCAGAGTTGGAAGCACCGTGTCCTCAGGAGATAGGAGGGGAAATCACTAGCATGGCCCTGGAGTCCTGGTGCCACATCCTTCTTCATCTTTGTGGCAATCAAAGGCAAAGATTTTGTACATAGTTGAAGGACTTTATAAACAAATTATGATTTAATTTACAAGAATACTATCTCAAACACGTACACACACAGGTTTTTAATATTTGTTTGTTGTCTTATCCGTGATAATATTATGTTTAATTTCATGTACGTTCCTCATTCCTTAATCTGTGTATTACATTTCTCTACAATTATAACATATTTTATATACTTTGCAACATAAAGCTCCTGGATGCAGTTGTCTGTGAAGCCAGCAGGGGGAGCAGAAGGAAATGGGTCACGCTCCTGACACTCCCTGCACACCAGCATGTTCCCAAAAGCAGAGTTCCCTGCTCTGCACCTTCTCTGGGGACAGCTTTATTATTGGTGAGTTTTGTGCTTAATTATTGAGAGTTTCTGTTTTAGGTGTGCTGGTCGAGGTGCAGCTAATGAGTCCAGTGCAGGAGTGGAAATAAGCTTCCAAAACATAGTATCACCTGAGAGATAACTGAGTCCATCTCTGTAGTACCACCTGAGTTCCAGCTTCCTGGAGAAAACCTCAGAATCATAAAATTTTTCATGTGTTCTGTGGTGTGGGTCTTCTGTGTCACTGCATGTTCAGCTACATCTGTGGTGCCACTTACACTTAACGAGATGAGATTCCTGCTGCTTGTCAGGTCAATGGTGATCTCTGAAGCTACTTCTGTTTTCCACTTTAATATGTAAAGAGCATGTCAGTCATCCCCTACATTCCTACAACAATGAAAGCCTGGAAAATTGATTATCAATAACTTCTTGGATCTATTTAAGAAATCAAATTGCAGGGAAAACCAAGACCCAAAAACTAGAAAGACATTAAAATAGAGATCATCAGACTGATGGAACAATCTTGTTGTGGCAATAAGATACCAAATTATAAACAAGACCCAAGTCCACATCAAGCAAAAATTAAGTCACTCACTCCTACACTTAAAAAATAGACTATGTTGTAACTGCCACAGGGCTTTTCATTTTCTCTAGCAGCTAAAAAGCACTGGTCCTACGATAAGAATATTAAAATATTTGCAGCTCATGGAACTCAAGACACTGGGTAACTGTGCCCGTTCCACAGCCATAAAAAGAGCTTTGAATGGAGAAGGACTGATTTCAGTAACTTTCTCCTGAGAAGAGACCACTCACCATGGACTTGTCCTTGCCAAATTATGGAGGCTGTGCACTGTGTGTCCTTCTGCCTCTGCACAAAGCCCTTTTGATGTACACGGCCCAACTGTAATTTGTTTAGTTCTTAAGTCCTCGCCCCAAAGCAAACATGAAATGCATGTAACATCTGTGTTTGCTTATTATGCATGACAGCCTGCCCACCATGTGAATATTCATAGCTCCTTCTATAGCCCGCTGAGTATGTGCACTTGGCCAATCCATTTGCATGAACTCATTTCTCACCTTTCCCTCTCTTGAAGTGCCTGCTCACTGTCTCTGTGGGAGGCTTTGCTTTCCGGCCTGTTAAGATGGCCATCCTGCAGCTTCACCCATTTATCAGAAATAAAGTTTCTTTTCTAAATTTATAAATTGGGTGATTCTTCCATTGAAAGCACAAGCTGGTGGAAACAGTTACATGATAATTCCATAAATGCCTAGCAGACAAGTGTGGATAGGGTAGGGTAAGAACTCCTGGGGGCCACGCACCCCACACTTTTATGAAATTTCCCTCCAGAAACTTCTGGGTTCTCAAGATGAGAATCCAAACAGATTCCCTCATGGCTCTGATATCAGGAGAACTGTTCTCTGATAAATATGCCCAGAACTTTGTCCGGACAGACCCTACATAGAAAAAATACTTTTCAAGATCTTTATTCCATGTGAGGAGAACGAATTCTTTTCCATCCAAGACAGCTTCATCTTAGCCTTCCTGTGTCACAAAAAGGGGTATAATTAATAAAACAACTGGGGTCAGATTCAAGAGAGCAATCTGTTGATGCTGCAGCCATGAAGGGGATTAGAGTATGGAGGAAAATCAGCTGTATCACTGGAGACTCCTTGTAAAGGGCACAGCCTAGAGAAAGCACAGCAAGAAATCATTGGAATTCAATGTCAAGAACATTTACTGCTTCCCTGCCCACCACATCACCTCCTCACCACTAGGATTAATATGGATTAAAGAGAGAAGTGTGGCAAGGCACAGACTCCGTCTAACGACTAGAATGTAGGGAAACCAAAGGTGGTAGGAGAGAACAAATCAAGGACAGGGAAGTGAGACCAACAGGCCTCTGAGACCAACAGCTTCAGAACCAAGATCACAGCCCCTCCCTAAATGGCCTTAGATTTACCTCTCATGGGGCATCTGCAGGGTTCTCAGGTGAGAACTGGCAAAAACAATATGAAGGCACTTTCCAAATCACCAGTAGTACTGAGCTTGCTTTAGCTCTGGAAAAAACAAAACAACAACAAACATAAGCAGGACTAAGGTCAGTGTTGGAAGCACCTTTCTTTGGGAAGACACTATGAAGGAGGGCAAATTCGAGGCCCATTACTGTGCAAATATGCCACTGTGTGTTTTGGGGGGCTTTGAGACATAGGGTCTGTGTGTAAAGTTAGAATCTGATGGGATATTCAAACACAGAATCCTAAAAAAGAGGCTGCCCCAAAGTCCCCATCAGTTCCTGGACTCGACATGTGTCTGGACCGTATCAGTGCACCTGGAGCTCCAGGGAAGGGGCTCCCTCGTGGCCTTAGTGATCCCTTGCTTGCTGTGCTGAGGTCTCCCTGTAGGATAAGGCCTACTCCTACTGTAAGGCCTATTTCCTACTGTAAGAGATGGTGGGAGAAGCAATTGCTGCCACTAAAACTTCATTCTGAGCCAAGGCATAGCCACTTCATACTGGGCTTGATATGCTGGGTGGAGAATTCTCTGTGAGCCCAGACAGGAACTTCTATGCAGGGCAGGAGCTGAGCTTCAGGGGGGTCCTCAGGGCGCACCCAGCACAGGATTCAGCCCTGGAGCAGGTGCACAGGAGGACAGGGTGGGGTTTTCTCTCAGGAATTGAATGTTTCTTATTTCAAAGCAATAATGACCTAAAATTTAAATAAGAATTTAGCAAGTACTGATGTACCGTTAAGTATTTTATTGTATATGGAGCCGATACCTAACCCAATAATTTAATGCAAACCATATTTAAATGGAGAAATGTCTAGTCTTTTCAAATGTATTTATAGTTAGGAATTGAGTGGTGGTTTTATTAATTCAATGGGTGTTACTACTGGGAGATACACTCATCCTAGAAGTTAAGGTGCAGAGGTGAAGGCCCAGGAAATGTTCAGGTTGTCAGAGTTCCATAGGAACAAGGAATCACATTGAGGACAATGTCCTGGGAGATTGTGGTTTTCTGTGAGACGAGTTCTGTCTTCATGGACTTCTGAGCATGTCAGAGGACAAATATCATTAAACAAAGTACAGGGCATGGAGCTCAGCATCCCACTGTGGCGTGGTCCGTGTGTCACCTAACTTCTTCCTCAGGTTGGGGGGCTTGAGCTACGAAATAGGTAGCTGCCTCATGAATATGCAAATGCACTGGTGTTTACCGAGGTAAATACAGATCTGTCCTTGCCCAGAGAGCATCACACAACAACCACATCTCTCCCCTGTAGAAGTCCCCAGAGCACAGCACATCACCATGGACTGGACCTGGAGGATCCTCCTCTTGGTGGCAGCAGCTACAGGTAAGAGAATTCTAAGTTCCATGGCTGATGACGGGACTGGGTCCAGTTAAGTGGGGTCTCATTCACTCCTCTGTCCTCTCCACAGGTGCCCAGTCCCAGGTCCAGCAAGTGCAGTCTGGGGCTGAGGTGAGGAAACCTGGGGCCTTAGTGAAGGTCTACCCAAGGCTTCCAGCTACACCTTCACCTTCCACTACATGCACTGGGTGCCACAGGCCCCTGGAAAAGGGCTTGAGTGGATGGGACATGTTGATCCTGAAGATGGTGAAACAATATATGCACAGAAGTTCCAGGGCAGAGTCACCATGACCGCAGGCATGTCTACAGACACAGCCTATGTGGAGCTGAGCAGCGTGAGATCTGAGGACACGGCCATATATTACAGTGCAAGACACACAGTGTGAAAATCCACATACTGAGAGTGTGAGAAACCTCGAGGAAGGAGGCAGCTGTGCTGGGGATGAGAAGATAACAGGATTTATGAGGTTTAAACGTGTTTAGAAAATGGGTTAAGTACACACAATAATAATGGGAGGCTTTAACACCCCACTGTCAACATTAGACAGATCAACGAGACAGAAAGTTAACAAGGATATCCAGGAATTGAACTCAGCTCTGCACCAAGCGGACCTAATAGACATCTACAGAACTCTCCACCCCAAATCAACAGAATATACATTCTTCTCAGCACCACATCACACTTATTCCAAAATTGACCACATAGTTGGAAGTAAAGGACTCCTCAGCAAATGTAAAAGAACAGAAATTATAACCAACTCTCTCTCAGACCACAGTGCAATCTAACTAGAACTCAGGATTAAGAAACTCACTCAAAACAGCACAAATACATGGAAACTGAACAACCTGCTCCTGAATGACTACTGGGTAAATAACGAAATGAAGACAAAAATATAGATGTTCTTTGAAAACAATGAGAACAAAGACACAAAATACCAGAATCTCTGGGACGCATTCAAAGCAGTGTGTAGAGGAAAATTTATAGCACAAAATGCCCACAAGACAAAGCAGGAAAGATCTAAAATTGACACCCCAACATCACAATTAAAAGAACTAGAGAAGCAAGAGCAAACACATTCAAAAGCTAGCAGAAGGCAAGAAATAACTAAGATCAGAGAAGAACTGAAGGAGATAGAGACACAAAAAACCCTTCAAAAAAAATCAATGAATCCAGGAGTTGGTTTTATGAAAAGATCAGCAAAATCGATAGACTGCTAGCAAGACTAATAAAGAAGAAAAGAGACAAGAATCAAATATGTGCAGTAAATAATAATAAAGGGGATATCACCACCGACCCCACAGAAATACAAACTACCATCAGAGAATACTATAAACACCTCTATGCAAATAAACTAGAAAATCTAGAAGAAATGGATAAATTCCTGGACACATACACCCTCCCAAGACTAAACCAGAAAGAACTTTAATCCCTGAATAGATCAATAACAGGCTATGAAATTGAGGCAATAATAGCCTACCAACCAAAAAAAGTCCAGGGGATTTACAGCTGAATTCTACCAGAGATACAAGGAGGAGTTGGTACCATTCCTTCTGAAACTATTCCAATCAATAGAAAAAGAGGGAATCCTCCCTAATTCATTTTATGAGGCCAACATCATCCTGATACCAAAGCCTGGCAGAGACACAACAAAAAAAGAGAATTTTAGACCAATGTCCCTGATGAATATTGATGCGAAAATCCTCAATAAAATACTGGCAAACCGAATCCAGCAGCACATCAGAAAGCTTATCCACCATGATCAAGTGGGCTTCATCCCTGGGATGCAAGGCTGGTTCAATATATGCAAATCAATAAACGTAATCCAGCATATAAACAGTACCAAAGACTAAAACCACATGATTATCTCAATAGATGCAGAAAAGGCCTTTGACAAAATTCAACAGCCCTTCATGCTAAAAACTGTCAATAAATTAGGTAATGATGGGACGTATCTCAAAATAATAAGAGCTATTTATGACAAACCCACAGCCAATATCATACTGAATGGGCAAAAACTGGAAGCATTCCCTTTGAAAACTGGCACAAGACAGGGATGCCCTCTCTCACCACTCCTATTCAACATAGTGTTGGAAGTTCTGGCCAGGACAATCAGGCAGGAGAAAGAAATAAAGGGTATTCAACTAAGAAAAGAGGAAGTCAAATTGTCCGTTTGCAGATGACATGATTGTATATTTAGAAAACCCCATCATCTCAGCCCAAAATCTCCTTAAGCTGATAAGCAACTTCAGCAAAGTCTCAGGATACAAAATCAATGTGCAAAAATCACAAGCATTCTTATACACCAATAACAAACAGAGAGCCAAATCATGAGTGAACTCCCATTCACAATTGCTTCAAAGAGAATAAAATACCTAGGTTTCCAACTTACAAGGGATGTGAAGGACCTCTTCAAGAAGAACTACAAACCACTGCTCAATGAAATAAAAGAGGATACAAACAAATGGAAGAACATTCCATGCTCATGGATAGGAAGAATCAATATTGTGAAAATGGCCATACTGCCCAAGGTAATTTATAGATTCAATGCCATCCCCATCAAGCTAACAATGACTTTCTCCACAGAATTGGAAAAAACTAAAGTGCATATGGAACCAAAAAAGAGCCCACATTGCCAAGACAATCCTAAGCCAAAAGAACAAAGCTGGAGGCATCACGCTACCTGACTTCAAACTATACTACAAGGCTGCAGTAACCAAAACAGCACGGTACTGGTACCAAAACAGAGATATAGACCAATGGAACAGAACACAGCCCTCAGAAATAATACCACACATCTACAACCACCTGATCTTTGACAAACCTGACAAAAAGAAGAAATGGGGAAAGGATTCCTTATTTAATAAATGGTGCTGGGAAAACTGTCTAGCCATATGTAGAAAGCTGAAACTGGATCCCTTCCTTACACCTTATACAAACATGAATTCAAGATGGATTAAAGACTTAAATATTAGACCTAAAACCATAAAAACCCTAGAAGAAAACCTAGGCAATACCATTCAGGACATAGGCATGGGCAAGGACTTCATGTCTAGAACACCAAAAGCAATGGCAACAAAAGCCAAAATTGACAAACGGGATCTAATTAAACTAAAGGGGTTCTGCACAGCAAAAGAAACTACCATCAGAGTGAACAGGCAACCTACAGAATGGGAGAAAAGTTTTGCAATCTACCCATTTGACAAAGGGCTAATATCCAGAATCTACAAAGAACTCAAATTTACAAGAAAAAAACAACCCCATCAAAAATTGGCCAAAGGATATGAAGAGACACTTCTCAAAAGAAGACATTTATGCAGCCAAAAGACACATGAAAAAATGCTCATCATCACTGGCCATCAGAGAAATGCAAATCAAAACTACAATGAGATACCATCTCACACAAGTTAGAATGGTGATCATTAAAAAGTCAGGAAACAACAGGTGCTGGAGAGGATGTGGAGAAACAGGAAGGCTTTTACACTGTTGGTGGGGCTGTAAACTAGTTCAACCATTGTGGAAGACTGTGTGGCGATTCCTCAAGGATCTAGAACTAGAAATACCATTTGACCCAGCCATCCCATTACTGGGTATATACCCAAAGGATTATAAATCATGCTGCTATAAAGGCACATGCAAATGTATGTTTATTGCGGTACTATTCACAATAGCAAAGACTTGGAACCAACCCAAATGTCCATCAATGATAGACTGGATTAAGAAAATGTGGCACATATACACCATGGAATACTATGCAGCCACAAAAAAGGATGAGTTCACGTCCTTTGTAGGGACATGAATGAAGCTGGAAACCATCATTCTCAGCAAACTATCACAAGAACAAAAAACCAAACACTGCGTGTTCTCACTCATAGGTGGGAATTGAACAATGAAAAAACTTGGACACAGGAAGGGGAACATCACACACTGGGGCCTGTTGTGGGGTTGGGGGAGGGGGAGGGAAAGCATTAGGAGATATACCTAACATAAATGACGAGTTAATGGGTGCAGCACACCAACATGGCACATGTATACATATGTAACAAACCTGCACATTATGGACATGTACCTTAGAACTTAAAGTATAATTAAAAAATGCAAATATTGTTAAGGTGCTTAATACGAAAACAAATTACGATAAATGTGTTCACTGTAATACTACCTATCATTTATAATAAATAAATGCCTGATACACACAAGAAAAAGCTAAAATATCTAAGTATTTGTGTTGAGTAAAATAAGCTAAACCAGTAAGTATACTATGTTATTTCATTGTTATAAATCCTGATAAATAAAAATGCATCTAACATAAAATAATGAAGATCAGTAGTTGCCCGGGAAACTGGTAGAAGAAGGGAAGGGGAAAGGAGGAGGAATATAGCTGAACAAGAGGAAATGTTGAGAAGAATTCCCATGTACACTTTCTTGATAATGATGACAGTTCTATCATGTTTATTAATTGTACATTTTAAATATGTGAAATGCATTATCTTTCAAATAAGCCTCATAAATTGTATTACAAGCAAACAAATGGAACCTTAGACAAGGAGTAATAGAAAGACAGAACAAATATGTTAAATGTCAGAAGTACCTGAAAATTAATGTGCCTGGACCCTAGTTTTCCCCGTATTTTCAGATGAGTGCTGGAGTGCAGCAAAACCACACATGCTCTTACTACGGAAAGTGGGCTCTGAAAAAAAACACTAGACACATCCAGCTTTGTACTGGAGTTGGCTTAGGGAGCAGTCGGAGCCGGTGATGAGAAGCACAGGGCTAGATACCAGGGTTCACTCATCCTAGACATGAGCTCTTAGATACACACAGAGCCCCCTCCGTGTGTGGATTTACTTCCACATCTGTAAATGAAAAAATATTGACTCCTACAGAACATAATTTACACAATTATTTTAAAATGAAATAGGGTGATAAAGGCAAAATGTTTATCACAGCACAATTTCATTAATAAGACAGCGTATTTTCCAAATACCATAATTACCAGCCAACTTCTGCGGGTAACAGCTTCTTATCTGGATACAGCCTACTTCTCAAGTGTCCCACCCTAGCACTTGCTATATAGTTGGAGATACGAAATTAGTGCCCTCCCTCTACTGATGAAAACCAACCCAAACCCGACCCTGCAGCTCTGAGAGAGGAGCCTTAACCCCGGGACTCCAAGGCATTTCCACTTGGTGATCAGCACCGAACACAGAGGACTCACCATGGAGTTCGGGCTGAGCTGAGTTTTCCTTGTTGCTATTTTAGAAGGTGATTCATGGAAAACTAGGGAGTTAGAGTGTGAGTGGATATAAGTGAGAGAAACAGTGAATATGTGTGGCAATTTCTAACCAGGATGTCTCTTTATTTGCAAGTGTCCAGTTTGAGGTGCAACTGGTCGAGTCTGGGGGAGGCTTGGTACAGCCTGGGGGCGTTCCTGAGACTCTCCTGTGAGGCCACTGGATTCACCTTTAGTAGCTATACCATGGATTGGGTCCGCCAGGCTCCAGGGAAGGGGCTGGAGTGGGTCTCAGTTATTAGCAGTGGTGGTACCATATACTACGCAGATTCTGTGAAGGGCCGATTCACCACCTCCAGACACAATGCAAAAAACTCACTGTATCTGCAAACGAACAGCCTCAGAGCCGAGGACACGGCTTTGTATTACCGTAGCTGCGGTCTCCGATGTCACCACCAACCGCAGCGAGGCAAGCCGCCGTGGCTCCAGCCTCCAGCATGCGGTGGTGCCTCTTCCTTCTGCTTGTCTTCCAGCCCAGCAGGAGAAGCTCCCACTGCTAGCCTCCCTCCTACAGCTCCATCACCACCACCACCAACAGGGAGGCAGTGCCCCAAGTGCCAGACTCCAGTGGGCAAAAAGAGACGGACCCTTCTAATTCTCTAAGCCGAGCACGTAGCAGCCCCGCACACCAATACAGAAAAGCCAAAAATGACGTGTGGCTCCCTCCGCATGCTTTATATACTGAGGTTACGGATCCTGGACTACATGTTCTGATTGGATGAGAGAAAAACCTCTAGGCCTACTCTGATTGGACTTTATTTTCATGCTGTGATTGGTTATCTTAAGACTTGCTCTCATCCAATCAGAACATGATAATAAAGTCCAATCCGAGTAAGCCTGGAGTTTTTTTCTCATCCAATCAGAACATGCAGTCCAGGAACCATCATGCGCAAAACCTCAGTATATATGTAATGCCGAAGAGAGGTTAGGGTTTCTTTAGGTTTCCGTACTTTCCTGTTGAGCACTGCGGCGCAACTCGCCTTGCTGCGGTTGGTGGTGGCGATGGAGATTGCAGCGCGGCTGAAGGGGTAGGAGAATGAAAATAGTTTTGGGATAGATAGAGGTGGGTAGAGAGTGTGGTGTTAGTGCAAAGGGAAAAAAGGATAGCGAGGAGGAGAAGGCGTTGCAAAAAGACGATGGGGACAAGATGGTGGGGAAAAAAGTTTTTGGGTAGATGGAGGTGGAAAAACGGTGCAGAGCGGGAGGGAGGGATGGTTTTGCAGAAAGACGGTGGGTAGAAAGTTTATGGGTGGATGAAGGGGGAAAAGAGGGTGGCAATTGGGAAGAGGAAAGAGAGTGGTGAGGGGGGACAACGGGCGAGCAGTAGGGAGAGAAAGTTTTGTGAAAAGAGGGTGGGGAGAAAAGTTTTTGGGTAGATAGAGGAGCAAAAGAAGATAGCAAGTGGGGGAAGGAAAAAGAGGGTAACCAGCGGGAGGAAGACAAGGTTTTGCGAAAAGACAGTGGCAGAAAAGAAAGATGGTGGAGAAAGAAAAGATGGTAGGTAAAAAGTGAGTAGATGGAGGGGGGAAAGAGGGTGAAGAGGAGGAGAAAAGAGGGTGGCGAGAAGGGAGCAGGGCAAGAAGGTTGGGAAAAAGATGGGAAAATAGTTTGGGGTAGATGGAGGGCTAAAAAGAGGGTGGCAAGCAGGATAGGGGAGAGAAGAGGACGAGTGGGAAGGGGGGGAAGACTGAAAAGATGGGGAAATTTTGGGGGGTAGATGGAGGGGGAAAAGGGAGGTGAGCAGGAGTGGGGAGAAGGCCTTGAGAAAAGATGGTGGGGAAATGTTCTTGGGTAGATGGAGAAGGGAAAGAGAGTGGCAAGGAGGAGCGGGGGGAAAGAAGATGAGGAAAAGAGTTTTTGGGTAGATGAAGGGGGAAAAGAGGATGGTGAGCAGCAGGAGTAGGGAAAAGGTTTTGGGAAAAGATGGGGGACAATGTTTTTGCGTAGCTGAAGGAGCAAAAGGGCGTGATGACATCGGGAGGGGGAAAAAGGGTGGCCAGAGAGAAGGGGAAAATACGGTGGGAAAAAATGGGAGAAAGTGTTTGGGTAGATGGATGGGGAAAAGCGTGGTGAGCGGGAGCGTAGAGAAGGCTTTGCAAAATGATGGTGGGGAGAAAACGGTGAGAAAGTTTGGGGATAGGTAGAGGAAGAGAAATGGTGGTGAGAGGGAGAGGGCCAAATGCGGTCGGGAAAAGAAGGTGGGGAAATGGTGGGGGACAAAGGTTTTGGGTAGATTTTTAAAAATAAGATTATTTGTATTTTCACTTTTGAGTAGTTTGAGTTCTTTAGATATTTTGTGTATTAACCTCTTGCCTGATGCATAGTTTGCAAATACTTTCTTCCATTCTCTGGGTTCTGTCTTCATTATACTGATTGCTAACTCTGTGTCAGAAAAGGTTTTAAGTTTAATGTAATTACATCTTTGCTTTTGTTACTTGTGCTTTTGATGTCTATTTGAAAATTCCTTGTCCTAACCAATTTCATGAAGCGTTTATCCTGTTTTCTTCTCTGGTAGTTTAATAGTTTCAGGTCCTGCATTTAAATCTTTATATTGAGTAGATTTTTGCATACGGTAAGGGTAATGGCCTAGATGTATTCTTGGACATGTGGGTGTTGGGTTTTCCTAGTACAGTTTATTGAAGAGATTGTCCTTCCCGAATGTGTGTTCTTGGGGACTTTGTTAAAAAAGAATTGACCGTAAACGCTTGAATTTATTTCTGATTTCTCTATTCTGTTTCACTTGTCTGTCATTCGTTCACCTCTCTCTCTCCCACCCCTTTTATTGATAGTACCATACTGTTTTGATAGTACCATGCTTACTATAGATTTGCAGTGTATTTTGAAATCAGGTAGTGTGATGCCTCCCGCTTTTCTTTCTATTCCAGATTCTTTTGTCTATCTGAGGTATTTTGAACTTCCATGTGAATTTTAAGATTCTTCTTCAATTTCAATGAAGAATGTCTTGTAATCGAACACGGATTGCATTGATTCTGTAGATCACATTGGGTGATATATATATTTTAACATTTTTCTAGTGCATGGACATGGGATATCTTTCCATTTACTTGTGTCTGCTTTAATATCTTTCATCTATGTTTTATGAAGTTTTCATTTTGGGATCTCTTGCCTTTTTGGTTGTTTATTCCTAGATACCATTTTTTTTGTAATGAAATAGCTTTCTTGATTTCTTTCTTAGGTATTTCACTATTGGTGCATTGGTGTACTATTCATTTTTATATTTTGATATTGTATTTTGGAACTTGATTAAATTTATTATTTCTAGTAGGTTTTTTGTGGAATCTTTAGGGTTCTTTCTATATATGTTCATGTCACCTGGAAACAGACAATTTGACTCCTTTTTTTCCAATTTGGATGCCTTTTATTGCATTCTCCTGTCTAATTTTTCTAGCTAGGACTCCCAGTACTATGATGAATAAAAGTGGTGTAAAAGTAGCCACACTTGTTCCAGATCTTAGAGGAAGAGCTTTTAACTTTTCCTTATTATGTTAGCTGTGGGTTTGTCATATATGGCCTTTATTGCGCTGAGATATGTTCCTTCTGTACTCATGTTGTTGAGTTTTTATCATGAAGGAATGTTGATTTTTATTTTTTTCAGCGTCTACTGAAATGACTATAGGGTTTTTGTTCTTGATTGCTGAATGTGATGTCGCATATTTATTTGTGTTTATTGAATCATCCTCATATTCCTGGGATGAAATCCACTTGGTCATGGCAGATCATCTTTTTATTGTGTTGTCAAATGCAGTTTTGAAGTATTTTGTTGAGGATTTCTTGCACCTCTGTTCATCAGGGAAAGCCTGTGGTTTTCTTTCTGTGTTGTGTTCTGGTCTGGTTTTTGTGCCAAGGTCATGCTGTCCTCATAGAACAAATTTGGAAGCCTTTCTTTCTCTTCATTTTATGGGGAATATTTTGAGTAAAATCGATATTAACTCTTTTAAAAATGTTTGGTAATTCAGCAGGAAAACCATGATTCTTGTGTTTTTCTCTGCCAGGAGACTTTATATGACTGCTTTAATTGCATTACTCATTATTGGTCTGTTCATTTTTTTAATCATTCTATCTTGGGAATTTGTTATGTGTCTAGAAATTTATTCACTTCTAGATTTTTCAATTTGTATATAGATGTTTTTAGTAACCTCTTAAAATGCTTCGTATTTCAGGGTTATCGATTGTAAGTCTTATGATTTCGTTTTCTTTTTCTTATCCTTCATCTAGTTAAAGCTTGTCAATTTTGATTTTTTTTCTAAAACACCCCAGCTCTTTGTTTCATTGACTTTTTGTATTGTTTGTTTTTTAAAGTTTCTTCTCTAATTTTTATGATATTTTTTTCTGCTAATTCTAGCATTTGATTGTTCTTGTTTTTCTCATTACTGGAGGTGTACTGTCAGGCTGTTTGAGATCTTCCTACTTTCCTGATGTAGGCATTTATAGCTATGCACTTTTCCTCTTAGAATTGCCTTTGCTGCATCCCACAGGATTTGTTATGTTTCTATTCTTGTTTCAATAAATATTTAATTTTCTTTGTTTTTCATTTCGTTTATCGGTTCATGAGCGTGTATTTTAATTTCCGTATGTTTGTACAGTTTTTAAAGTTCTATCTGTTATTGATTTCTAATACTATGCGATTGTGGTCAGAAAAGATACTTGATATGAATTCAGTTTTTAAAAATGTGTTGGGTGGCTGAGGCGGGCGGATCACAAGGTCAGGAGATCGAGACCATCCTGGCTAACACAGTGAAACTCTGTCGCTACTAAAAATACAAAAAATTAGCTGGGCGTGGTGGCGGGTTCCTTGGGAGGCTGAGGCAGGAGAATGGCGTGAACCCGGGAGGCGGAGCTTGCAGTGAGCCAAGATAGCACCACTGCACTCCAGCCTGGGAGACACAGCAAGACTCCACCTCAAAAAAAAAAAAAAAAAATGTGTTGTGACTTGTTTTTTTTGGCCTAACACATAGTCTGTCCTGTAGAATAATCGATGTGTGCCACTCAGTAGAATGAGCGTTGTGCCGTTGCAGAGTGAAAGGCTGTGTAAATGTCTGTTAGGTCCATTCTGTATAGAGTACAGTTTAACTGATGATGTTTTGTTGTCTGGATGATCTGTCCGTTCACGATAGTGGGGTGTTGATTACAGTGGAGTGTTGACGTACTCTATTATTGTATTGCAGTCCATCTGTCCTTTAAAGCCTGTTAATATTTGCATCTGTATTTAGGTGCTTGAGTGTTGGTTGCATGTGCATTTAACGGCTACTTTTTTTTTCATTATATAATGATCTTTTTCTTTTTTTGACTTAGAGGCTATTTTATCTAAGTATAGCTACTCCTTTTTTTGTTTCCGTTTGTATGGGATATCTTTTATCATCCCTTCACTTTGTGTATGTCTTTATAGGTGAACTGAGTTCCTTGTAGGCAGTACATAATTGGGTCTTTTCTTTTAATCCATTCAGCCACTCTGTCTTACTTCATGTATATTCAGGATTATTACAGGTAAAAACATACTATGCCATATTTTACTTCTTTTTTGATTGTGTTGCTACTTTTTCTTTTGTTCTTTCTCCCTTCCTCTTTTTTTTCTCTCTGATCTCTCTTTTTATTTCTTCCTTTTTTTACTTTCCTCCTTGCCTTTCCTCCGGTCTTTATTTGTAGTAAAGTAATTTTTTCTGGTGGTGTGTTTCAATAACTTGCTTTTCATGTTTAGGGTGTCTATTGATTTTTGCTTTCTGGTTACCATGAGGCTAAACAACATAATTACAACAAGTTACTTTAAACCGAAGAAAACTTAACTTTGATTGGTCTCAGCTACTCAGGAGGCTCAGGTGGGAGGACTGCTTGAGCCTGGGAGGCCGAGGTTGCAGTGAGCTGAAATCGTGCCACTGCACTCTCCAGCCTGGGTGACAGA
Source organism: Homo sapiens (assembly GCF_000001405.40). Lineage (NCBI taxonomy): Eukaryota > Metazoa > Chordata > Mammalia > Primates > Hominidae > Homo > Homo sapiens. The sequence goes on along the minus strand of NC_000002.12, from coordinate 94,942,324 downwards.
GTGAGACCATGTTTCACAAAATAAATAAATAAATAAAAATACAATAGCTTATAATGAATTCTGATTGTAAATTTTGAGATGTTAAGGTATGAAGAGGAAAGTGAAAATCATTCATAATCTCATTACCCAAGGATAACTACTTCTAATATTTTGGTACATACTCTTCCTAATTCATAATCCCCTCCCTCTCTCTCACACACAAATGTACACATAAAATAGATACACTTTACACACATATAATTTTATTGTAACATTTTCAGAAACACGGTTTTGTAATTATTTAAAGATATTGTGAATAAATTTTGTGAATAATACATAACATATTATACATCTTAGTTTTCAGATTTTGTTTTCTGCTGTTTGGGGTGGCAGGTTCACTTTTTGCTAACATGAATCGTCTCAGTGTCTTTGATTTTCCTTCTCTCCTCTAAGCTATTGCTTTTGGAAGGGGCGCCTGGATCTCCCTCCTGTTTACTTGGGGGCAAACACATAGTATCATGGGGTTTTGAAGACATGTTGCCTGCGCCAGATAGCAACACTGGCTGTAGTTCTGAAAATATTAGCGTTTTTGTCCTGTGATTAATACTAAGATGTAAATAAAGTGGTTTTAGATAATTGTAGCAAATGATCCAGATATAACTGTGTGTTTTAGATCATTGTAGCCAATTATTTAGATACAACTCGGTGAGTACTTTTTAATTAAGAGCTCAAGATTTCTACACAGTATGTTCATTGTCTGCTTTATTTGTGGAAACATGAAACCTGATACTGGGTGAGGTAAGAAAATGGGTAGGTTTTACTATCACAAGGAAAAGGTAATATCCATACACTTTTGCCAAGGAGGCATGGATTAGTTAAATTGGCTTCTGGATCTTTGAGTTTGGGTATGATAGCCTTACGTTGAATTTTTTGGTTACTGCTTGATAATATTTATTTTAGTAATTGATTGTGTGTGTTAATGAACACTCCTGTCCTAAAAGCAAAAATGAAGTGGTTCAAGGGAGCATGAATTGTTAACATCTCCTTTAAACAAATAGGCTAGGTTAAAATTTCTTTACAGAGCTTTATGGTATTACATGTGACTTTATTACACTATTACATGTCAACAAAAATGGCAGAAGCTCTCTTAACTGACTTGCCAGATGTATTAGCTCTCTCCATTCACTCAATAAAATGTCCATTTTATTGAGTTTTAATCCATTCGGAATCAATTTAGAAATACTATCTTATTTAATCTGTACCCTGTTTAAGCTGGCGACTGGATTATAAGAGTATGTGTATTAAATATTTTAGAAGGATAGGTTCTTTTAAATAAATAAAAATTATCACACAGGATGTCTTAAACTTTTTAAAAAGAGATCTGATTTTAGATTTTGTTAAAATACTAGCCTACATAAGTATTCTTTTTATGAAATAAATACTCATATAAACTGTTTTTCCAGAAATTGACCCTGAATAGAGATTTCAGATCGTTGAAAACGGAACCATTTGAAAACTGCATTTCCTTTTCCTAATTTATTTCAGTTACTCAATAGGATTTTCTCATGGAATTAACTTTTCTCTCAGCGTAGTTACATAAGCTTACTCTTGTAATCATGAAAAATAATTACCCATTTCAGCACTTACTAACGTGGACTTTACTTGAAGGGTCTCTGGTTTTAAAGTTAGAGCACATGACTAGAGGCAGATGAAGAGTACCTCATCATTCATGGCCACTGAGTCTCTATAATTTTTAAATGCCTTTGGAAAGCTAGATCTTATACTCAAAAGCATGCTTTTGTGTTAGAAATCTTTTAGTGAACTACTTACTCGGGTGATAATGCTTTTAAAGCCCTGCTTTTCTCAGAATAAACTGAATTACGTGTTACCAATAACAATGCCACATCATTTCAAAGGAAACTGAATTAAGTAATCCAAGTCCAGGTTGCTGAAAACTAGATGACACAGGGTAGGCACTGTTTTGGTTACCATGCCAAGGATCTCTATTAGTCAGCTTGGGCTGCCATAATAAAATACCATAGAACTGGGTGGCTTAAACAACAGAAACTTATTTTCTCACGGTTCTGGAGGCTAGAAGCTGCAGATCAGGGTGCTGCTGGTTCGGTTCCTGATGAGGGCTTTCTTCCTGGCTTATAGGTTTGCTAACATCTTGTCCTCATGTGGCAGAGTGAGAGTACCGTAGTCTCACCTTCTCTTCTTAAAATGACACCAGTTCTATCAGATTAGAGTCCCACCCCTATGACCTTATTTAACTGTTACTACCTTCTCACAGGCCCTGTCTCCAAATTTAGCTACATTAGGGTTTAAAGATTCAATATGTAAATTTTGAGAGGGCACAAACATTCAATCCATAAAAGAATCTAGTATAATTAACAAGGATTGTTGAGCCCTGATATCTTGTTATACCTGCCTGTGTCCCTTCCCCCATTCCCCTCCACTCTAATTTCCTCACAAACACTCAGATGATTTTTTTCAGATACTGTTTTTGTTACTTACCAAACTAGTAACATTATGAATTATAAATGTTATTAGCCATTGACTGCACTGACTGACCACAGTTGACTGGGAGGGCTAGATGGTGCATGGTGCCTTCTTTGTGGTGGAAGATATAGGTTGGAGAAATGTGGTTGGTAGCAAATGCTGTCTGGTTTGAACAGCTTTGGAGAAGTCTGGTTCTAGTTGGTTTCAGTTCTCTCCAGATGCCGTTTGAATCTAAACGAATTTTCTAGTTCTTATCATTACAGAATTGTCTTCTGGAACAATTATTTCTTTTTATTATGTGGTAGCAATATGGATGTAGTTTTGTGAATCATTAAGGCATTTTAAGTCATCTTCCACTCTCTTTTATTTTTCAACTCTTTTAGGTTGTTTGAGGGACGTTCATCAAGGAAACCAGATAAACTTAAAACGCTCCTCTGCTTCTTTAGAACAGTCACAGAGAAAAGTAAACTCCTTTCATTCTTACCGTAATTTTTCTTGATGATGGGAACAGTTCAAGTCAAGTGACATGTGAGGAACATTTTGTGTTTAACGTAAACCTTCCTCTCCCAACCACATTGAAACAGTAGTAATGATGCGACAAGATAACCTAGATTTTATGCTTATGTTGTGTATAAGCATAAATGTGTGCTATAAATGTAAGGGGACGGGGTTTACATACTCTGAAATTGGACCCATATTCTCTGAAATCTGTAGTATACATCAAAAGATTTTCATGAATAAAAACCAGAGAAAGTATATTGACCAGGAAATAAATTTTGGATGCTCTTTACTTAAAGAAACGTTCAGTAGTTTATTTGCATAAGTCAACTGACACGTTGCTTTTCTACCCATTCCTCTCTTTTGTGCCCCCCTAAGCCCTTTGTGGAGCTCTTATAAAAACTTTTGTACTGAGTTTTGTATCTCCTTCTTCCTCTATTGAACTTTAACATTCTTGCTTCCCCAAAACCCGATAGCAGCTGAGACAGTAATAGTAAATGTCCAACAAATACTGGTAATGACCAGCTGATAATAGATTGGTATTGCCACTCTTATCTCAGAAGCTGAATGACCATGGTCAAGTTTCTTGACACCTCTAAGCTTCAGTTTTATCATCTATGAAATAATATACTAATGGCCATTACCTTACAGGGTAGTTATAGATATTAAGAAGATACATGCTTAATAAATGTAAGCTATTGTCAATTGGTAGCCTTTCCTACAAGTGGATGTAAACCAGAACACCTCAAAAGTTTCTTTGTGCTAAGTAGGTAATGTCAACCTGGTCAAGTGAAATGGCTTTTTTTCAGTTCTGGGTTGTAGGATTGTCTGAAAACATGTCTTTGAATAATTTTAAGGTCATTTTTCTCATATCCTTCTTTTACTCTTGCATTACAATGTACTTGGCATCTTCTCCTTTGAATGTATTGCTATTGGACATTGTTAAATTTTTAGAATGAAATCAATTATCAAGATTTTGATATTTAAGGGAAAATTATATGCTTCTTTGATATGGAATTATTTATCTCATAGCTTATTGAATTTCAGTTTTGTGTCCTGTGCTGAATGAAATATTAAAATGCAGAATCATTTGGACCTCTGAGACACAAAATCAAATTAGAATTTGTAATGACTTGTTAAAAAGATGACTACGTAAGGCCAGGTGTTGGTGGATCACGAGGTCAGGAGTTCCAGACCAGCCTGGTCAAGATGGTGAAACCCCGTCTCTACTAAATACAAAAATTAGCCAGGTGCGGTGGCGGAGCCTGTAATCCCAGCTACTCAGGAGGTTGAGGCACAAGAATCACTTGAACCCGGGAAGCAGAGGTTGCAATGAGCTGAGATTGTGCCACTGCACTCTAGCCTGGGTGATAGAGCAAGATTCTGTCTAAAAAAAAAAAAATGACTACTTTTTTTGGCTATTCTAGGTCTAGTTAGAATTATTACTATTGGTCTTTTTTGTTTGTTTTTTACAGTACTTTGAGTTGCCGTTTTATGTAGAATTATTATAACTAAGTAGTACAGAGTTTACTTTTTTGTCCTGGGAGTCAAATCATGTATGTCTTCTCTAAAAACTAACTTGGCTTTCTAAATTTTAGGGTTTCAGATACTTCGAGGAAAAAGCTAAAAGTTTGTTTTTTCAACTAGAAATGTATATGCCATTATAAGTATTGGGAATTTGAAGAAATAAATTATAACTAGACATTTTATTTTCTGACTTTTTCAGTGTACATGTTAATAAAGTTCTTTGTAGAAATGCAGTACAACATTGCTCTTGGTCTGCAGTATGTAAAGCTAACGGTTTAAAGAGGAAATACTAAAGAGAATAAAAGAGGTTTGCAGTATAATGAGTCATTGTGTAGAAGTTCTGGAGCCTACTCAGTAGACTTGAGAAGCTTAATGTACCATATTTCATTGAATCTAAGATGTCATAGATTATTTTTAAAAAGTGCTATTACATTATATACCTCTAAGAAGGAAAAAACACTCAGGACAGGGAGTTCAGTAGGAGACCTAACCCACAAGGCTGGTACACCCAGGGATAAATGAGAAATTAACTTGGCCATCCAGAAAAGGGACCATAAAGAAACATGCAGGTCTCAACCTTGACACTACATAGAGAATGGAAAAAAAAAAATTTCTCAGAATTTGAACCACAAGCCCTAAGCTTTGGGTGTGCAGCCTTACCACCAGTGTGGTCTACAAAGGCCTGCCCCAAAGGATTAATTCAGATGGTATCGGGCTGATAGCGTTCCCAGATGACAGCAGAAGCAGATGTACATCTTCTCTGGGAAAATTCTTCTCTAGTCAAGACCTATGGTAAGATATCTCCATTATAAAAGATGTATTCCAGTTTCAGAAATGTAGTATGTGAAAAAACCTGGCTTTTAGAATTGATAAAATAGAATTCCATCAGGACCAACCTTTCAGTGTTATTAAACATGTGTATTTTATATTTGATGAAGATCTTGAGACTGAAATATTTTTAAAAGCCTTCCGAATTAAATTACTTTCTGTATAGTTTTAGATAAAGTATCCATGACCTGAATGTAGTATATATTGTGATTTTATTATGGGAAGTATTTGATGAATTAAAGTATCCTATTCTGAGATGAAAGTTGCCTTGTTTTGAAAGAAAGCTAACAGACGTGCTCTCAAGGCATTTTTTGTTAATCTAAGAAACCATGTTCTTCTGCCTTTTCTTGGTTTGCCAGCAGTGTTTATGAATTTTTCTTAGCATCTCTCAGTATGTATGAAGGACATTTGATGTTCTTACTTCTCTGCTAAGTTACCGAATGACAAGAGAGATGTTTTCTATTATATTCATAGAATTGCTTCTCTAGTGTTTGAGTTGTTTGACCACTTACTTGTGAGTTTTAAATATGTTATCCATTTATCTTAAAGTTAGGTATCTAAAGAATGTAAGACCCATGTTAACAAAAAATTTTGTTTTCTTCTGTAACTGCTCCATATGGTTTTTGAGTGGTTCCTGCTTTTGACTGAGAACAAGGAGAAATGTGGAATTGTGTGCATAGGAATGAAATGATGGCCAGGCTTTTACTGGGTTATACACTGTCATCACTAATAGTTCCTGACATCTCTCTCTTTCCTTAAGAGCTTTTTTCTATTCAAGAAAATAGAAATGGCATGGCCTTTTTAGTTTTCTTTGATTTGAATCAGACAGATTACTCTGGCCAGCTGATTTATTTGTTTCTTTTGCTACTAGCTTTAAAAAATAAATCTGACTAGAAGAGGATCTCATCCTCTTAAAATTATTGACTACGTTAATAGTACTCCATTTTGCTCTTCCCAAATTTATTGCTCCTTGAAAAATATGTCATCCTTGTTCTGTAAACTCTTAGAACCAGTAATTTCTTCTCTGGCTAAGACTGCTACTAACAAGTAGAGTGATTGCCCACTATTTAAGCCTGAGACTTAGCTGTACTAACTCCAGAGGATGTGCAAATGATTTTCTTTTTAAATCTGTGGCATTTCAGTTTACTATAAAGTACATAAATGTGTATTTATTCACCAGTTTTTGAATGTAGGGTTAAGTCCATTCTTTGTAAAGGAGTCTACAAATTTGAATTCAATTTTGTCTTTACTGCATAAGCTGTGCCAGTTATACACCCTTTTTTTAATGCTTTTTTTTTTTAAAAAAAGTGTATTCAGCTTCAAAACTTTAGCAAAAAGTACTAGCACTCAAATTCTATGTTGTGCTGTTATTTGTATAGTTTTGTTTAGTGAAGCCTTACTGAAGGAGTTTTATACAAGGAGTTTCTACTGTAAGGAGAATATTATTTTCAATCAATATTCTGTTATTTTCCAATGCTAGGCTTTGTATTTCCTGGTTAGTTTTATAGTCAATGTTAGACCTATTCTTTTACCGAGTGTGTGTGCGTGCGCGTGTGTATAATGTTTTCAAAATTGAAACTTATTTTGGGTATGTTTTTCTTTTATTGCTTCTGTAGAACCTACTGGGTTGGTGACATTTACAAGAGAGTCTTGAAGATTTTCCAGAACGGGAAAGGTAACAATAATAATAAAAATAATCCTAGACCCCTAGAATTAGGACTCTTGCACCATGAGAGGATTCTGTTTTATAGCACCTGGAAAGATGGTTTTCCAACCTCTGTTTATCCTAGTGCCAGGGAATTTGTTCTCGTAAGTGATCCATCGATAACTCTCATTTTTGAAAAGGTTATGCCTTTTAAATCAAAGTCTGTAACCCTTTGATTTCTACCATTTTGTCTTGGTTTTGTCTTCTGAAAGAAAGTGCTGTTTAAAATTGAGGAGTGTTGTATGTGAAGACACTAACAAAAGGAACACCAATATATAAATGTTTCTCCTTACCCTTTGTTTGGTTACCCTTTGTTTGGTTAGTGTTTGAACTTCATGGCTTTTCTTCTGGAGGACAAGATTGAGAAAAGTCTTTTTATTATTTACATTTTAGTAAATAGTAACCATCTAGAGTTTGAGTGGCAAGAATTTTGAAGTTTGGCTGCCCTTGTGTACTACTGGTAGATTTTGTGGAAGTTGCTATTTACTGTTTGTTTCTTATTTATCAGAAAATAATTGAGGAGATAGCAGCCAATCTGAGCTAATTCAGATTTGTAAGGTCCTTAGTGTCCTGAAATAGTTAACATATTTCTTAATCTAAAGCAAGTCCCCCAATGCACTTAAAGAAGTGTGAATTAACTTTTTAAATATGTTTGAGGACATGGTGAAGCATACTAAACACATATTTAACCAATGCCTCCCATTTTCACTTTCTAATAATTTTATGATAGTTTGCAATTGTTTTGTTTGGAATTAGCGATGAATGGAAATCACTTTAAAAAAAGTTGAGAAGTCATATCTGCTTAGGTGGCTTTCCTGCGGTGTTTGCATCCATCAAAGATGTTTATTTGTGAAGCGAAAGATAAAGAAATTTACTTCAGAAGACTGAGTGCATGGTTTACGTGATTATTAATACAGGGAAGTAGTTAAAAGGTTAAGAAACCTGAAGAGAGAAAAAAAAATGAGCCAGAAAAAGATGAGAGCATGTACAGCATTTTGGCATCATGGCATGTTAGATCTGAAAGGAACCCCAGCCGCCTACTAAAACTCTTGATAGCTCTGTAATACCTGCAACAGTCAGAGACTGGATAGCTTCAGTGATGGCAAATCCACTGTTTCACATCAGTTTGTTCCATTGGTGGCTGCTTGTGTTATCATCTCATGCTTTTATTCACTAAAAATGTTTTCTACATTCATTCTCCACCATTCCTGGTTCTTCCTTCTAGAGCTACATAAATAAATCTGAATTTCTAGTTTTCTTTGACATTTGATCTTCCTTCATGTATCTTAATGGCTTCTTAACCTACTTTCCTCTCCAACAGTGCATACAAGTTCATACTAAACTGATTCGTTTCTTCTATTTTACATGTAATATGGAGTCTAAACCCTTTATCTCTGCTCTTAACAGAGTAGATTGGTTGCAGTTTCTTGGGTGCAGGAATGAAAAAATGAGTACATTGGCCTCAGCCTCCCATATAGCTGGGACTGTATATAGGTGCATACCACTACACCTGGTTAATTTTTGTATTTTTTGGTAGAGACGGTGTATCACCCTGTTGGCCAGGTTTGTCTCGCACTCCAGACCTCAAGAGATCTGCCTGCCTTGGCCTCCCAAATTACTGGGATTACAGGCATAAGTCACTGCGTCTGGCTTGGGGGAGTTACTGTTGAAGTATTGTCTTTGTATCCCAAAGCAGGCCCTTCTGAAGCTGATGATATTGACGAAAAACTCCTTCTACTGAAGTCTTTGCAATGTATAATCTTTTCATTTCCATTTTCCTACATACCGTTTCTATTTAATGGTTCCTTGTATTCCACAGACTGTGTTTTAGTATTTATAAGTATAGTATTCGTTTTCTATGTGGAAAATGGAAAACGTATTGGCCTTTTTTTAACATACAAATGAACTTCACAAGCAACAATTTTTCAAATCAGTTTTCCCTGTTGTGAATCTCGAAGTGGGTACATGATGCACTTTGCCATTTAAGGTAAAGTACACATTTATCCCTTATCTCAGTATAGTCAGAAGTCAGGTTCTTATTGTATGGTTGGTAATGCAAATATTGATAAGGTCATGTCGATACTTGGTATTTAGAAGAATTCTGAAATAGCACCTGTTAATCTGTAAGTTTTATGCGTTTATTACTTTTTTTGAGTTTTTTATAGTGTTCCCAAAGTTGACTCTCTCATAGGCTATTAGTAATAAGTTTTACTTCTATCTCTTCTGGCCTCAAGTGCACAAGATGTATTTTCTTTAGGTTTAGCATATAATATAAATTCAATTGTTTATTTCAGATTTTGGAAGAACAAAGAGGAACTACAGAATCATTGCTTACATTGACACAATTGAATGGGTAAGTGCATCATGCACCCACTTTGATGGATGTGTTTTTTTTGGATGAACGTAAAAATTGACCCTGCTGTTAAAGCTTGAAACTTGGATCTGTTTTATCTGAGTTCTCTCCTCAAAAAAAGACCTTCAGGAAGTATCAGATAACTGAAACATACCAGATCACAGCACCACATGCCTCCTGCCCTTCCCTAATTTCTGTTCTCTCACACATTGTTATGTTTCTTTCCTGCTCCTATTAGTCAAGCCCATGGATTTGGGACTGAGCTCCCAGCTCCTGGGCTGCAGCACCAGGTTAAAGCTTTCTTCCTTGGCAGTACTTGTCACCTCAGTGACTGGCTTTCTGTCCCGTGAGCAGGAGGACCTGGACAAAACTCCTGGCATTTGGGTAATAACATGAACAACCATCTTAACTGTTATTCTTTATTGAAATTTTACTTTCTAACTACTGCCTTCTTGTACATTATCTCCCATTCCTTTGACTTCATATCTCTTTTTTTTGTTGACTTTACAGTCAAGGAACTTAATGCTCCCTAAATCCGAATATTAAGGTTAAAAGGAGAGAGGAAATGTGTGCAGAGAAAGTATACTTTACAAATGAATTAAACATGGATTCTGAGATACAGGTTTATAGATTTACCTAGAGTTTTGAGTTCAGGTGAGTTTTCACAATATGCAGTAAGTGGAAAAGAATCCCAAAGTAATTGTGCCATGAAAAAGGTAGATGTTGAAAACCAAAAAGATTTCACTTCAGTATGGCACTTTTAATTCAAGAATACTAGCCACCAAATGAGTTTTTCTGACTGTAATCATTGCTCTTTAAAAATTAAGAGATGTATTAATAACTTTTACTTTACTTTTAGTACAGCTTCTGAATTTAGTTATCAATAGATAGGACAAAATAGATGAGCATCTGCTTCCCTTCCCCCTAAACAATGTATTCTTACTGAAATGTAATATATTTTTATTTATACTTGAAGACAGTGTTTTTCAATCTTTTCCATGTTAGTAGTTCAGATCTTTAAGGACAGAGGATGTGTACTGGGGGCAGCTTGTGGTCTTAATCCTAACTGGCATTCTGATATTTTAGATTATTTCTTTCATATTTGTGAGTAAAACTTCTGTTCCAGTAGGATGAGCCTGTTTACCTTGTGACTGCCTAATAGACCTGTTGCTTTATATGCCAGTTTTTAGAAGCAGACAGATTATGTTACCTGGATTAAAATGTTTTTGACACTAAAGGGTAGTACCTTAAATTTTTACTTATGAGTTACTTAAAGTACAGGTTTGCTTAAATTATGGAGATTGAGTTTCCATAACTTTCACCATAGTGAAAATGGAAAGCAGGGAACATTCCACAGCAAACCCTGAGCTTATTTACAGTTAATTGTCTGAGCAAAGCAAGCATTCACACTTGTGTATGTGTGTGTGTCAGTGACAGATGAGCATGGTACTTGAAGCATAGTTGTGCTTCTTCAGATTCCAATATCCAGTAATTTTATCATGTGGTTAGAGTAATTAATATTAAATTCCCAAGCCTACTTGGGTGTATTGTATTTGTATTTTAAAATAATGTTTTCAAGCTACCAAATAGACATGTTATATATTTCTTCTGAATTAGAAAACGTTATTTGGATTAATAGTTAATAGAATCATATTTTGTGTTTATTATGTCTTTTTCTTTTTTTTCATGAGACGGAGTTTCACTCTCGTCACCCAGGCTGGAGTGCAGCGGCGCGATCTCAGCTTACTGCAACCTCCGTCTCCTGGGTTCAAGTGATTCTCCTGCCTCAGCCTCCCGAGTAGGTGGGATTACAGGCACACGCCACCACGCCCAGCTAATTTCTTGTATTTTAGTAGAGATGAGGTTTCACCATGTTGGCCCAGGCTGGTCTCGAACTCCTGACCTCAGGTGATCTGCCCTCCTCGGCCTCCCAAACTGCTGGGTTTACAGGTGTGAGCCCCCGCACCTGGCCTATTATGTCTTGAAAGTGCTTGCATCGTCACCTAGATTATTTTTTATCTTTCAATGTGAGTTTTTATTGGTTTATTGTATGTTGTTTATTTTCTTTTTAGGAAGCCATCATTCTTTAAAGGGCAATGACCAAGCAGTACCAGCAGAAATTGAAGTACCAGCAGAAGGCTAAGAAGGTTAGGAGAAAAAGACATTTTGTATTTTACTGTTTTTTTCTTTTTTTTTCTTTTTTAGAGGGAGTCTTGCTTTGTCGCCAGGCTGCAGTGCAGTGGCACGATCTCGGCTCACTGCAACCTCTGACTCCCTGGTTCAAGTGATTCTCCTGCCTCAGCCTCCTAAGTAGCTGGGATTATAGGCACACACCACCACATCCAGCTATTTTTTGTATTTTTAGTAGAGACCAGGGTTTCACCATGTTGGCCAGGATGGTCTCAATCTTTTGACCTCCTGATCCACCCACCTCGGCCTCCCAACATGCTGGGATTACAGATGTGGGCGCTTGGCCACCTCCTCTTGGGAGAAATGCACTGATTCTGGTTGCCACGTGGATTTATTTTGGGAGTGATATTCATCTAACTTCATGGAAAATAATACTGGATAGAAAGTTAGCAGATGAATTCTCTATCTGATGAGAGTTTTGGGCAAATCGAATACCAAGTTACCAAGTTTTATTTTTTTCTCTGATGCAAAAAAACAATTTGCCAGCCGGTGAAAAAAACTCACAGCTCTGGATGTGAGTTTAGGATACTGGATTTCTACCATTCAATATCTTACTATTTTTTGCATAGGGATCATGGCACAAGTTGCAGTTTCCACCCTGCCCATTGAAGATGAGGAGTCCATGGAAGATGAGGAGTCTGTTGAAGACGAGGAGTCCGTTGAAGATGAGTCCGCGGAGAGCAGGATGCTGGTGACATTGCTCATATCAGCTCTTGAGTCCACGGTGAGACCTTCTGTTCTAACATTCTATAATTAGGTAGGACTGGGTGGTAGATAAGGTTGATTTGTTTTTGTAGAATTTATAATTTTATGATTTATAGTTCCAATGAGTAGATATTTTTCTTGAGTAGTAGTTACGGTCAAACACTTCTAACCAAATGTGCCATATTGTCCAGCCTGGTCTCAAAATTCAGGGCTCAAGAGACCTGTCCACCTTGGCCTCCCAAAATACTGGGATTACAGGTGTAAGCCCCTGAATTTGGCCAGATATTTTTCTTTTTATGACTGAATAATACTCTGTGTATGTATATATTACATTTTCTTTATCCATTCACCTACTGATGGGCATTAGGGTTGGTTCTACCTTTTGGCCACTGTGAATAATGCTGCTGTTAAACGGGTGTACAAATACCTGTTTCAGTCCCTGCTCTCAGTTATTTTGGGTATATACACTTAAAGGGTGTTGGTGGATCATATAATTCTCTGCTTAATATTTTTAAGGAGCTGCTAAACCATTTTCTACAGTGGGCTGTACCATTTTACATTCCAAAAAGCAATGCATACAGCTTCCAATTTCTCTATAGCATTGCTGACAGTTAATATTTTCTGTTTATGTATTGTATTTTTATAGTGTTTGAAATTAATTTGAGGGTTTTTGCTGATACCAAAATATTAGGAAAGGTTTTCCAAAAATAATACTGCTTATTATAAAGAATTTCATGTGTTACTTGATGCCCTGTGATCTATTTTTTCAGTAAGAAGAGGAACTTCTTGGCTGAGTGCAGCAGCTCATGCCTGTAATCCCAGCACTTTGGGAGGCCAAGGCAGGTGGATCACAAGGTCAGGAGTTCAAGACCAGCCTGGCCAACATAGTGAAACCCAGTCTCTACTAAACAAACAAACAAACAATCAAAAATTAGCTGGGTGTGGTGGTGGGCGCCTCTAATCCCAGCTACTCGGAAGGCTGAGGCAGAGAATTGGTTGAACCCGGGAGGCGGAGGTTGCAGTGACCGAGATCGCGCCACTGCACCCAGCCTGTGTGATAGAGTGAGACTCCATCTCAAAAAAAAAAAAAAAAAAAAGGAAAGGAAAGAAGAGGAACTTCTCTCCATCCAGCCTCATTCCACTGCACCAACTCTTCTGTGTCGGGGTGTGCAGGGGAGAAAGGGAGCTTGGCACCTCTTTGCTGTGTTGAGTTGTGGTAGCCCATCACTGGGTTGTAAGGTGCCTTACCTCCTTCCCCCCTCCTTTTTTTTTTTTTGAGACAGAGTCTCACTCTGTCACCCAGGCTCAGATGCAGTGGTGCGATCTCTGCTCACTGCAATCTCAGCCTCCTGGGTTCAAGCAATTCTCCTGCCTCAGCCTCCCAAGAAGCTGGGACTACAGGTACGTGCTACCACACGTGGCTAATTTTTTTTATTTTTAGTAGAGACGGTATCACCATGTTGGCCAGGCTGGTGTTGAACTCCTGACCTCAAGTGATCTGCCCACCTTGGCCTCCGAAAGTGCTGGGGTTACAGGCATGAGACACTGTGCCCGTCCGCCTCCTCTTTTACTTGGCAGATGCACAGATTCTGGGTGCCATGTACATTTGTTTTGGGAGTGATATTGATCTAACTTATGGAAATAATACTAGATAGAAAGTTAGTGGATGGATTCTCTATCTGATGAGAGTTTTGGGCAAAAGGAATTCCTAGTTTCTGAGTCTTATTTTTCCCCTAATTCAAGAAAACTGTGAATTATCCAGCCGGTGAAAAACTCACAGCTCTGGATGTGAGTTTAGGACACTGGATTTCTACACTCACTTTCTTACTGCTTTTCTTGTGCAAGGATCATGGCACAAGTTGCAGTTTCCACCCTGCCCATTGAAGATGAGGAGTCTGTTGAAGATGAGGAGTCCTTGGAGAGCAGGATGATGGTGACATTCCTAATGTCAGCTCTCGAGTCCACGGTTAGACCTTCTGTTCTCACATTCTGTAGTTTGGTAGGACTGGCCAGTAGATAAGGTTGATTTATTTTTGTAGAACTTACAATTTTATGATTTTCAGTTCTAATGAGTAGACCCTTTTCGTGAACAGTAGTTAGGGTTAAACACCTCTAACCAAATGTGCGTGTGGAGTTTCTACACTGATGTTCAGACAATCTGGATCCCAACTGGGTATCCCACAATTCCATCCTGACACTCCCTGGAGTTAGTGCTGACCCTGTAGGATGGGGGCTCAGTCCCAGGAGTCTACCCTCACTCCACATGCCAATTGCAAGTCTTGGGTTGTTACATGTAGTTTTGACCAACCAGTTAGAAAACAGGGTTTCATGACCCCATTGGTGGGTGGAATCATTTGCTCCGACAGCTTGCAGAACTCAGAAAAACAGATTTTCCTTTTTTTTTTTTGAGATACAGGGTCTCAGTCTGTTGCCAGGTTGGAATGCAGTGGTGTGATCAAAGCTCACTGTAGCATGGGACTCCTGGGCTCAAGTGATCCTCCCACCTCAGCCTCCCAAATAGTTGAGACTACAGGCCCACACCAGCATATCTGGCTAAGTTCTTTTATTTTTTGTAGAGATGGGGTCTTGTTATGTTGCCCAGGCTGGTCTCAAATTTCTGGACTCACATGATCCTCCCACCTCAACTTCACAAAATGCTGGGATTATGGGCGTGAGCCACTGCATCTCACCAATTTACTTTCTTTTACTGGTTCATTTTAAAGGCTATATCTCAGAAATAGCCAGTGAAAGAGATGTACCTGCTGGGCACAGTGGCTCATTTCAGCACTTTGGGAGACTGAGGTGGGAGCATCGCTTAAGTGCTCGGGAGTTTAAGACCAGCCTGGGTAACATGGTGAAAACGCATCTCTACAAAAAGATTTTTCTAAAAATTAGCCAGGTGCAGTGATCTATAGTTCTAGCTACTCAGTGCCTGTAATTCTAGGTACTCAGGAGGCTAGGATGAGAGGACGGGGCTTGAGCTAGGGAGGCATAGGTCACAGTGAGCCACGATTGTGCCACGGCACTCTAGGCTGGGAGACAGAGCCAGACCCTGTCTCAAAACAAAAACAAAAAATAAAACACAGGGCAAGGTGTGTCGGGAGGGGTACAGAACTTCCATGCCCTCTATTGTGCATGTTACCTTCCTGGTATCTCCCTTGTGTTCAGCAACCCAGACATTCTCCAAATCCAGTTGTTGAGGGCGTTTACGAAGGCTTCTTTAAGCAGTCGTGATAGATGAAGTCATTGACCATTGGTGATTAAGTCAGTCTTAGGCCGCTATTTCTTCCTGGAGCCCAGTGGGTGAGGCTGACACCAAGCCTCTAATCAAGCGCATGGTTTGTTCTTCTGGCAACCAGCCCTTTTTCTGAAGCTGTCTAGGAGCTTTCAGTCACCCAGTCATCTCAGTAATATCACCAAATGCATTCGTACTATGGTGAACCCAAAGGTCTTAGAGGCTCTTGTGTTAGAAACCTGGGACTAAGACCAAATAGTCAAACAAAAAATGCTCCTATCATCTTTATCACCAAGGCCTTTATAAGAACTTGAGAAGCTCTGTGCCAAGACGAGGGGCAGAAACCAAATGTGTATTTGTTTTCTTTTTCTTTTGGACACAGAGTCTATTTCACCCAATCTGGAGTGCAATGATGCAGTCGTAGCTAACTGCAGCCTCAAACACTTGGGCTCAAGCAATTCTCCCGCCTCAGCCTTCCAAGCATCTGGGACTACAGGTGCACACCATCCATGCCCAGCTAATTTCTGTATTTTTTTGTAGAGATGGGATCTTGTTAATATTGCTGAGGCTGGTCTTGAACTCTGGGGCTAAAGCGATCCTTTCACCACAACCTCTCAAGTAGCTGAAACTACAGATGCATACCACCATGCCCAGCTAATTTTTTCTTACTTCTTTTTGTTGTTTAATTGAGGGGGTCTCACTGTGTTTCGCAGGCTGGTTCTGAACTTCTGGCCTCAAGCGTTTCTCCTGCTTTGACCTCCTAAACTGTTGGGATTATGGTTGTGAACCACAGCCTCTGTGTCCAGCAATCACAAGAGGTCTTTATAAGTGAAAGAGGGAGGTAAGAGAGTCAGAATTGAAGGAGATTTGATGATGGAAGCACAGGTCACAGAAGGAGATTCGAATATGCTTTGCTTCTGGCTTTGAAGATGCAGTTAGGGGCCATGAGCCAAAGAATAGGGGTGGCTTTAGCAACTGGAAAAGGCAAGGGAACACATTCTCTCTGGAACCTCCAGAAGGGATGCAGTCCTGCTGACACCTTGACTTTAGCCTTAATAGACTTATTTTGGACTTCTGGCCCCCAGACCTGTTAGGTAGTAGATTTGTGGTGTATTAAGCCACTCAATGTAGGGTAGTTTGTAACAGCAGCAAGAAGAAATGAACATGAAGCCAGGGGTAGTGGCCCACTCCTATAATTCCAGCTATTTAGGAGGCTGAGGCAGGATGGTTGCTTTGGCCCAGGAGTTCAAGATAAGCCTGGGCAACAAAGTGATACCCTGTCTACATGGAAAAAAAAAATTAGCGGGCGTGGTGGCATCCACTTGTAGTCTTAGCTACTAGAGGCACTGAGGCAGGACGATTTCTTGACCTAGGAGTTCCAGGTCTCAGTGTGTTGTGATCGTGCCATGGTGCCATGGTGCCTCAGCCTGAGTGACACAGCGAGATTATATCTTAAAAAAAAAAGAAAGTAAAAAGAAATGAGTGAGCATGGCAGGAATGGGGACACATAGCAATATTAAACAGAGTGGTCAGGGTTGGCCTCCTAAGTGAAAATTGAGCAAAGACTTGAAGGAGGGGAAGGAGCTGGCCAAGGTACTGAGGGAAGAGAATTGTAGGCAGAAACAAACAGAATAAAGATGCTAAGAGGGAACTCCGTGGTGTGTTTGAAGCTCAGGAAAGAGCCCTGTGGAGCAGAGAGAGGGAGAGAAGGTAGGGGAGGAGGCCAGGGAGTTGTTGGGCTCAGATCAGTACAGATTGTGTAAGCCCTGGGAGGCTATTGCTGGGGCTTTGGCTTTTATTCTGTCTGAGATGGGAGATGCGGAAGGGTTCTGAGCAGAGAGGTGACATGAACTGTCTACTGATTTAAAAGCATCCCATGGTGGCTGAGTTGAGAAAGATTGTGGGAAGATTTGGGTAGAAGCAGGGAGGCCAAGCTGTGGCAACATCCAGGTAGGAGATGATAGTGGTTCTGACCAGGGTCCTGGCAATGGTGAGAGATGGTTGATTCTTGTTGAAATACTAAGTAATTAAAAAAAAACTACCGATTTTCCCAATTATATGAAGTATGGGATGCTAGATTAAAGAAATCTTAAGTCGGGCCAGGTGCAGTGGCTTATGCCTGTAGTGTCAGCACTTTGGGAGGCAGAGATGGGAGAATTGTTGGAGTCCAGGAGTTTGAGACCACCCTGGGCAACATAGCAAGACCTCCTGTCTATGCAAATAAAAATTAATAAAATATAATTACCCAGGGATAGTGGTATTTTCCTGTAGAACCAGTTACTCTGGTTGTCGAGGTGGGCAGATTTCTTGAGGGTGGGAGTTTGAGGCCAGCTTGGGCAACATAGCAAGGCTCCTCTTTCTACAAAAAAAAAAAAAAATTATCTGGGTGTTGTGGTGCTCATCTGTAGTCGTAGCTATGGTGAGGCTGAGGCAGGAGGATCCCTGCAGCCCAAGGCTGCAGTTAGCTGTGAGTGCACCCGTGCATTGTAGCCAGAGTGACAGAGTGAGACCCTGTCTTAGAATACAAATACAAGTAAAGAAATCTCAACTCAGACCAGTCTCTTTGTGACTATGCAGCCTTTGCAACCCCATAGCTGAGTGATTGGGTTTGTGTTGCTGGAGGTGAGGAGACCCGTGCCCAGCTGTTGTTGCCTGTCTAATCGGTTTATTTTAAAATACATTAATGAAATTCATTTCATCATACTTTATGGCCTCATACCTGAGTGGTTTTTTGAATTCGCCTTTGAACAGTTTGTAACTATTCAAACCTCTTATTGGTTCCATAATTCTTTTTCTGATTGGCTTTTTAAAAATCAGAATTGATATTAAACTACCTAATCAGTTATTAACGAGGAGATGAAATTGAGTTATTTGTACACTTTACCTAAGATAGTGTCATATTGGTTAACTCAAATCAATAGTTGAGCAAATGCAGAATTAGAGCTTCTTCAGCGTGGAACTCTCTTGTGGTTCTTGAAGATGCCATTTCTTTTTTTTTTTTTTTGAGACGGCGTCTTGCTCTGTCACCAGGCTGGAGTGCAGTGGCACAATCTCGATTCACAGCAACTTCTGCCTCCCGGGTTTAAACATTTCTCTTGCCTCACCCTCTGAAGTAGCTGGGACTACAGGTGCATGTCACCACGCCCGGCTAAGTTTTGTATTTTCATTAGATACAGGGTTTCAGCATGTTGGCCAGGCTGGTCTTGAACTCCTGACCTTGTGATCCACCGGCCTTGGACTCCTAAAGTGCTGGGATTACAGGCATGAACCACCGCGCCCGGCCTCTTTTTTCAGTCTTTAATAAACCACTGCTGCCATCGTTTCTGACTACTTACTATTTAGGCACTTAGGAATTTTTCACTGGAATTCATGTAAAGAAAGAACGTGGGCGTTTGTACTGGATTTAGTATTCATCATTCGACTGCATGACTCACCCCTAGCGCCGTAATTTTACTAATAAATTTTTCAGATACTACTCAGCTAGTGACTGAGCCTAACCAGCAACCCACCCTCAACCATTCAGTGGTCTTTTGTTCTTCTCTGTTCCTCCTGAACGTTGATTACTCTCAGTAGGTGATAAAAACTTGCATTTCTTTTTTTTCCCCCCTAGAGACAGGGTCTTGCTCTGTCACCCAGGCTGCAGTGCAGTGGCGTGATCATGGCTCACTGCAGCCTGAAACCCCGGGCTCAGATAGTCCTCCCACCTCAGCCTCCCAAGTAGCTGGGACTAACATAACATTTGCCCCTATGCCCAGCTAACTTCTTGATTTTTTATTGTACAGGCGGGATCTTGCTATGTTGTCCAGGATGGTGTCAAGTTCCTGGCCTCAAGTGATCATTCTGCCTCAGCTTCCCAAAGTGCTTGGATTATATGTAGGTGGGAGCCACCTGTGTTCAACGCCCATTTTCTTTTTCTTTCTTTTTGAGACGGACTCTCGCTCTGTCACGGAGGCTGGAGTGCAGTGGCATGATCTCGGCTGGCTGCAACCTCTACCTCCTTGGTTCAAGCAGTTCCCCTGCTTCAGCCTCCCGACTAGCTGGCATTACAGGCACATACCACCACTCCCAGCTAATGTTTTTGTATTTTTAGTAGAGACGGAGTTTCAGTGTGTTGGCCAGACTGGTCTTGAACTCCTGAAATCAGGCAGTCCGCCTGCCTTGGCTTCCCAAAGCGCTGAGATTACAGGCGTGAGCCACCACACCCGGCCCTTTTTAAAATAATAATAATATTGAAATATGATTAACATATCATGCAATTCATTTATCAAAGCATGCAATTCAGGCCAGGCGCAGTGGCTAATTCCTATAATGCTAAGACTTTGGGTGGCTGAGGCAGGTGGATTGCTTGAGTTCAGGAGTTTGCGATTAGCCTGGGCAACATGAGAAAACAGCATCTCTAGCAAAAATACAAAAATTAGCTGGGTGTGGTGGCTCATGCCTGTAGTCCCAACTACTTGGGGACATGAGACTGGAAGATCACTTGAGCCCAGAAGGCATAGGTTGCAGTGAGACCAGATGGCGCCACTACACTACAGCGTGGTGACAGAAGGAGACCCTGTCTCTAAATAAAGAAAAAAGGTATACAATTCACTGGTTTTTAGAATATTCACAGAGCTGGCATCCATCACCATAGTCTCTCTTAGAAGTGATTACCCACTTACGAGTTAGCCACTTATGAGTGAGAAACCCTCACCTCTTAGCCGCTACCTCCTACTTCCCCCATGTTCCTGTGTCTTCATAGGCAACCACTGATTTATTTTCTGTCATTGTAGTTTTGCCTAATCTGGACCTTTTATAGAAATAGAACTGTACAATGTGTGATCTTTTGTGGTTTGCTTTTTTTTCTCTTAGCACAATGTTTTCAAATTTCTTTCAGGTTAGTGTGTATCAGTATGTCTTTCCTTTTATAGCTGAGTAATAGTTTATGTTTATCCATTCATCAGTTGATGGACATTTGTGTTGTTTCTGTGTATTCGCCGCCATGAGTCAGGCTGCTATGAACACTCATATGTAAGTTTTAGTGTGAAAATATATTTTTATTTCTCTTGGATTTACACCCAGGAGTGAAATTGTTGCATTATGTGATTACTATACATTTAGCCTTTGAGAAACTGCCACGTTGTTTTTCGAAGTGGTTACACCAGTCAGGCACAGTAGCTCACACCTTTAATCTCAGGTATTCGGGAGGCTGAGTTTGGAGGATTGTCTTAGCCCAGGAGTTCAGGACCAGCCTGGGCAACATAGGGAGACAATATCTTGATTTTTAAAAAAGTCAAATGCCAAGAAAACACCCAAATTGATGACACCATTTTATGTTCCCACCGGTAATGTATGTGAGTTCCAATTATTCCACATTGTTACCAACTTTTTTTTTTGGAGACAAAATCTTGCTCTGTTGCCCAGGCTGTAGTGCAGTGGCATGAACACGGCCAGTGCAGCTGTGACCTTCCAGGCACAAGTGATCCTCTCACCTCAGCCTCCTAAGTAACTGGGACTTACAGGTGCATGCTATCATGTGTGGCTGATTTTTACAGTTTTTGGTAGAGATGGGGTTTTGCCATGTAGCCCAGGTTTGTGTCAAACTCCTGAGCTCAAGTGATCTGCCTGCTTCAGCCTCCGGAAGTGCTGAGATTACAGGTGTGTGCCACCAAACCCGACTGGTGTAACCACTTTGGAAAACAGCCATTGAGCCTGGCCTTCACCAGTATACCAATATTTGTTAATATCTTTTTATTTTTTACTATATTTTCATTTTTAAATACATTTTTACCTGTATTATTAATTATAATAAACAACAAATAATTTTGTAGTAGAGTTGAGTCCCCCCAAAAAGTATTTGTTGTTTAACTGAAATAGTTTTTTTTTAAACCTGGATGTATATTTTTTCATATTCACTTTATTTTTAGTGTTTATTTTTAAAAATTATTTATATGTATTTTTACTTTAATAGGTGTTTGAGAAATAGGTGGTGTTTGGGTCCATGAATAAGTTCTTCAGTGTTGATTTCTGAAATGTAGTGCCCCTCATTACTCATTAAATTATATATTAAGTCATTATAAAATCATTAATAAACCAAGGGCTTTAGTAAAATGGGAATTTTATTTTAATTTGCAACCTGGGACGTAACTGTCAAAAAAAATTAGAGAAATTACCACATTAAGATTTTAAAATCTTGAACAGAGAAATGAAAACCTTGGTGCACCTAAGAACCACCAGCCCACCGGGTCAAGGTGAACAAAACTAAACAAAATAAAACCAAGAAAACCAAACTCAGGATTATTAGGTATTCTGCAATGCTATTTTATCTTGGGACTTGCAGAAAATAGTTATTATTATTTTGATAGGAGTCTCACTCTGTCACCCAGGCTGGAGTGCAGTGGTGCATTCGTGGCTCACGGTAACCTCTGCCTCCTGGGTTCAAGTGATTCTCCTGCCTCAGCCTTCACAGTAGTTGGGATTACAGGCAGGCTCCACCATGCCTGGCTAACTTAGTATTTTTGGTAGAGACAGGGTTTCACCATGTTGGCCAGGCTGGTCTGAAACTCCTGATCTCGGGCAGTCTGCCTATCTCAGCCTCCCAAGTGCTGGAATCACAGACATGAGCCACTGTGCTCAGCTGAAAATAGTTAATTTTATGTATATTCCAAGTCAGAATACATTGTTTTTTAATATTTGATGACTTTAGGATACTAAATTTACTCTTAATTGAATTAATACAAGTTTAGGTGTAAAGTTGATGTTTATGTTGACTAAAAATTAATGTTTTACGTATATGAAAGTAATAACGTCATATACTTTTTGTGCTTTTAGAATACTTTGAAATCTATTAGCTAATATTTTATATTCATTTTGGGTTTTCACATTATTGTTAGATCCAGAGAAAACTAATATTTTGTGAATACTCAAATCATAAGCATTTTGCTGGATACATTCATAGATACTTTATTTAAAAAGTACACTAATTGAAGTTTTATACCATTTTATGATTCATCAAACACAGCAACTTAATCCTGGCGTATAGCAACATTACAGATGTTAGTCTAAGATAAAACCCATAGCACATTTTAAAAAGGGTAAAAGGAAGGAAAGGAAAAAGGATACAAGGCTGTATACAGATTTTAAAAACAAATGTCATATGTCTGAACCTTTGCCTGGAGTTTCATATTTTGTGAAAAGCAATTTGTAAGTAGAGGACTCATAAGTGCACCTAGTACACTGCAATGGCACAGACGTGGCAGATACTCAATAAAATGATGTTTAACTTCTGATCTAGGTTATTTTTTTGTTGTTCATGTATTAACCTAGTGAAACTCAGCCAATAGATGGAGTGGCATTGACCTGTAAAACTTCCAAGATCCCGTGATCAATTAAAAAAAAAAAAAAAAAAAACTTCCAAGATCCCATCCAACCTTAGTGTCCTCTGAAGTTCTCCATAATTTATTGTCTGCTGCCACCAACATTTAGCATAAGCTACAGCTTATATTGTTAATCCTACTATGTTTATGTGCTGATTTGCAAATAAATGGGCTTATATAGTCTTCATCTTCACAACCCTAATAATATCTACATAATTTAAAAACTTTGTTATAAACATGATGTTTCATAAAATTATGTGTTATCAATTATGTTCTGATAGAAGAATTACACATTTTTGCTTAAACTTTTCTGACTCTCCATTGCCTATTGAATACAGTAAGTTCTCACATAGTGTGAGGATTTAATATGTTCTTGAAAACTGTGACTTGTAATTACGCCAATTTTACCATAGCCTAATTGATAGAAATAGTTGTTTCCATGGCATATTTCTGGTCACGAAAACATCACCAAACTTAGGCCCAGAACACTTCCAGTATTAAACTCTGAAATAAATGTGAGCTCTACATACATTTAAGAAAAATTAGGTTGGGCACAGTGGCTCACGCCTGTAATCCCAGCACTTCGGGAGGCTGAGGTACGAGGATCACTTGAGGTCAGGAGTTTGAGAGCAGTCTGGCCAACAAGGCAAAACCCTGTCTCTACTAAAAATACAAAAAATTAGCTGGGCGTGGTGCCACGTGCCTGTAATCCCAGCTACTTGGGAGGCTGAGGCAGGAGAATTGCCTGAACCTGAGAGGTGGAGGTTGCAGTGAGCTGAGATCGAGCCACTGCACTCCAGTCTGGGCAACAGAGCAAGACTCCGTTTCAAAAAAAAAAAAAAAAGATAAAAAAATCAATGAAAATGTTACCAGGGCCGCCCTGATGAAATAATTGGGGAAGTTTTTTTTCTTACTGTGTTGTCTTTAGTTTCTTTATTTGTAGGCACAAATGCATAAAGAAACCAGATGGCCCAACAGCACCAGAGTTGCTCCACCCCAACCAGATATTAGAAGGAGGTAACATCCCCAACCACAACCAGCACAAACTTGAACAGGTGACCTCTAGTTGCTTTTAGATCTTTTTTTTTTTTTTTCTGAGACAGAGTCTCACTCTGTTGCCCAGGCTGGAGTGCAGTTGGCACCATCTCGGCTCACTGCAACCTCCGGCTCCCAGGTTCAAGCGATTCTCCTGCCTCAGCCTCACTAGTATCTGGGATTACAGGTGTGCACCACCTAGCCCGGCTAACTTTTTTTTTTGTATTTCTTTTAGTAGAGACCAGGTTTCATCACATTGGCCAGGCGGGCCTCAAACTCCTCACGTTAGGTGATCCACCCACCTTGGCCTCCTAAAGTGCTGGTGATTACAGGCATGAGCCAGAGCGACCAGCCCAGATCATGAACATATCACTATAATACTAAAATTCCTTCCCCCCAAAAAATCTTGCCATTTTGTGTCGTGGGTTGCATAAGGATGTATGTTTATGCACTGAACCTGTGCACCTGGAGTCCCACCCTGCACATGCTAACATTGCTCTCCCTCCCTGTACCCAGTTCTTCAAAACCCCATACCTTCTATTTTTCAGGGGGAGAGTGTCTTTAGAGCAAGAAGTCTTTTCTTCTCCGTGCTCAGCCAGGAAGAAAACCTGTTTGACTTTGTTTCTCATTGGGTTTTCTTGCTTTGCAACTACTACAGAGCAGGGAAAAACCTGTTAATTACCAGTGACAAAAACAAGTAAGATTATTACTTACCCACGTGTTTCAGTTCAGGGTCGTGGGTGGCCAGAGTGTCCCCTAGCAACTCAGGGCGCTAGGCAGAACCAGCCCAGCCCTATATCTTGGATAGGATGCCATCCTATGTCAGAGTGTACACACACACACACACACACACACACACGGCTCAGATGGGGACCATTTAGAAATGCTAGTTCACATAACGGGCACATCTTTGAGATGTGGGAGGAAACTGCAATACCCAGAGAAAACCCCCAGGGACCTGGGAAGAATGTGGAAAGACCACACAGACAGTCCCTGGCTGAGAATTGTTTTTTTCTCATCAACGTTACAATAAAATGATGTTGAATGAAAAGACATTATTCAAGGACCTGCTGTAATAGTCACAGTCCCTCATATAAAAATCAAAGCCCCCTACACTTGGGCACTACACTAGACTTCCGTCCTACACCTACATCCTAGCCACTGTACTACACACCATTTACGAAACTCGCTGTACACTTCTGTGCTGCCAACCGTTTGCCAGGTTGGTTCCCTTTGCTTTTCAAAATTACACACCCATAATTATCCTGCAAAGCCTACCGCATCAGCTCTTCTGTGAAGCTTTCCAGAGTCCACCACTCCTACCATCACCCCAACTCCCTCAGAGGGGAAATCCCTCCCTCCATTTGGCAGCCACTTTTATTGAAACATTTCTCACTGATAATTATTATCAGTCTGCCTTCTCTTTTGGGAAACTTTCTCAGACTACCATACCCAGAATTAAACACTCCATTTTTTTGCCCACCTCAGTCCCTGGTATGTAATTCTACTCCAGCATAGAACATAGAAACCAGAATCATCTTTCTGTATAATTATGTCTTCTATTAGACCCTGTGTCCCTTGAGGATATCATCTTATTCATCATTGTTTCCCAAGAGCCTTGCATACCTTGACACCTTGCTCTGGGCCCCCAGCTTAGCCTGTTTCTTGGCAGGCCGCCCATGGCTGATGCCAACCAATCCTTTCCCTGTCTATCCAAGCACCGGACTTCCTTACTGACTGTTTGCAATTTCAGACCCTCCATCGGCCCTCTGTATCCCGCTGGAGATTTTGGAGCATCTCAGCATCCCCGGGGCAGCCCACAGGCATCAGGGAGGGGCAGGCAACAAAGCCCACATAGACCTTTGCAGGCATCTCAGGATCTCCCAGTGGGATCCTCTTTGCGCCAGCCCATTCCTTAAAATTCTGCTGACTCCCCGACTTCTTCCTCTAGTCTAGCACTTAGCTGGAGTTGCCCTAAAGGTGACCACAGGGGAATTTCCACAAGGGACTGCCCCAGACTGTTCTGAGATGGAGGTGGTTAGTATTCCAAAGAAATAAGCTCTAAACTTTGGGATGATGAGCCCAAAGCATTTCTTAGGGGATGTACACACAGTGGGGGCTGCCCTTCATCTTATTGGGAGAAAGGAGACAGAGGATGCTTTGTCTAGGTATGTCTGCAGTGAGGGGTTCTGGTTATGCAGTTTATAGGAGAGCTTAAGGAATTTGTCCTAGGATCAGGGATACTTTTTTTTTTGAGACGGAGTCTCAACTGTCGCCCAGGCCAGAGTGCAGTGGCACAATCTCAGCTCACTGCAACCTCTGTCTGAGGTTGATTTTACCACTCCTAATACTTGATACTAATCGTTCTGATATATTCTTGTTCATGTGTATTAGTTTTCTTATTTCTGATGTAACACATCACTACAAACTTAGTAGATTCAAATAATGTAAATTTTTAACCTTTTGGTTCTGGAATTCATAAGTCTAAATGGTTCTATGAGTCTAAAATTAAAGTGTTAGCAGGGCTGGGCTTCCTTTGGAAGCTCTAGAGAATGATCTGTTTTCATACCTTTTCCAGCTTGTATGAGCTGACTACATTCCTTAGCTCATGGCCCTGCTGCCCACAGCTTCAAATGAGACAACACCAAGTTGAGTCCTCTTTAGATCACATCAATTTAAATCTCCTACTATTCATATTTCCTTGTGACTCTCCTATGCATCCTTCCTTCTCTTCAAAGGATCTTTGTGATTATACTGGGCCCTCTGAAGAATCCATGATAATCTTATCTCAAGGTGCTTAAGTTAATCACATTTACAAGATCTCCTTTTCCATGTCAGGTAACATATTCACAGGTTTCAGGGACTATACTTTATTCTCCACTTCTGGAGAAGTCCTTGGAAGATACTCATTTAATTTAGCATACGCTGTAGAGGCACACAATACTCCTCATAGAACACTTGAGCATGTAATTATATCCCAAATATTTTTAAAACTATGTTTGTTGTTTTACATGGTAAAAGATTTTTGCATATGTGATTGAGATAGGAAGATGACCTAGGTGAGTAATTGCATGAATATTCATAAGAGAAAGAGGTAGGTATGAAATAGAGTCAGAGAAGGAGACTTGATGGAAGCAGAAGTCAGAGTGATGTGATTTCTGGCTTCAAAGCTGGAAGGAGGCTGTGAGTCATGGAATACAGGCAGGCTTTAGAAGATGAAAAGGCATGGAACTTGACTGTCTCATAGACAGAATTATTTAATTGCTACTGAGTCTAAAAAAGGTCTTAGCTCAATGTCTTATCTATCATCCCTGTGAGTGTCAAGAGAATAGATCCTCCATACTCTCATACTCAGGTTTTGTTTCCTCTTTCCCACTAAGTAGTTTTCCTGTTGCTTATTTAAGTGGTTTTTTTCTAGATAGAGGGACTATTATGTATTATTTTGTAGATACATACCCTAAATATACATATCATATCTGTGTACAAATAATGTGTAATTGCATACATTCTGATGATTTCTAATTTCTTGATTGTATCACACACTGTGGTTTAGTGTCAAGCATCCAGTCATTTGGTCTTCCATAACTACTTCTCAGTGTATACATTCACCAGCTTGTCATGCTTCTTGAATTATGTTTCCTTTAGTAGTTGACATATTTCTAATTTATCTTAAGACTCCCTTCAAGCCATTCTAGCCTCTAATGAAAAAGTGTGATCATTACCCCATTTTCTTTTGCCAGCTGACATGTAGCAGCATTTTTTTCTCCATATTTCTAGAATTCTTCCAGAGTTGCAGTTCATGATCATGCAAGTTGTAGTTTGCACAGCTCCAGGGGCACTCTTTACCTCAGAGTCATCATATAATAGATTGGTATATTACTTACTGCTGCAATTTGAAGATGGTAACAAAGTACCTTAAATAATGGTCAGCTGTTCCTATATTGCACAAAGGTGGCATTCTGGCCAGTGAGTGCTACTTATAATTTGATATCAAAAACTTACAATTTGATAAGAATGACCAAATTTTTGCCCTCAGGTCTGATGGAATAACAAGGATCAAGCTTGCTTTTCTTGAAGCAAATAACTAGAAGTAAATAACTAGAAGTAAATAACTAGACAACTGGACCAAATATATTTATCAATTAGTTTCAGGTATTGAACAATGGAACAAAACAGTGAAAGGAAACAAACAAGGCCAGCTATATGATCACCACAGTTTTCTGCATAGTTGCAATTTCTGAATCACAGGCACAGAAAGGAGCCCAAATAGAACCTCAAAGGCTTTTTGAGTTGAGGAAACCAGAGACTGGAGAGACAGAGGGTGCATGGCAGAGCTCCAGAAAGGATGAAAGTATGAAGAGAAGAAGCTCTTGTAATACCCTTGGAGTACCCTTTGCATTTTTGCTGAGAACTAATCAGTGCGTGCATAGAGTTCAAGTCCATGAGACTGGCATAAGATAACTAGGAATATGCAACCTGAATAATACCCAGAGTTGAGACAAAGAGGAAAGATATATGCAATCTGGCTACTGAGAGTCCCTGGTGATAGCTCACGGGACTATGCCTTAGTAGTCGAGCTAAAGTACACCAGGAATGAAGCCTGTTTGTATGCCAACCATAATAAAGCTTAAAAAGAGGCC
Organism: Homo sapiens; assembly: GCF_000001405.40. Classification (NCBI taxonomy): domain Eukaryota; kingdom Metazoa; phylum Chordata; class Mammalia; order Primates; family Hominidae; genus Homo; species Homo sapiens. Next base: position 94,913,772 of record NC_000002.12, on the reverse strand, counting down.
TTAAAAGATCAAACTGATACAAGTAACTCATACTGCTTGCCAGAGGAAAGTATAGCATTTTTAAAGGAAAAAAACAACAGTGCAACCACTCACATTTCCAGCATTAAAAAAAAAATTCCTAGACATGCCAAGATGCAGGAGAATGTGAAGCATAATCAGGAGTAAATTAGACAATAGAAACAAAATCAGAAATGTGAAGGATCTTGAAACTAGAAGATAAAAATGTTATTAGAGTTCATAAAACTATGTTTAACTTTTAAAATGAATATAATGCACTAGTGTTAAAAGCAAGAGCAAAGTGCAAAAAGTATGTATAGTGTACTATGCTTCATGTAGAAAAGGATAGGATTTAAGGAAATATGCATGTATGATCTTTTGTGCAAAATAAATACAGGGAAATAAAATCCAGAAACAGATTGTTTACCTACAGAGGGTGAGTGTGAATGGGGTGGAAAGAATGGGGTAATAGAAACAATAGCACAAAAGAGGGAAGAATGACACTTTGCTGAGCATTTTTCTTAGCTCTAATTCTTAAGAGTTATAATATTTCACATGCCCTCAAATAAATAATTTAAATTTACCAGATATGGGGGAATGGAATACAAACAGTAACAAATGAACTCAACTCTTACAAATTATTATTAGAACCACACAGAATTGGGGCACAAAAGAGCTAAACAAAGTAACTTAAAAAAAGCAAGAGTTCTTGACTGTATCTTTAAGGCTAAAGACAAAACTGCACAAATACTTCACTATAGTTTACAAATGTGTTTTCACAAGGGTATGAGTTTGCAAATGTGAAATTTTGTGTATGCTAGGATTGAACAAAATGTAAATATACTGTGGATGAGAGCCAGGCTTTCTTTTTTTTCTTTTTGGTTTATTAATCTCATGAAAAATCCACAATGGCCACAGATAACATCATTGCAGCACCTTTACTCCTTCAGCTTTTTGCCAGCACCAACACTAGCCTTTGCAGTTCTCCTGACTTTCTTCATTCTGTTCTTGGCGTTCCCTTTTATTGCCTTCTTGAGGTTTTTTTCTTCTCATAGAGGCCATGTCTTGCAAGTCTGTGTTTGGGTTCATTTTTCTTTGCATAATCCAGAGAATTGTAAATCATGCCAAAGCCAGTTGTCTTGCTACCACCAAAATTAGTTCTGAATCCAAATACAGAGATGACATCTGGTGTGGTCTTGTACATTTTGGCTAGTTTTCCCCGAATTTCTGTCTTAGGCACTGTTGCCTTCCCGAGGTGAAGGACATCAGTGAGCATTTGTTTCCTCGGAAGTAGTCTGTTGGTCATGAACTTTCTAGCGTGGATAGTTAGCGGTGACGTTCGTGATGGTGGTCTGATGAGAGCCAGGTTTTCTACCATCAGAGCATGGAGTTACAAATAAGGGAAGGAGAAAGGCTATAATGCATCCTGTAGTGTTGGATTGGAATCAAAAGTATTATATGAAGTCATTGTTTTTAGTATATGTACAGACGGATAATTGTATACATATAGATGTGTATAAATGTGTGAGTATACATACATGCATTTTCTAGCTCCTCTAACAAAAGGGCCTAGAAACATCATCCCAGTAACAATGAGAAAACCATTCTCCAATTAAAGGAACCAAGGCTCCTTGGGAACATATTTGACATCAGGATTAGGCAGGGAAAATAGAAGATTAGTTTGAAATATTTTGTCATGCTAGAAAGTAAGGAAATACAAAACGGGGAAAATGTGAAAAGGAAACAGAATCCACTTTGAATAAAGTTACATAGCCAAATTTGAGAAAATTGGGGCAATAAAATAAATAACAATAGTAATATATTACAATCTACAGAAGAAAATTTTCAGTTAATCCAGGCCGGGTGCAGTGGCTCATGCCTGTAATCCCAGCCCTTTGGGAGTCCGAGGCGGGCAGATCACTTGAGGTCAGGAGTTCGAGACCAGCCTGACCAGTGTGGTGAAACCCCGCTTCTACTAAAAATACAAAAGTTAGCTGGGCATGGTGGCACATGCCTGTAGTCCCAGCTACTTGGGAGGCTGAGGCAGGAGAATGGCTTGAATCCCGGAAGGTGGAAGTGCAGTGAGCTGAGATCGCACCTTGGCACTCCAGCCTGGACGACAAAGCAAGACTGCATCTCAAAAATAAAAAAAAATTAATGAATCCATATTGACATAAATAATACATTAAATATAAACCAAAGGGGGAGAATGGGCAGTATTTTATTACAGTAAGATTTTATTAAATGTAGGAGACATAAAATGCAAGAATCATCATTTTGCAAATATCATAGTAATTGTAGGAAGAAAGAACCTTGGAGGGATGCTAAGATTAGTGGTGAATATATGTTGGGAAAGAACATATTTGCATAATATGAAAGTATCTTCCCACAGGATAATTACAGAATAGTAACTTCAAAGTGGAGATGCTACCTTAGCCAAGTGATCAAAGTTAACATTACTAATAATAAGGTAAATGAACTTCATGTAACTTCTTATATGATGCACTGAGTAGGACAAAACATCAGTTCTATGGTATTCTTAGACAAAATGTGTAACTTTAGTCCTAATCATGAGAAAACATCAGACAAATTGAAATCGAGGAAGGGCGTTCTACAGAATAACTGCCAGTATTCTTCAAAAGCATTTTACAAAGACTGAGGAATTCTCCAGAGACATGGAGACATGTCAACTAAGTGCAATGGAGAACATGGATTGTTTCATGAACCAGAGATGGACAACACTAGGATGTATAAAATAATACCCCAACATTTGAACATTAAGCTACAAAATACTTCAGAAAAACTCATGGGCCAAGAAAAGTTTCACACGCACACACAAAATAGCTTAAACTGAAAGAAAAATTTTTAAAAACTTAAAACATGGGATGCAGATAAATCATTTCTTAAAGGTAAATTTAGATGTAATATTGAAAATAAAAGGCTTAAATCAATGACCTCTAGGTTCTTTTTTAAAAAGCTAAAAAAATGAAGAGCAAAGTATATCCAAATTAAGAAGGAGATAAAGATAAAAAAGCAACAACATAGCAAATAACCAAAGGTGGAGCTAATTAATACACCCACAAATTGGTTCTTTGACAAAAATGTTTTAATGAACAATGGCTAGCAAGATTTATCACAGAAAAAAATTAGAGAAGCTACAAAATTTAGATAACAGGAATTAAATAGTTTGTAATTACAGAACCTATAGACATCAATATAATTATGAAAACTTTAGGCCAATACAATTTGACAAATAACATGGGAAATTATTTGTAAAACTAATTCTTAAAACTGATGCAAAAAGAAAGAAATAATAGCTTCTCTATGTATTGAAGAATTTTTTTTAATTAAAAATTTCTATAAGAATTCCGGGCTGCATGGTTTCTTAGGTGAATTCTATCAAACATTTAAGAAAGTACAGAGAGTCCTCAACTTACAGTGGTTTGACCTTGTGCTCTTTTGACTTGATAATGGTGCTTTCATGTGTGTACATTAATGATGAGCATCAATATGACCAGTTTTTCACTATCAGAATAGTTTTCAATAAATTTCATGAGATACTCAATATTTTAAAATGGGCCTTGTGGTAGATGATTTTGCCCAATTGTAGGCTAATAAAAGTGTTCTGAGCAAGTTTAAGGTAGGCGAGGCTAAGTCATGATATTCAGTAGGTTAAATATATTAAATGCGTTTTAGACTTAAAATATTTTCAATTTAGGATGAGTTCATTAAGACAAGCCCATTGTAAGTTGAGGAGTATCTATAATGCCAATCTTGAACGGACTCTTTTTAAGAAATAGAATTTAAGGGCCGGGCACAGTGGTTCACACCTGTAATCCCAGCACTTTAGGAGGCCGAGGCGGGCAGATCACATGGGGTCAGGAGTTTGAGACTAGCCTGACCAGCGTGGAGAAACCCCCATCTCTACTAAAAGTACAAAATTAGCCGGACATGGTGGCACATGCCTGTAATCCCAGCTACTCGTGAGGCAGAGGCAGGAGAATAGCTTGAACCTGGGAGGCAGAGGTTGCAGAGAGCCGAGATTGCACCATCGCACTCCAGCCTGGGCAACAAGAGTGAATCTCTGTCTCAAAAAAAAAAAAAAAAAAAAAAAAAAATTAAAGGGACCCTTACTGCCTTATTTTATGAACCCAGTATTGCCCTGATTCTAAATCGAGACAAAGGCATTATACAACTTTGATATTTATTCCTCATAAACATAGACTCAAAAGTTCTTAAAACATAATAACCAATTGAATATAGCAGTACATAGAATGGATAATAAACTGTGAGCAAATGAAATTTCTAACAAGATTGCAAGGTTAATTTATTATTTGAAAGATCAGTTTAATCAATTTTATACACCTGGGAGGTTACATCTGGCAAAATTCAGCAAACTGTGCACTTTAAAATAGGAGTATTTATTTTATGTAAATTATGTTTCAATACAATTGATTTTTTAAAAAAACGTTTCCCAGAGTGATCAAAGTGGAGGGCAGGGAACAGTAAACATCATTGTTTACGTTACAGCTACTGGAAGCCTCCGAATTCCAACGACGTGCTTTCAATCAGGTCTGATCCTTCCCCTGGCGGATACCTCTGACTCAGGTGTGCTACAAATGCATTGCCCCTAGTTGCTTCTATCACCTTAGTGATGGAAGTGAGAAGAGGGTACTGGAGAAAGAAAAGGTGTACAGGGTTCCAAATGTACTTTCTTTTTCCAGAGGACACTCGTGAAGCCAGTGGAAAGCAAACAAGCTGCTAAATAAGTCACAAGCGTGTTCTCATACAGTTTTGCGATTAAATAGGACATTCAATCAATAAAATTTGTTTTACATAGTTCCTCCTCTGATAGGATGAACTTGTGGATTGTGAGACAGGGCTGATAGAACCTGTTTTCTCTCTGCCTCTTTTTTTTCCCCCAAGTTTTGTGTGCAATACATTAGGAAAAATATAATTGGGCTACAAAGCTACAAAAATGGCTTCCTGACAGCCTCATACTTGTTTCCATGTGGTGCCTATGTTTGGCACTGTGTTCTCATTTGCATTTTCCTACTTGATTAGTTAATGTATGAAGGACAAGCCTGATCTCTACTGTGAATTTCTACCAAGGTATTTTAGTAGAAAAATAAGTATGTAATGGTGCTGTGGACTGCTAAAGTGTGTAAAACATTAAGAATCTAAAAATATGCTCATTTCCAAGTTTTGTCCCAGAGCAACTGTGCACGCTGATTAAATCACTACTGTTATTTGAAGTTATCCATTTGCATGTCTAAGAAATGGATTCATACTGATTGTCCCATTTTGATCTCAAAAAACTCCTGAATATGAGAGTCGTGATCAAGGGACGCTTCATGAAATGTTCCAAAGTTAAAGTGTGCAATGAAACTAGATTCGTCATAGCCTCATCTAAAATAATTATTTCTAAAATTGTTGTTGTTTAATTATAAGCTGTATCCTTTCAGGATACTTGGAAGAGCCATAACAGTGTTTATATTTTTACAGAACAAACATAAATTATCTATGAAATAATCACTCAGATATAGAGATTAGTTCCTATTGGCCTTACATATGAATATAAATAAGTAAAAATTATTAACGTATAAGCATACTTATAATTATGTAAATGTGTGTGTAATGTTATTTGTAAGTTCAATAAAGTCATGCTTGTACATAGTTTCAATTCATGCTTCTAAAAACCACTCAATGTAGTCATTATCGTATGTTAATAAATAATCTCTGAAAATATGCTTCTGGTAGTTGCACAATATCCCTTCATAAAGACTGTCATGCTGTTTTTAAGTCATACTTTTGGGTACATAGGTTATATCTGATATTTTCCTGCTACATATATACTATTATAAATCTATTAGTAGTTGATTTTTTGTCAACACATATGATTGTTTCCTCACAACAGTACAAGAGTTGGTTGTAACTTTATTTCCTTCCAACATTTATTTTAGGTTCAGCGGGTACATGTGCAGGTTTATTATGTGGGTAAAATGTGTGTCAGTGGGGTTTGGTGTAAAGATTACGTAGTCATCCAGGTAGTGAGCGTAGTATCTAATAGGGAGTTTTTTGATCCTCACTCTCCCCCCACCCTCCACCCACAGTAGACCTTGTGTCTATTGTTCCCTTCTTTGTGTCCACATATGTGGACTCAATGTTTAGCCCCCACTTATAAGTGAGAACATGCAGTGTGTGTTTGGTTTTCTGTTCCTGCATTAATTCACTTAGAATAATGGTCTCCAGCTCGATTCATGTTGCTGCAAAAGGCATTATGTCATCCTATTTTATACGTGTGTAGTATTCCATGGTGTATTTTTTTTTTAATCTAGTCTTCTGTTAACAGGCATCTAAGTTGATTACATGTCTTTGCTGTTGTGAATAGTGTTATAATGAAAATATGTGTGCATATGTCTATGACAGAATGATTTATATTCCTTTGGGTATATACCCAGTAATGGGATTGCTGGGTTGAAAGGTAGTTCTGTTTTAAGTTATTTCAGAAATCTCCAAACTGCTTTCCACAGTGGCTGAACTAATTGCATTCCTGATGAAACTGGAGAGTTCCCTGACTCCCCTTGGCAGGATGTGCAACAGGGGTGTGGCTTGTCTGGCCACCGTGTGCGCTGTCAAACCCCTACTGGGCAGGAGAGCATGCAGACAGGCAGGTGCAAAAGCCAGGGCAAGTGGCCATGGTAGCGTCTAGGGGTGGGTGCCTGCGACTCCCACAGCCCAAGTGGGCATGTGTTACAGTGCACTCTTTTAGCTTTGTCATCCACAGACAGCTTAAGTGTTAACCCGTTCAGTGCCCTCTTGGTACCCAGGTCCTTGTCCAGCATCCAGAAAGAATTAAGTTGCACACAGACTTGAGAATGGTGAATGTGTGGGGGTTTTATTGAGTGGTGGAGGTGGCCCTCAATGGGATGGATGGGGAGCTGGAAAGGGGATGGAATGGGAAGATGATCTTCCCCAGGAGCTTTGCCATCCAGAGGTTGATCTCTCCAACCACTGCCAGCCAAACTCCTCTTGGCATTCAGATGCTCCTTCTCTTCTTTCTGCCACATCATTCTGCAGTTCTGCTCTTCTGTTCATCTCCTCATCGGCTTGTCTGCTTCTGGAGCCTGGGGTCTGGGGTTTATATGGGTACAAGGTAGAGGGGCATGGTAAGCTGAAAGACAACTTTTGGGTGCAAAAGCAGGAATGCCTGTTCCCATTTAGGGCCATGGGTTTCCAGGCTTGTGGGCAGGGCTTTGCCAGGGAACCGCCCTCTTCTATCCAGTATTTCCCTGCCTCCTGTCTGTATCACCACCAGCAGTGTATAAGCATTCCCTTTTTTCCGCAAGCTCACCACCGTCTGTTATGTTTTGACTTTTTAATAATAGCCATTCTGACTGGAGTGATATAGTATCTCATGGTTCTGATTTTCTGATGATTAGTGATGTTGAGTATTTTTTCATATGCTTGTTTGCCACATGTACGTCATCTTTTGAAAAAAGAATCCACAGACAGCTTAAGTGTTAACCCATTCAGTGCCCTTGGTACCCAAGTCCTTGTCCAGCATCCAGGAAGAAGTTGCACACGGACTTGAGGATGGTGAATGTGGGGGTTCATGTTTTTTGCCTATTTGTAGTGGGTTTGTTTTTTGCTTATTGATTCTTTATACATGCTGAGTATTAGACCTTTTTCAGATGTGTAATTTGAAAATATTTTCTCCTGTTCTGTAGGGTGTTCTCTGTTGATAATTTCTTTTTGCTGTGCTGAAGCTCTTTAGTTTCATTAGGTCCCACTCGTCAATTCTTCTTGTTGCAATTGCTTTTGGAATCTTCATCATGAAATCTTTGCCAGCGTCTATGTCCAGAATGATATTTCCTAAGTTTTCTTCTAGGGTTTTTATAGTTTAGGGTCTTATGTAAGTCCTTCATCCGTCTTGAGTTGATTTTTGTATATGGTGAAAGGAAGGGAGTGTACACGCCCCTGTGATATTGTTCCTAATATCCAGGTTGGGAGAGGATAATATTACACTCAATATTGCAGGAGGTGTCAACCACCCTGAATATTGCTTTTAATACCCGGGGAGAGAGGGTGATATTACTCCCAATATCATCTTCTCCCCCCACCCCCTGCATAGTAGAAACAATATCAAAGGGGGTCTGTGCAACACGTGCAATATTGGGAGTAATATCCTCCCCCCACCTGGATATTAGAAACAATATCACGGGGTTGTACACCTCCTGTGATATTTGGGAGTGCTATCATTTTCTTTCCCCATGGATATTGAGAACAATATCACAAGGGCAGTATACAACTCCTGCTATATTGGGAGTAATATTGTACTCTCCCCACCTAGATATTAGGAACAATATCACGGGGGGGTTATACACCACTGCAACATTGGGAATAATATCCTTTCCCTCCCTGGATATTAGGAACAATATCTCATGGGTGTGTACACCCCATTCCATATTGGGATTAATATCATTTTCTCCCTTGCTGGACATAAGGAACAATATAACGGGGGATGTACACTCCCTGTGATTTGCCAGTAATATTATAGACTCCCCCAGGGATATCAGAAACAGTATCAAAGAGGGGTGTACATCCCCTGCGATATTGGGAATAATATTCTTTCTTTCCCTGGATATTAGGAATAATACCACAAAGGGGGTGTATGCCCCCCGTGACATTTTAATTAATATCATCTTCCCCACTGAATATTAGGAACAAATTCCCAGGGGGTTGTACACCACCTACAATATGGACAGCTATATCATTGTCTCTCCCTCGAATATTAGGAACAATATCACAAGGGGGTTGTACACCCCCTGAGATATTGGGAGTAACTTTATACCCTTTCCACATGGATATTAGGAACAATATCACAGGGTGGGTGTACACCCTCTGTGATATTGGGAGTAATATAATCCTCTTCCCTCTGGACATTGGGAATGATATCACAGTGGGGGGCTGTACCTTTTCTGCACTATTGGGAGTGATATCACCCTCTCCTCCTATGGTTATTAGGAACACTGTCACAAAGGGGGTGTACACATCCTGCGATATTGGGAGTAATATTGTCCACTCTTCCCCGGGATATTAGGAACAATATCACAGGCGGGGTGTACACCCCCTGCGATTTTGTCGGTAATATTATTCTCTCCCAACCTGGATGTTAGGATTAATATAACAGGAGGTGTGTACACCACCTGTGATATTGGGAGTAATACCATTCTCTCCCCCCATGGATATTGAGAACAATATCACAGGGGCGGTTTACATCTCCTGCAACATTTAGAGTAATATCATCCTTTTCCCCTATGGATATTAGGAACAATATCGCATGGGAAGTGTACACCCCCTGCTATATTGGGAGTAATACTTTCTCCCTTGCTGGACATTAGGAACAATATCACGGGAATGCACACCCCCTGCGATATTGCCAGTAATATCGTCGTCTCCTCCCAGGATGTTAGGAACAATATCACAAGGGTGGTGTACACGCACAGTGATATTGGAAGTAATATCATCCACTCCCCCCATGGATATTAGGAACAATATCAGAAGGGGTGTACACCCTCTGTGATATTTACACTACTACCATCCTATACCCCCTGGATATTAGGAACAATACCACGGGGGGACGTACACCCACTGTGATATTGGGAGTAATTTCATCCTCTGCCCCTTGGATATCAGGAGCAATATCGCAAGGGGGGTGTACACCCTCTGCGATGTTAAAAATAATACCATTCTCTCCCCCTCTGGATACTAGGAGTAATATCACAGGGCTGGTGTGCACCCTTTGCGCTATTGGGAGTAATATCACCCTCTCCCCAACTTGATATTAGAAACAATATCATGGGGGGTGGCGTGTAACACCCTGCGCTGTTGGGAGTAATATCATCTAGTCTTCCCCTGGGTATAAGAAACAATATCACAGAAGGGGTCTACACCTCCTGAGATTTTGGGAGTAATATCATCCTCTCCAAATCTGGATATTAAGAATAGTATAATGGGGGGGAGTAATATATTGGAAGTAATATAATCCTCTCCCCCACTTGATATTAGGAACAATATGGCAAAACGTGTGTACACCCACTGTGATATTTGGAGTAATATCAACATTTCCCCACCTGGTATCACGGGGGGAGTGTACACTCCTTACGATATTGGAAGTAATGCTCTCTCTCACTCTAGATATTAGGAAAAATATCACGGGGTGTGTACACTCCCTGTGATTTTGGGAGTAACATCATACACTTGCGTCTTTGATATTAGGAACAATGTCACAGAGGGGGTGTACAACTTCTGCGATATTGTAATATTCTTTCTTCCCATGGATATTAGGAATGATATCCCGGGGAAGGGTTGTACACCTGCTGCGATATGGACAGTAATATCATGGTCCTTCCCCCTACATATTATGAACAATATCACAAGAGGGGGCTGGATACACCCCCTGGATATTAGAAACTGTGACGGGGGGGCTGTACAACCTCTTTGATATTGTGAGTAATACCATCCTCTTCCCTCCTGGATATTAAGAACAATATCATAGGGTGGGTGTACACCCCCTGCAATATTGGGAATAATATCATCCTCTTCCCCGGGATATTAGGAACAATATCACAGGTGGGGTTTACACCCCCTGCGATTTTGTCAGTAATATTACTTCTGGATGTTATTGAATATATCACAGTGGGGGTGTACACCCCCTGCGATATGGGGAGTAATAGCATCATCTTTCCCACTGGATACCACAAACAGTACCGCAGGTTGTGTACAATTTCCTGTTATATTGTTCACAATACTTAGGGGAGGAGAGGATATTACTCCACATATCGCAAGACGTGTTAAATCCCCTGTAATATTATTCATAATATTTAGAAGAGGACAGGATGATATTACTCCCAATATCGTAGGGAGTATACACTCCCCTGTGATACTGTTTGTAATTTTTAGGGGATTAGAGGATGATATTACTCCCAATATGGCAGGAGGTGTAAACACCTCTGCAATATAGTTCGTAATATTCAGGGGCTGAGAGGATAATATTACTCCCAATATCGCAGGGAGTGTACACTCGTGATATTGTTTATAATTTTCAGTGGATTAGAAGATATTTCTAATATCGCAGGGGTTGTACATCCCCGTATGATATTGTTTGTAATATCCAGTAGGAAAGAGGATGATATTACTCCCCATATCACAGGGGATGTAAACCCATTTGTGGTATTGTCCCTTACATCCGGGGGGAGAGGATATTACTCCGCATATCATAGGGGGTGTACACACCGCTGTAATGTTGTCCATAACATCCAGAGGGGAAGAAAATATTATTCCCATGTTTCAGGAGGTGTACACACCCCTGTGGTAGTCTCTGTAACATTTAGGGAAGAAGGGGATGATACTACTACAGATATCGCAGGGGGTGTACATCCTCCTGTGATACTGTTCGTAAAATTTAAGGGGAAGAGGATGATATTACTCCCCATGTCAAAGGGATTGTACACCCCCCTATATATTGTCCATAACATCCAGGGCGGGAGAGGATATTACTACTCCCCATATTGCAGGGGGTGGACACCCCCCTGTAAATATATCTAACATCCAAGCGGGGGCAGGAGGATATTATTCCCCCTTATCGCAGGGAAGGTAAACCCCTTGTGATATTGTCTGTAACATCCAGTGGGGAGAGGATAATGTCATTCCCCATATTGCAGGGGATGCACACTCCACTCTGATATTGGCCGTAATACCCAGGGGGGGAAGTATGATGTCACTACACATATCGCAGGGATTATTAGTATCAGATTGTTTGAAGGGCTCACAGTAAGGGTAGTAGTAGGGCGAGTTCTAAGTCAAATAGAAGAAATGTGATGGCTACTAGAAAGAATTTTATGGAGAAGGGAATGTGGGCAGAGGATAGGATCAAATCCGCATCCGTAAGGGCTAGATTTTTCTATATATATTTATTATATATATATATATATATATATATTTTTTTTTTCTATATATATATATTAAGTTGTGGGAGCCAAAATGTAATAATTGTTAGTAACAGGGCTAATAGAGTGTTGATTACTAGGGTTAATGTTAGGTGAATTACTGTTTTTCGGATGCTATCGAAACTTTGGAAATCATGGTACTATTTATACTAAAAGAGTAAGATCCTCATCAATAAATAGAAACATACAAGAATAGTCATACTACATCTATGAAGTGTCAATATCAGGCAGCACCTTCAAAGGCAAAGTGATGACTAGATGTAAAGTGGTATTTTAATTGGCGGAGAAGGCAGACAGTGAGGAATATTGATCCAATAATGACATGAAGTCTGTGAAAGCCTGTAGCTATAAAAAATGTTGAGCCATAAATACCAAATACCATCAGAAATAGCAAAGGCAGCTTTGAAGTATTCTGAGACTTGTAGGAGGGTGAAGTAAATACCTAATATAATTGTAATAGGTAGTGCTTGGATTATATGTTTTTGATTATTTTTTGTTAGGCTGTGATGGGCTCAAGTAATTGAAACTCCTGATGCAAGTAATACAGATGTATTCAGGAGAGGTACTTCCAGGGGGTCGAGGGGAGAAATACCTGTTGGGGGTCTGTGTCCTCCTAATTCTGGAGTAGGGGCTAGGCTAGAATGGTAGAATGCTCAAAAGAATCCAGCGAAGAAAAAATATTTCCAAGATAATACATAGGACTATCCCATATCGGAGGCCTTTTTGAACAGTTGTTGTGTGGTGGCCCTGAAGTGTACTTTCTCAGATACAGATCACCCTTGGTCAGTTCAATACAAATCAATCACTGTAAGTAAGCTAAGTCCTTACTAAATTGATGAGACTTAAACCCACGAAAACTTAACAGCTAAACTCCCTAGTCAACTGGTTTTAATCTACTTCTCCAGCCGCTGGGGAAAAAAAGGTGAGAGAAGCAGGATTGAAGCTGCTTCTTTGAATTTACAATTCAACATGAAAATCATCTCGGGACTGGTAAAAAGAGGTCTTGACCTCTGTTTTCAGATGTACAGACTCTGTTTTTAGATGTACATCTAGTAGATGTAAGCCCTACTCAAGTCATTTTACCCTTTTTTCTCACTTCATTTATGTTCGCCGACAGTTGACTATTCTCAACCAACCATAAAGATATCGGGACATTGTATTTATTATTTGGTGCATGAGCAGGGATAGTCGATACAGCTTTAAGCCTTATTCGAGCTGAACTGGGTCACCCAGGTACTCTACTAGATGATCAAATTTATAATGTCATTGTTACAGCTTATGCATTTGTCATAATTTTCTTTATAGTAATACTATAATTGGAGGTCTTGGCAATTGATTAGTCCCTCTGATAATTGGCACCCCCGATATAGCACTTCTCCACATAAATAATATGAGCTTCTGACTCCTCCCACCCTCCTTCCTGTTATTACTTGCATCCACTATAGTAGGGGCCGGCACTGGAACCGGCTCAACAGTCTCTCTTCCCTTAGCAGGAAACCTAACACATGCAGGCGCCTCTGTAGATTTCACTATCTTTTCACTCCACTTGGCAGATGTTTCTTCTATTTTAGGGGCTATTAACTTTATTACCACAATTGTTAATATAAAACCCCCAGCCATGTCCCAATATCACACACCCCTCTTCATCTGATTGGTCCTAATTACAGCAGTTCTTTTATTCCTTTGTCTCCCAGTCCTAGCCGCCGGCATTACTATGTTGTTAAATGACCGCAATCTTAGTACTACTTTTTTCTACCTGGCTGGCGGAGGTGATCCTATCTTATATCAGCATTTATTCAGATTATTTGGTTACCCTGAAGTCTACATCCTCATCCGACTGGGCTTTGGGATAATTTCCCACATTGTAACATATTATTCTGGAAAAAAAAGAACCATTCGGGTATATGGGCCTAGTGTGAGCTATAGGATCAATTGGGTTCTTACGGTTTATCGTATGGGCCCACTGTATATTTACAGTAGGGATAGATGTGGATACATGAGCTTGCTTCACCTCTGCTACTATAATTATTGCTATTCCTACTGGCGTCAAAGTTTTTAGCTGACTAGCTAGCTACACTTCATGGCGGGAATATCAAATGATCCCCCGCAATGCTCTGAGCCTGGGGATTTATTTTCCTTTTTACAGTAGGAGGCCTAACTGGCATTGTGTTGGCTGAGGCTTATATTACGGTTCATTTATATATTTAGAAACCTGAAAGTTTGTAAATTAGTTGTAAAAAAGTTGTAAAAAACCCAAGCTGAAATAACTGCGAAGGTGCCTTTAATATTCTGAAGACAAAATAGCTAAGACCCAAACTGGGAGTAGATACCTCGTTATGCTTAACCCTAAACTCGAATAGTTAGATCAACAAAACTGTTTGCCAGAACACTACAAGCAACAGCTTAAAACTCAAAGGACTTGGCGGTGCTTTATATCCCTCTAAAGGAGCCTGTTCTATAATCGATAAACCCCAATTTACCTCACCACCTCTTGCCCAGCCTATATACCTCCATCTTCAGCAAACTCTGGAAAGGCCGCAGGGTAAGCACAAGTATCTACATAAAAACGTTAGGTCAAGGTGTAGCCCATGAGGTGGCAAGAAATGGGTACGTTTTCTACACCCAGAAAAATCTCAGGACAACCTTTAAGAAATCTAAGGGCTCAAGGAGGATTTAGCAATAAATTGAGAGCAGAGTGCTTAATTGAATTAAGGCCATGAGCACGCACACACCGCCCATCACCCTCCTCAAATATATTCTAGAAACTAGTTGTACACCCCTCTGTGATATTGTCCATAATATCCAGGGAGGGAGAGAATGATTTGTTTTGGTTTTGTTTTTTTTTTTTGAGACAGAGCCTTGCTCTGTCGCACGGGCTGGAGTGCAGTGGTGTGATCTTGGCTCATTGCAAGCTTCGCCTCCCGGGTTCATGCCATTCTCCTGCCTCAGCCTCCTGAGTAGCTGGGACTACAGGTGCCCACCACCGCACCTGGCTAATTTTTTGTGTTTTTAGTAGAGACGGGGTTTCACCGTGTTAGCCAGGATGGTCTCGATCTCCTGACCTCGTGATCCGCCTGCCTCGTCCTCCCAAAGTGCTGGGATTACAGGTGTGAGCCACTGCACCCGGCCAGAGAGAATGATTTTACTCCCCATATCACAGGGGATTTACATTCCCCTGCATTATTTTTCCTAATATCCAGGGGAAAGATGAAGATGTTACTCCCCATATAGCATGGGAGAACAATTCCCTGAGATACTGTTCATATCATCTCTGGGGGGGGGGGAGAGAATGATATTACTCCTTTTATCACAGGAAGTATACACCCTTCTTGAGATATTGTTTATAATATCTAGTGGGGGAGAGGATGATGTTACTACCCATATTGCAGGGGGTGTACAACCCCCTAGGATATTGTTCGTAATATCCACGGCGGGAGGAGATGATGTTACTACCCATATCGCCGGGGTGTACTGCCCCCTGCCATATTGTTTGTAATATCCAGGCTGGGAAAGGATGATATTACTTCCTATATTACAGGGGACGTACATCCCCCTGCGATATTATTCGTAATACCCATAGGGGAGATAATACTACTTCCAATATCGTAAACACCCTGTGTGTACACCCTCTGTGATGATGTTTGTAATATCCAGGGTGGGAGAGGAGTATATTACTCCCTATAAGTCAGTGTGTGTATACACCCCTCTGTGATACTGTTCATAATATCCACTGGGGGAGATGATATTACTCCCAATATCATAAACACCTCACGTGTACACCGTCTGTGATATTGTTTGTAATATCCAGTGGGGGAGAGGATGATACTACTTTCCACATCGCAGGGGGTTTAAACCCCTCTGTGATATAGTTTGTAATATCCAGGGGAGAGAGGATGATATTACACCTCATATCACAGGGTGTGTACACCCCCCTGTGATATTGTTTGTAATATTGTTCCCAATATCTTTTCCCCCCATGGATATTAGGAACAATATTGCATGGGAAGTGTACACCCCCCACCACATTGGGAGCAGTAGTGTTTTCTCCTTTGCTGGACATTAGGAACAATACCACGGGGGGGTGCACACCCCCTGTGATATTGACAGTAATATCATCCACTGTACCCTAAATGCTAGGAACAGTATCACAAGGGGGATGTACACACTTGGCGGTATTGAAAGTGATATGATCCTCTCCCCACCTGGATATTAGGAACAATATCACAGAAGGGGTGTACACCCCCTGCGATATTGACAGTAATATCCTCTCCCCCACCCCAGATATTAGGAAGAATACCACGGGGTGGGGGTGTACACCCCCTGCGATATTGGGAGTAATATCATCCACTAGCCCCTAAATATTAGGAACAATATCACAAGGCAGGGAGTACACACACTGCGATTTTGGGAGTAATGTCATCGTTTTCCCGCCCCTGCATACTAGGAATATCACGGGGTGTACACTCCCATGCGCTGTTGGGAGTAATATCACCCTTTCTTCCCATGGATATTAGGAACAATATCACAGAAGTGGTGTACACACGCTGCACTGTATAGAACAAAGCAGGCGGAGGAAGGTGGGATAACCTTGCTGGCTGAGGCTTCTGGCTCTCTTTTTTTCTTCTTCCCGTGCAGGACGCTTGCTTCCCTTCCTCCTGCCCTTGGACATCAGACTCCAGGTTCTTACGCCTTTGAACTGTGGGACTTGCACCAGCGGCTTCCCCGAGGCTCTCAGGCCCTCGGCCTCAGACTGAAGACTGCACTGTGGGCTTTCCTGGTTTTGAGGCTTTTGGACTTGGACTGAGCCACTACTAGCTTCTCTCTTTCCCTACCTGGCAGACAGCCTGTTGTGGGACTTTGCCTTGTAACTGTGTGAGCCAATTCTCTCTCGTAAACTCCCTTATACATATACGTGTATCCTGGTGGTTCTGTCCCTCTGGAGAACCCTGACTAATAGATTTTTATTTTTTCTCCACTGCCCTTTCCTCTTCTTCTAGGCTTACCTAGACCACCACCATTCTTTCCCCTTTTCTAAAGTAAAAGTTGTTTTTTTCTTGCTAAATGCATGGTATTCTGCCCGTTTTCCATGGCTTCCTTCAGCCCTGCTCTGTTTATTCTTGCTCTCTTAAGAGGAAATCCCTGCCTCTTCTGTGGCTTTTCCCTCTTGGTCTACGTACTGCTTTCTGTTGTTCTCAGAGGCACACTGAGACCTTTTACATCTCACTGTCACTTCTTGGAAGGGCTCTCTCTACCTCGTCTGCCTGCTAAGCAACCTCTTGGGGAGACACGGGCACTCTTGAGTCACTGAACTTGGGCTGTTTGGTGTTGGTATGTTAATTTATCTTCTTAGACCACTTACCACTTCCTTAACTTGAAAAGAGAAGAATAATTATTATTTTCCATGGTTGATATGAAGAGTAGAAATAACTTATACAAAATGCATTGCAGTTAAGTGATGATAAATGGCCATGAATGCCCTTATTAATGTTATTCTATCAGCCTCAGCTCAGATACCATCTGCTCTGTGAGCTCTGCTCTGAATCATATCTGCTTCTTCTCTGGGTTCCTTGTGCTCTGTTCTTAACTACTTTAAAGCAGTAATTGTTCTGATTCTAATTAGTGATCCTTCCCAATAAAATTTTAATTTTGTAGATCTCTTCCCCCCACCCCTGCCCCAGCCTAACCAGTGTTTTCTTATTTTTTGTGTACAGGCTATATCACTGGTCTTCTTTTATTTGTGGCTAAATAAATGTTGTGTTGGAAGAGTAAAGAGTTCCCAGTTCCATGGGATCGATAGTTCTACAAAATGAATATAAACATAATCCATGTAAATATTTCACTTTTTAGACAATTTTTTAATTTTTAAATGTAATTTGTGCATGTTTGTATGTTAGTGAGACCAAAGATGGTGGCGGCGGGGAGCAGGGGGCGTCTCACCATGTTGCCCAGGCTGGTCTTGAACTCCCCTTCAACTGCTCCCCTCCTCACCTGGCCCCCCTCACCTTGCCTCCTCCCCTCTCACTCCTATGCCAGCCCCTGCCATTCCCCACCCCCTCTGTAGACTGCAAGACTCAACAAGTGACTTGCTGAGCAAAGCCTGCCGAGAAGAGGTCTGTTTAGGGACACGGGAGGCCAAGTACACAAAAAGGCAAAAGAACTAGCATGCCTTTTTCAATGGATGTCTGTTTTACAGGGCTGGCTTCAGATTGTTGTTACAGCTTTAAGTAAAAGGACCGTTTTGTCATCTCGGCCCGTGGCCTACATTATTTCTTTGCTGTCCATTGCCCTGGGCGCTTGACTAATAATTTAACAGCAATTTTTTTTTTTTTAAATTTTAAATCATGATTCATTGCATTGCTGTAAGAGTAATCAGAGGTAAAGTGGGGCTTGAAACTGCCTGTAGTTGGTTACTTACTGAGATCTTAGCATAATTGTCAGGTGAGAGGGTGAAGTTTTAAGTAGCGCTAAGTGGGATAGAAATTCAATGCACTGAAACTGCAGTGTCCAGTTCAGTAGGCGCTAGCCACCTGTAAGTGTTGAGCACTTGAAATGCTGGCTAGTCCTAACTGAGATGTGTTGTGTTAAATACACTGGATTTTGTCGTTGGAGTAGGAAGAACAGTGTAAAAATACCTGCTTGATGATTTTTTATATTGATTACTTGTTAAAATTATTATTACTATGATTACTATTTGGGACATATTAAGTATACTTAAAATTAATTTCACCTTTTTTCTTTTAATGGGGCTTACTAGTACATTTAAAATTACATATGCGGCTCACATATTTATTGGACAGCACAGCTCTAGTTTAGGAAGAAATAAGAAAAATAGAATAGGTAGGGGCAGTAGGAAGTTTGCCCTCTTACAAGACTGATTCTAATAAAAATAATAGATGATAGTTCTTTTTTTTTTTTTTTTTTTTTTTTTTTTTTTTTTTTTTTTTTTTTTTTTTTTTGAGACGGAGTCTCGCTCTGTCGCCCAGGCTGGAGTGCAGTGGCGCGATCTCGGCTCACTGCAAGCTCCGCCTCCCGGGTTCACGCCATTCTCCTGCCTCAGCCTCCCGAGTAGCTGGGACTACAGGCACCCGCTACCACGCCCGGCTAATTTTTTGTATTTTTAGTAGAGACGGGGGTTTCACCGTGTTAGCCAGGATGGTCTCGATCTCCTGACCTCGTGATCCGCCCGCCTCGGCCTCCCAAAGTGCTGGGATTACAGGCGTGAGCCACCGCGCCCGGCCCTAGATGATAGTTCTAATTGGCTTTTTCCTACTAGAAAAAGCAAGTGTACTTTACATGCCTCTTTGTTCTCCCTCTTTCCCCTTCAGTTTAGTGGTTAGCGTGTATTTACTATATCAGGCTTAATATTCACTAAGCAGTGTTAAGACGACTTAGGTAAATGATTCCCTGATGAACACACTTGATTTTCAAAGCACTTTCCTAACCCGTTTTTAATTGGTATAGAGTCAAAGGCAGATGGCTTATTAGTAGTCATTTCATTTAAATCTCATGGAATTTTCCTGCTAAATCTCAAAGTAAATTTGTTATAGGCTGTTTTGTCAAGTGTATGGAAGGGACAGCATAGGACATGTGGTATTTCATTTCCAAATTGCTTGAGATGATTTTCATTATAATCATACATTATTTGCTTCTGGTTTTCCGGAAAAGCCAGCTAAACCTGTGGTTCATTTAGATATAAATGAAATATCCTCAAAGGATTGCACAAAGTGACTTATGCAACTTGAATATATATTTTTTCTGTAGGGTGTTTATCCCAAATTATCTGGCCATTTGCTGCAATTTGCAGTTTTTTAGAAAGCACCAAATATTTTTCAAGTTAGAGTTGTTTTAATAAAAACAGTCATTTTGAGTTGGCAGCAGCCAAATAAAATAGCCCTTTATTTCACAGTTGAGAATTTGAAATTGGAAGGTAATTAACATATGTAAGGATGATGTATTTGCTGCCTGGCTTATAGGAATGAGCCAAGTTGTTTTTTGAGGGATGTTGTTGCTGTATATGTCCCACCTATTTTGCTTGCTTACTGAACAATGCAAGTTTGAGACAGAAATATTTGAGAACACTTTTATCAGTTGCGACATTGTGACATTTTGATAGTGAACATTTTATATGTTCTGTCAACTTAGAATGTTTGTATCTTCTGTCAACTTAAAATGTTTAATTTTGTTATTGCCAAATAATTTGGCTATAATGTTTAATTTATATAAACATTGTATAATATAAATGTTTAAACATTTTGTGTCTTCTGTCAACTTAAAATGTTTAATTTGTTATAGCCAAATAATTTGGCTATAATTGATAATTTATCAAATTAAATTGCTTTTTTTCCCTTTAGACTTTCTTCAGTCACATCTGAATAAATCACTTAGAAGTAAGCTAGATTTAATATAATGAAATGCTTAAAAGAGCTGTGTGTCTTCATATTACACTTACAGTGATTTTCTTTTGTACCCATTATATTCTACCTGCAGCTAGTTGAGGTAAAGAGAGGGCGTTTAACTGTCAAGGGAACCGCAGAGGAGACTGTAGAAATCCGGAAAGTCTCTCGGATCTTTGAGCGATTTTGGGATGCAGAGAGTGGGGCTGGGATCTCTGGCTAGGTTGGAGCCAGCCTGCATTTGTCTCTCTATCTTGGAAGCAAACTTAGAATGTAGAGATAGATGTGGCCTGGATGCTGCTAACTCTAGCCAACCACTAAATCTTAAGGTGGGAGAGATGCAGGCTTTGGCTGGGTGCTAAGCTGCTGTAGCTGGTTGAATGTAGAGGTCACTATCTTTTCTGAATAGTTGTAGGTAAATTAAATCATTCTCTACTCCCGTATGCCTGTCAACCTAATGGGAGATCGCTATAGAAAAGATGGTTTAAATTTTAGTCTTTGAAGTGGTTTATGCACATTTTTGGAATCAAGATTTAATGCAGACTTGGATTGGGTATTGAATATTTTTGATTTGTCTACTTTTCTCTCCATAGGGAGCTTACAGCTTCATTGCACCATGTGTGGCATTTGGGTCCTGTTTGGCAGCAATGACTGCCTTTCTGTTTAGTGTCTGTGTGCTATGAAGATTGCAAACGGGGTCCAGATGCATTCTGTTTTGAGAATGTCAATGGATACACTAGCTGCTGCTTTGGATTTCACCGGTTGGTGGTAGTTGACCCGCTGTTTGGAATGCAGCCAATTTAAGTGAAGAAATATCCATACACGTGGCTCTGTTACAATGGTGAAATCTACAACCATAAGAAGGTAAGGAAAAAGAAACCAGATGTCTGGATGCGATTAAACTTCAGAGCTTGTTGGTTACGATGATATTATATATTCTGTATCATGCTTTTTATTTTGCAAAGCATTCTGTGTTATCTCATTTGCTCTAAGTATGTAGGTAGGGAACTGATCAATAAAATGGTGATTGAAATGACTTGGTCACAAAAAAAGTGATAAAAATGGGGATTACACAGTTTTTTTGACTCTTAGAATTTTTTCTCCTTCTCCCCAGCTTTTTGTTTTGAAAAAAATTCTAACATACAGAAAAGAACAGAATAGTGAGCACCTAGATTGAATAATCATTAATGTTTTGCCATATTTGCTTGATTTTTCTTTCTACACACACACACACACACACACACACACACATTTTTTGCCAAATCATTTGAGAGTGTGGTGCAGATTTTGTGACACTTCTAAATATATAAGCATTTATCTCCTAAGAATAAGGACATTTTTCTACATAACATCAATACCATTATTAAACCTAAGAATCCATAATACCACCTGGCCAGGCGCGGTGTCTTACGCCTGTAATCCCAGCACTTTGGGAGGCCAAGGTGGGCAGATCACGAGGTCAGGAGGTTGAGACCATGCTGGCTAACACGGTGAAACCCTGTCTCCACTAAAAATACAAAAATAAAAAAATCAGCCAGGTGTGGTGGTGGGCACCTGTAGTCCCAGCTGCTCCGGAGGCTGAGGCAGGAGAATGGCATGAACCCGGGAGGTAGAGCTTGCAGTGAGCCAAGATTGAGCCACTGCACTCCAGCCTGGGAGACAGAGCAAGACTCTGTCTCAAAAAAAAACAAAAAAAACCACGATACCACCTAATATCCAGTTTATACTTAAATTTCCCTAAGTGTCTGGAGGATTTTTTTTTTTTTTTTTTTTTTTGAGGCAGAGTCTCAACTTTGTCACCCAGGCTGGAGTGCAGTGTTGTGATCTTGGCTCACTGCAACCTCTGCCTCCCAGGTTCAAGTGATTCTCCTTCTTCAGCCTCCTGAGTAGCTGGGACTACAGGCCCACCTGTCACCAAGCTTGGCTGATTTTTTGTATTTTAGTAAAGACGGGGGCCCAGGGTGGTCTGGAACTCCTGAGCTCAGGCAGTCTGCTCACCTTGGCCTCTCAAAGTGCTACCAAGAATATCTTTATGGCTGGTTTTTGTTTGTTTTGATCCAGATTTCATTCAAGTTTCATGCATTTGGTTGTGATGTTTCTTGGTATTTTTTTGAGACTTTTTGATAGATACCTGTCATGCACTGATAGAGATTTATATCCTATCTATGTTTTGGACATTTTTATCTCTGAATAATAGCTTTTGTCATTGTTTGTTGCCTGCTCATGGGAACACTCTTAATAATAGTCTTCTTGCTCAAAAAGTTTTGAAATAGTTATTCAAGAAATTCCTTTCACACATTTCTTTATTCCTTTATTAGGGGCCTAATATGCACCAGACATCATTTTTCTAGGTGATCGTAGAAGAAATGGTGAAAAGGAAAGGCAAGAATGGAATTGCCTGCTAGTGGGAAGTAGAAGAGAGTATTAAAACTTTTTTCTTTCTAAGTCAAATCAGTGTCATATACATGAGAATGCTAGGCGGTATGATGGCATTATCAGCTTGGCTTTCTCCTTAAATAGGAAGTGCCCTGTTTTACTCGGACAGTAGTGTATTTTTTTTTTTTTTGCTAAAAAGTTACAAGAAGTTAAATATTTTGAAAATAATTAATTTCCATTCTAAATTAGTATTAGTCAAATGTTATATTTGCAAAACTAGAGAAGTTTGTTCTGTTGCTTCTACCAAGCGTCTCAGCTTATGTAGTTGGCGCAGCTATAAATCTAATGAACAGAATGTATATTGTAGGCTTATATAAAGTATTCTGCAACATAAGCTCAAAAATACCCCCACCCCTTTTTGATAAAAAATAAAGTTTACTACTACTAATAAAATATAGCCAGAGGTGTGCTGGATGTGGAGGGGGACTGAGTGAAAGAAAGTAGGAATGGGATACAGGCTGGGGCAAAGAGCAGGCCCTCTCCCTGCAGGGGAGTATCGGGGGCCTGGAGCCAAGTTAAATGACAGCATGACTTCAGGAGGCCAGATTCGAGGGCTTTTATCTAAGATGCAGCTTTGGAGTTTGGTTTAAGAGAGTAGGAAGTGATACATCCGTTACCCAAAGGACGCTTCTCTTTTTTAAATAAATCACCTGCAGAGTTTAGGCCAAAGAGGTGGGCAAGGGAGAGTTGGGAAACTTGCTTGCTAATATCACCAAATTTTTTTTTTTTTTTTTTTTACTTGGTGGAGGCTGTAATTGGGGCAAGGACATTTTTATACAAAAATAGAGAAAACAATCGCCTATGGAATTTGATCCTTGCTCCATGCCCTCGCTAGCACCTCTCCACATGCTTGATGATATTTAAAATTTCTTCATAGGGAAAAAGCTTTTCATCCCACAATTAGAATCAGGCTTAACTTGCTTTTTGAAGAGGTAGTATGTAATTTGTGTTAAGATATAAATTACTAAGATTTTTATATCTCGAAACAGATTTAGATGATAGAGTGAGGTAGGTGGTGGTGGTTGGTGGGAAGGGGTAGTTTGTTAGAGAGGGTATTAAGAGTTGGGATTTTCAATGTGAGAGACGTGAAGGTTTGAAAATAAGTAAGAAAAGCACTAAAAGGATGAAGTCAAGGGCCTCTGAGAGCCAGGATGATAGATTCTATTTCACAGTTTAACACAGGATCACCATAGACCAAAGCAAGTTTATAACTAAGGCAGTGAAGATCATCTGTCTCCTCCCTTCCCCACTAATTGTGACCTTAGTTTTATAAGCTCCTAAGAGGCAGAAAACAAGTTGGAGACCCGTCATCTATTTTGGAGTATATGGCATGTATCTATTGTCCTAGGTGCTGAGTTTATTTTTTTCAGCTAATGACAGTTTTCCATGCTTTATGGTCACTTACCCTTCAGGCAGTTCAGCCCAGGACAGTCAGCAGAAGACTGTTTCCAGACCCCACCTGCTAGTTACAGATCATCCCTGATAGAGCAGAGAGTGGTGACCAGGTAGTGGCTTTATAGTCACTGGAGGCAAAGCCCATTTTTGGACCGTTCATTGAGGGCTTACAGACAAAAGGTTCACAAATTATGGAGTGAGCCGGATGGAGTGTGAAGCGTATTTATGGGTCGTGCACATACATAATAGGTTTAGTTTTTGAGATTTGAAAACATGTTTTAAACTTAACCTAGGATTTCCACCTGATTTAAACCTCTTCTTTCTCTAATGTCAGCCAAAAATGTGAGTATGACATACAAACAGTAATACATCAAGGACTTTTCATCCTCATAGTTTGCCAGTGATGGTGGAGAGTGTCAGAATTGGGGAGTATCCTAATCAAACCTTCTTACTCTGCATGCAGTGGCAGACAGTCCCTTTGCTGTTCCTTTGGGACATGCAGACTAATAAAGCGCCACCATCATTTTATCTCTCAGTGAGGGGTAGTTTTAATGCTACTGCAGTGGTGGAAGCACTGGGCGTTGTCATCCACCCCTGAGGACAAGCAGCTTTGTTTTGGATCATGTATCTGTTATTGTGATGGAGCCATTTATTTTTCAGGGAATGATGCCAAATAATGTTTGTCCCTTTGCTTTGCATTTTTATAGCTAGGTCTTTGAAGCTGAACTGGAGGAACTTCTTAGCCAATACTGTCTTCTCAAACCCAAAGTTTACAGTTGCAGAAGACACATTTTTTAGTGTCATGGCAACCAAGCAACCTATTACCTTAACTTTAGAGGTTGAGCATCCCTAATCTGAAAATCTGAAATTTGAAATGCTCCAAAATCTGAAACTTTTTGAGCACTGACATGACACTACGTGTGGATTTTGATGTCCCAGTCAAAATGCAGGTGTACAACACACAGTTTATTTGACGTTCCGTAGTGAAAAAAGACCCTCTCAGCCCCCTTCAGCTGCAGTATAACTTGTCTACACGTGCTCAGATTTCCCCATGCAAGCACGCCCACAAAGGGTCACAGAATGGCACATGTGCAAGCTGGACACGCCAATGGCAGGATCCCCACAGATGGGACATAAGTGCATTACCCGTTGTGTATTTTTGCTTATTCTCTGCTCTGTGGTGTTAACATACTGAAAATGTCAATAAGGCCTGTAGATATCCCTACGAGCAGCAATGATAAGGAAAAGTAGAAACGCTTATAACACAGAAAGTCAAGCTGTTGGAGAAATTGGACTGTAGTGTAAAGGTATGGATGACATGGTGAAAATGTGTGATAGAGATATTCAAGATATTGAAGGACTAGAGCTACCTGCATTCATAACAGAACAAGAGGTCACGTCAGTTTATAAAATTAAAGAGAGACTTCCAAGACAAAAGCCGTTGATGATGAGGCAGATGACTCTGGAGAAACATTATAAAAAGCCATCTGGCAGAATGCCACCTCAGTCTCAGAGGACTCACCTCCTTAGTTGCTCAGCTCTTCTGATATTTCTTCTCACCTAAAAAAAGAAAAAAAATACAATGTACAGTAACCGTTTAATCAAAACACAACCTTGTAGGTGGAGCCTGAAAGCCTGCCATTGTTTGTACAGCTGTTTAACAGCTGATGCAGGTATTCTGGTGATGCTACTGTGTTGCTTATTATTTTTTACTGTATTAATGGCATGTCATATTTTTTACTTCTGTGTGAATAAGTGTGTGAAAATGATTGCTCATCAGTAGCATATAAATTCGGAGTCAGAAATGGTGGTCAGTGATGTCAGACAGCCACAGATTTTCCACATGGTAGCTGAGATAGTGACACCTTTGCTTCTGATGGTTCCGTGTACACAAACTTTGTTTCCTGTACAAAATTATTTGAAATATTATATAAAATTACCTTTAGGCTATGTGTATAAGATATATGAAACATAAGTGAACTTCACGTTTAGACTTGGGTCTCATCCCCAAGATACCTCACGTAGATGCAAATATTCTAAAATCCAAAAAAAATTCCAAAACCCAAAATACTTCTGGTTCCAAACATTTCAGAGAAGGGATACTCAATCTGCGTATACATAAATATTTATGTATCACATACATAGTATGTATATAATATGCATTTCCATTCCTCTACAGGTTGCTATTCTGGTACATTCCCATTATATTCTGTTTATCAGACTGCACCTAAAACTTTCATGGGTTCAGCCTTATGTTGAACAGAATTTGCAGAATTATGAGTTGAAGCAAACCCTAGTTGGATAATGCTATGATTCTCCTAAATCACCAAAGTGCATGAAATAATTTTAGAGCTCCAGAAATACTGAAGCAACTTTGCAATAAAAAATTATTAGTGAATGCACAAGGAGTCTATAACGTTTTGGTTTTGCTATTGCTTCCTAAGGTGCAACACTATTTTGAATTTGAATACCAGACCAAAGTGGATGGTGAGATAATCCTTCGTCTTTATGACAAAGGAGGAATTGAGCAAACAATTTGTGTGTTGGATGGTGTGTTTGCATTTGTTTTACTGGATTCTGCCAATAAGAAAGTGTTCCTGGGCAGAGATACATGAGGAGTCAGACCTTCGTTTAAAGCAGTGACAGAAGATGGATTTTTGGCTGTATGTTCAGAAGCTAAAGGTAATAGTAAATTTATCTATAGATTTTCATTATTGTCTTGGTCGTGTGTTTTCTTTTAAATTCTATTTGAAAATCTCTTAGCAATCCAGAATTTTACAAGTGACTGAGTTATGAGTTCTTACCTTTTTTAAAAAAACAGAGGAGTTGTACTCTCCTTTTCAGCATTTAAATTCTGTAATCCTTGAAGGATGGGTCTTTAGTGTAGTCATTTATTTTTTGCTGTGCTAATATGCTCTGCATCTAGCTTGATCGCAAGTGCAGTTTTAAGTTTTCCTGTGTCATACTGTAATGGTAGGGCTGGCTGTGCAATTATTGCCATGTGGTACTTTGCCACAGTAACAGCACAGCAAATACTAGGATTTCTAAAACAGCTTTATTGGTAATTGACATACCATGTAATTCACCCACTTGAAGTATACAGGTCAGTGGTTTTAGCATATTCACAGATGTTGGTAACCAGCATTCCAATCAATTCTAGAATTGTTTCTCCACCTCAAAAAAAACCAAATCAAATCCTATGCCCTTTACCTTATTTTATTTTTATTTATTTATTTTTTTAAGAGATGGGGTCTTGCTCAGTCAACCAGCCCAGGCTGGAGTACAGTGGTGTAATCATACTTAGTGCAGCCTTGAACTCCTGGGCTCAAATGATCCTCCCACCTCAGCCTCCCTAGTAGCTATACGAGTACAGGCATGGACCACAACACCCTGCCTCCTGTGCCCTTTAGCTTTCAATTCCATCTCTCCACATCCCTCATCTGCACCCCCGCAGTTGTAGCGCTGGAAATCACCAATCTTTCTGTCTCTGGATTCCCTATTGCGTGTGTTTCATATAAATGGGATTATATATCATACGGGCTTTTGTTACTGGATTCTTTCACTTGGCATAATGCTTGCAAGATTTGTCTATGCTATAACATGTATCAGTACTTACTTTTTATGGCCGAATGATAGTCTGTTACATGGATACACTGGATTTTGTTTATCCACTTGTCAGTTGATGGACATTTAGGACATTGCTAACCCCTTTTGGCCATTACGAATAATGCTGCTATAAACATTGGTGTACAAGTTTTTGTGTAGACATTTCTCTTTGGTGTATATCTGGAGCAGAATTGCTCGGATGCGTGATAACTGTCTAATTGAGGAACTGCCAAACTACTTTTTGAAATGGCTGCATTATTTTTTATTCCCTCCAGCGGTGTATTAAAATTTCAGTTTCTCCACATCTTCACAAGCACTGTGACTTTTTAATTGTAGCCATTGTAATGTATGTGAAATTGTATCTCACTGTGGTTTTGATTTGTATTTTCACGGTGACAGTAATGTCCAGTGTCTTATTGCATGCTTATTGGCCATGTGTATATCTTCTTTGGAGAAATATTTGTTGAGATCTTTTGCCATTTTTTTTCCTGCTAGGGATCATTTTATTTTAAAAACATAGTAGACTCTTTTTTCCTAGCAGTTTTAGAAAAAATAGAAAAGTGCAGAGAGTTCACATATGCTCCCCTACAATGCCCCCGCCCAGTCTTCCCGACTCTTAACATCTTGCGTTACTGTGCTACATTTATTAGATTTGATGAACTGATACTTATATCTGAAGTTCATAGTTTACATTAGGGTTCACTCTGTGTTTCATAAATTTTTGGATTTGACAAATGTATAATGTCATGTACCCACCATTACAGTATTATGTAGAACAATTTCATTGCCCTAAAAATCTCCTGTGCTCCACTGATTCGTTCCTCCTCCTCCTCTTTCTCCTACCCCCGGTCATTACTGATCTTTTCACTCTCTCTAATTTTGCCTCTCCCAGAATGTCATGTAATAGATCATGTAGTATGTATCCTTTTCAGACTGGCTTCTTTCACCTAGCAGTATACATTTAGGGTTCTTCTGTGTTTTTTTCATGGCTTGATAGCTTATTTTTCAAATTGCTGAATAATATTCCATTTGTTTGCATGTATTGCAGTTTGTTTATCCATTCTTGAATTATCCATCTCTAATTGGGTTGTTTCGTCTTTTTATTTACTGAATTGTAATTCTTCCATATGTATTCTAGATACAAATCCCTTGTGTTCATCAGGGTTGCAGGATACAAGATCAATATACAAAAATCAATAGTATTTGACACACTTTAACTGAGTACTACATACTCACAATGAGCAATCAGAAAATGAAATTAAGAAAGCAACTTCATTTATCATAGCATCAACAAGAATAAAATACTTACTAATAAATTTAAGAAGTGTAAAACTTGTACTCTGAAAACTATAAAACATTGTCGAAAGAAGTGAAAGAAGATCTAAATAAATGTAAAAGTATCCCATGATCATGGACCGAAGGCTTAACATTTAAGATGGCAGTCCTCCGTAAACTCATCTACAGATTTAACTTCATCCCTGTCAGAATCCCAGATGAGTTCTTTGTAAAATCGACAAGCTGACTCTCAAATTCATATGGAATTGTAAGGGACTGAGAATAGCCAAAATAATCTTTTGAAAATGAGGAACAGTGTAGGAGAACTCATACTTACTGACTTTATAACTTACTACAAGACAATGGTAATAAGGACAATATAATACTGGCAGAAGGGTAGATGTATAGACCAGTGGGATAGAATTGACAGTCAGATATGAACCCATACATATATAACCAACTGATTTTTGACAGGGGTGCCAAGATTATTCAGTGGGGAAAGAAGTTTGAAAACTGGCCCAGGGACAACTAGATATGTAAACATATGCAAAACCTGGAGTAGGACCTTTACCCAACACCATGTACAAAAACGATGCAAAAAAAAAAATGGATCAAATGGATCCATTTTGAGTGAATCCACATAAATGTAAGGACTAAAACTATAAAATCCTGAGAAGCAAACAGGAGTAAGTTGTCATGACCTTGGATTTGGCAAAGTTTTCTTAAATATGAGACCAGCAACAAGAATAAAAATTGATGAATTGGACTTCATCAAAATTAAACATTTTTGCACTTCAAAGGACACCATCAAGAAACTGAAAAGACAACCCACAAGATGGAAGAAAATACTTGCAAATCATGTATAGCACTTTTTGATGGTAAACTTGAGGAAGACTTTTTTTTTTATTTTTTATTTTTATTATACTTTAAGTTCTAGGGTACATGGGCACAATGTGCAGGTTTGTTACATATGTATACATGTGCCATGTTGGTGTGCTGCACTCATTAACTCATCATTTACATTAGGAATATTTCCTAATGCTATCCCTCCCCCCTCCCCCCACCCCATGACAGGCCCCGGTGTGTGATGTTCCCCTTCCTGTGTCCACGTGTTCTCATTGTTCAGTTCCCACCTATGAGTGAGAACATGGTGGTGTTTGGTTTTCTGTCCTTGCGATAGTTTGCTCAGAATGATGGTTTCCAGCTTCATCCATGTCCCTACAAAGGACATGAACTCATCCTTTTTTATGGCTGCATAGTATTCCATGGTGTATATGTGCCACATT
The DNA here is from genome assembly GCF_000001405.40 of Homo sapiens. Taxonomy (NCBI): domain Eukaryota; kingdom Metazoa; phylum Chordata; class Mammalia; order Primates; family Hominidae; genus Homo; species Homo sapiens. Next base: position 94,883,373 of record NC_000002.12, on the reverse strand, counting down.
TTCTGAATCCAGTCTATCATTGATGGACATTTGGGTTGGTTCCAAGTCTTTGCTATTGTGAATAGAGCTGCAATAAACATACGTGTGCATGTGTCTTTATAGCAACATGATTTATAATCCTTTGGGTATATACCCAGTAATGGGATGGCTGGGTCAAATATTTCTAGTTCTAGATCCTTGAGGTATTGCCACGCTGGAGGAAGACATTTATTTTTTATCTCTTACCAACACAGCAGTAACATCCTAAAATCTCTCTTCCTGTCTCTTTTTGCCATTCTTTAAATCTTTTCTCACTTAATTTTCAGATTTAATATTTAATACATGGCAACACTCCCTGTAGTCCCAGCTATGGGGGGGAGACTGAGGCAAGAGGATGGCTTGAGCCCAGGAGATGGAGGTTAGATTAGAAAGCAGGGATAATGAGATCAATCAAAGCGGTCCTCAGGACACTAGTCACAGTGTTTGTACTAATACTGGAACTGGTTTATTTTCAGGCATTTCTAGTGTGATCAGATGGCAAAGAACAAGTATATATATGTGTGTGTGTGTATATGTGTGTGTGTGTGTGTGTGTGTGTGTGTGTGTATGTCAGTTTCCAGGACTGCTGGGCAAGCCTGGGAAAGACAGTACCTGGGGAAAGCAGCCTCCTGCTCCCCTGTGCCTTCTTTGAGCTTGATGATCATTTGATGTGGTACTATATAATCACATCCAGGTTACCCTCTGAAATTCCTTGATGGTTCTTTTCTATATCCTTGACACTGTCCTTTTACAGACCAAGTGATCTTATCTGGAATATTACAACAGTTTTCTTTTCTCAGTGCTTTTAGAATAACCTGTCAAAAACTCATCTGACTATAGTAGTACCTGCTTACAACCTTTTACTTAGTCCCCATTTCCTACCGGGCTGTGTAGCTCACTTGAGCTCTGCTAGGTGGTGAGGGAATCTGGGTCCTCTTTCTGGTATTTGAATTCAGTGCTACACAGGTTACTGGCTGGGTTGACAATCTCAAATTGTAAATCATGAGTATTCTATGTAGATAGTCTGTCACGATTTACAATAGAACATTGACATTTATGTAAAAGATCATGGTGATGTGAGGTTGCGTACTGTCTGTGAGAATTAATTGAGGAAATTTAAATTATATGGTTTTATTCACATATAGTGCATAACAACTAGTTAAGGGATAGATGTCTTCTTATCTGACTTTCAAGTATCTAAGAGTGGATCATTGTGCTTGTTAAAGTTCTGGGAACCATGGCTATTTTCTGAAAATACCTCAGTGATGACAAATAAATGACTACCAGCCTCTCGTAACATTAGGACTCCAGTTCATCCCTTTGCTTCATAAGTGTGTCTTTTCCTTTTGTATGTATTTGCATTAGTATAGAAAATAGGTTTTCTTGATTAGAAATCTAAGAAGAATAAATTGAAAACTGGAGATTTTTCTATTGCTTTGGATTACTAAAAGTTAGTGTAATTTGGCAGTATATCCTTGTGCCATTATTGTCTCTCTGGTAAGTAGATGGTAGGGCTTTGGGTGATTAAAATTTTTTCCTATTTTGCTTATTTAATGGGCATGTGTTTGTATTAAAAAGGGGAAAATAAATAGGAAGGTAGAAGATGTTAACTAATCGTGAAAGTTATTGGGAAGGGTTACCTAATTTAAAAGTTGGCCAGCCATGGCAACACTGCCTGTAGTCCCAGCTGTGGGGGGAGGCTGAGGCAAGAGGATGGCTTGAGCCCAGGGGATGGAGGTTACAGTGAGCTGTGATTGTGCCACTGCACTTCAGCCTGAGGGACAGAGCCGGACCCTGTCTCAGAAAAACCTAGAACAACAACAAACAGAGAGAGGAGCCTGGACGTATTGAGCTACGTTAGTGTTCGCGGGCTGCTGTAGTGATGGCTTACAACATCAGAAATTTATTCTCTTACAGTTCTGGAGGCCACAAGTCCAAAATCAAGGTGTGGGCAGAAATGCGCTCCCTCTGCAGACTCTTGGGGAGGATCCTTGCTTCTTCCAGGTCTGCGACTGTGGTTCCTGCAGCCACTGGAACCAGCTCTGCACAGCTCAGACCTGAGTGATGAGGACACAGCTTCGCAGGTGGGCAGCCACATCCCCAGGGGGAGCCTGTGGGCCTGTGGCAGGGTTGGGGCAGGCAGGGCACGGGCTCCCCATAGTCCCCATTGTTGCCCCTGAGCTCCTGGGGCTTGTGGAGAAAGACGGGTGGAGGCGCACATAAATGCAGCTCCCTGGATCTGAGCCTTGGTTTCCCTACCTGTGAAATGGGCACCCATGGCAGCTCAGAAGTGTCTGGGAGCATCCCCTGTTGGGGAAGGTAGTGGGGGAGGCTGCTGGGGCACAGTCATGGGGGACCCCAGTCCCCCTCTCCATGTGCTTCCCTCAATGCTCCCTGATGCCAGCAGACCTGTCCCTGAAAAGAGAGGGGCATTCCTGTGAGTTCCTTGTGTGGAGGATGGGTCACAGAGACTCTCCAAATGCAGGGCAGGGTGGAGGGAGGCTGAGGGGTGGTTGAATGGCCAGGAGAAGAGCTCTCTCCAGTCCCTCGGGTCTGGGTGGCCTGGGGAGCATCCGTTTGGGCAGGCAGCTGGCGGGGCTGGTGGCTGAGCCACTGAGGCTCGGGGACCCCAGGCCAGGCCAGAGTAGGGTGGGCAGGGAGAGCAGAGGGTGAGTGTACGGGGCGGGACAGCGTGTCTCCTGGACAGAAACAGCCCTGGTCACTCATGGCTGCAGTGTAGCCATGACGACAGGAAAGTGCTGCTGTACATTGTGCCCCTGGGGCTGGCTCCCAATGGACACCCAACAGCACCTCCCCCACTGTACTGTGGGATGCTGGCAGGGGTGCTGGGCACTGGGGGAAGAGCCTTGGAAAGCCCTTCCCTCCCTGGGCATCAGACCTTGGGCTCCTGGATGCCTGGGCTTATGTGGCCTATTTTTCCAGTGGAAGATGTTTGGGGTGCTCCCACAAAATGGGGAGGGCCCTGGGGAGGTCAGGATTGTATTATTAAACCCAGAAAGTCTGGGGATCCATTTTTAGCACAAGGCAGGCAGCCCATGAGCCTCAGTCCAGCGGCCAGCCTGTGTGGAAGGGGAGTGGGGCCTGAAGGAGCGAGGCTCCTGTTACCGCAGGCTCCACTGCGCCCCCCAGGGTGGCCGGTGTGGGCTGGACAGCGGGCACTGCACCAGGGGCACTGGTGCTGACCTTGAGCCATGCATGTGATGCTTGTGAGAGTGATCTCTAGGAACCACTGCACAAGGGGGCAGATGAGGGAACCCCGACGTGGGACAGCCGAGGGTGACCCCAACACGGAGGGGGGCAGCTGTGTCCAGGCTCCACTGGATTCCGCAGAGGACAGAACACAGCTCTGACTCTAGGGTGTGGGTCACTGAGGGTCAGGACAGGCTGGGGTTGGGAGAGGGCCATGCTGCAGCTGGGGCACATCCCACCTGCACCCCGCAGATGTCAGGGCCTGGACCTCTCCATTCCCACCCTGACCCGGTCAGTAACAGCCACGGGCCAGCAGCCCCCAGCAACCCCTCCCTCCCTGAACTGTCGGGGACAGGAGGTACCACAGTCTTTTCCAGGCAAGAGCTGCTGGAGCCTCCTTTATCCTTGTGCTAGAAGCCCAGGGTGGCTGGGCTGTGGGCCCAGTGTGGGGAGAGGGGCCTGAGAACAGCCCAGTGTGGGCCATCCACCTTCCTGCCCACTTTGGAGGTCTGAATCACCCCCGGCCACTCTCCCAATCCCCAGGAGCCCAGAGGCTTCCTGGCTGGAGCAAGCCACACCTGCTCTCCACCATGGGTAGCAGCTCAAGGCCAGGCCGATAGGGACTCCACAGAGGGGCCTGTGGGTTAGCAGCAGCTGCCACTGTCCAGATGGCCTCAGGGGTTGGGGTTGGACAATCTGGAAGTCAGTAGGGAATTCAGCATGAGGAGACGGCCCTCAGAGTTCTGGCCCAGCAGCCCCAGGTGCTGGCTCTGCACTGAGTCATGAAGCTTACAGGCCAGGGGCGTTGGCCTCTCTCTAGCTGGGAGTGACGTACATCACTGCTGTCATTAGCCTCCCCTGCATCAACCTGTTACTGGGGTGGGAGCACAGTGGGCGCAGGGACCCTCAGGCCTCAGTTTTCCCTGCTGTAAAATGCATGTGATAGTGAGGCTGTCATGAGGCCTGAAGGAGTTAAAACCTGCCATGTGCTCAGGATGGCACCTAGCTCGGTGCCTCCTAGCCTGGTGCCACCATCTGGCATCAGAGATGAAACACTTCTCCCAGGCCCCCTCCCCTGGCACCCCCCACACTCAGCTCTCCATCAGCCACCCCCTCCAGGGTGGGACAAGGAGGTCCTGAGCCTGATGAGGACCCGACAGGGCTGGGCAGTGCCACCTGGGCCTGGGCGATAATGGGAGCCTGAGTGTGGGGCCTGCATGGAGGGAGCCATTGTTTCTTGGGCCTCTTAATGGCTACTTCCCTAGAGTCCGGGAAAAGCGCTGCTGCTCAAGAGGGGACAGTGCCAGCAGCTCCCTCTGAGGCTGGGGTGGGCACAGCATGGGGGGGCCTCGCCCCCACCCACCTCCCATGGAGGTTCCTGGCTCTCCTGGGGGACTCCTCGCTACTGTGCTGAGGCTGGCACCGGGGCTGACCAGGCCCAGGATGGTGTTGGACCACCTGCATCCCCCTGCAGCAGGCAGGGAGGGCTCTGCAGCCACCACCCACACACACCTGACCCCTCCCTGGCCATCGTGTCTAGGGTGGCAGGGAGTGAAGCCCCCACCCAACAACCTCCCCCCAGCTCAGGGGCCTTTGAGTTCACCACCATCTGCTTCACTACAGGTTTTCCCTGTGCTGGGGGTGATTGCAGGGAGATGGTTCTTTGGTGTTCCCTGGGCAGGTCATTGCCTCAGCTCCTGCCTGGTGTCCTGGAGCAGCTTTGAGGAGCTACATGGACAGGACACGAACTGTCTGCAGCCCCCAGGTGAGGCTTGGCTGCTGTGTCCCACTGCCTCTGCTCCTGGCTGTCAAAGCCCCATGGTAACAGCATCCAGGGCGAATTTAAATGGCACCCCAAAGAATAAGAGTGGGCTTGGGTGTTACTGTAGTGACTGGTGGTTTGCGACAAGTAGTAGTGCGGCTTCCGTGGTGACAGGAAGTGACATTTCCCCCTGAATCTGCACTGGAGAGAAGGTCCTGGAAGCTTTTGGGCCCACCCTCCAGGGTCTGGGTCTGCATCTCCGAGAGTGGCCAGGTGGGTAGAAGAATCCTCCCTGCCTGATAGTCGGGTTTGGAGCTGGGGAGGGACGGGCCTGGTTAGCAATGAGCCTATTGCAGTGAACCAGAGCGAGATAAAGCGAGAGACCCAGCCCAGACACCTCCTTCCCTGGTCCCAGCCCCTGTGCCTTGGCCTGTGCGGTGGAAGCCAGGCTCCCTCCTCCAGGAAGCCCTCCCTGCACTGCCTGCTCACACACAGCCTCTTCCAGATTTCTCCCCATCCAGGCTGAGTAAGATTCCCAAGAGGGCTCCTCCCCGAGGCAACTGCCTGCAGTCAACATTATCACCTCCCCCAGTGAACAGCAGTAGTGTTTTTCATGTTCAGCAGTGGCCTCTGGAGGGGTCCTAGCAGGTCGGGGAGAGAGGTCTGAGTTAGCCCCACGTGAAAGGCAGCCCATGCCTCTCCTCCCAGCAACCCCCAGCAGCAACTTCCACCTGGCTGACCCCACCCAGCTCACAGAGCTGCCCAGCTGGGTGTCCTTGTGGTTGATTGGGGGAAGGGGCTGTTACCTCCTGGTCCCCTCCAGGCTGAGACAAGAGCCCTGTGGGCCTGGATGTTGGAGATGGGACCCCCACCCACATGCTCTCCAGGTGGATGCCCACTCTGGGCTGTTCTCAGGCCCCTCTCCCCACACTGGGCCTACACCCAGGAGGGAACTCCATGTACCCCTGCCGATCTGCCCATCTGAGCCTCAGGGGTCGTGGGCACTGAGAGCTGGGCTGGGCTGAGCTCAGGTACACACTGTCATTGGGGACAGAGAGGGGATGCTGAAGCGGGCGCTTCTGGGTGGGGCCTGCCTGGAGGATCACCCCAGCAGGTGCACCTAGCAGCCAGACAAGCTTCTAGCAGAGTAAGCGCCCTGTCCACAGGAGTATGTGAGCTGAGGCTGGGGGCCTGGAGGTGCAGGGGGAGGAGTTGGGGAGATGCAGAGGTCCCAAAGATGTCCCATGGTCCTAAGACCCTGGTGAAGGAATGGAGGAGCCAGCACTGGTGGGGAAGTGGGGAGGGAGGAGCTGGATGGCCTGGCTCTGAGCTGGACACACCGTCTGCGCCCACACCTGAGCTGTGCTGTGGAGCCCCAGTCCCCACCTGGGCACTTCCTGTCCTCTCAGGCACAGGGATTCCTGGTTCTGGCTCTGACCCCTCATCTCCAACTGTTAGGATGATGAGTCCATAGGCAGAGCCAGCCTCACAGGGGACCCAAAGGCCAGTTCAGATGGACAGCAACTCGAGGTCCCACCGTGCACACACACACACTGTGCAGAAAGCTAACGCGCTGTTTATTTGGGGGACTGGGGGGAAGCACCGTGCCGCTGCTCACTGGTAGCCAGCCAGCTGCAGGATGGTGGGGTAGCGAGTACGATGGGCCATGCACTTCTGGCGGTCGATGAAGAGACTGTTGGTCATGGCGGCAATGTCCTTCTCCAGGCTCATGTGGATGTCCTCGAGGTTGCGCAGGGACTGCTCCGCTTCTAGAAGCTTCTCTCGCAGTGCTGTGAGGGACATGTTCAGCTCCTCCACCTCACTCAACAGCCTGGGGGTGTTGGGGGGGTGTGAGCCGGGGCTAGGGAGGGCAGAAGTATGCACCTACCGGGGTGTAGGGGACCCAAAACTCCCAATGGGAGCTGGCAGGAGGTCCTGGGAAGACTCCATGAAAGAACCCCATCAGGAAAGCAGCTCTAGGGCAGAGCATAAATTACGAGGGTCCTCCCAGGGAGCGTGGGCCTGAGTGGGAATGAGTGACCCGTGTGCAATCTCGACCCTGGCAGGACAGGACTGGCCTCAGCCGACCAGGCTCAGTTCTTTCCATTCCTGATACTTGATGGAAGGAGGCCCCCAGTTCCTTGAAGGAACTGAGGGGCAGGGAAAGAAGAAAGGTACTTAGAAGGGGCCACCGGGCATCCGTTATCAAGGGAAACAAAAGGACGGCACATCTATGCCTGTAGCGCAGGCGTAGGTCATACTTCCCACCAGAGGTGTGGACAGCACGCTCAGGGCAGCAGGGAATGGCCCTGCCTGGCCTCTCTGGCTCTGTGGCCTCCTGGAGCTCACCTTGTCTGAAGGAGCTTCCTCCCGGGAAGATGAGGTAGCATAGGGTGGGGTGAGACCACGTGGGCACAGGTCCCTGGCACTGGGAGCCCCCCGACCCATGACCTGCCCAGTGTCATGTGTATGTCTGTGTGTTTAAGGCATGCCTGCTTGTTGTGTGTGGCCCCAAAGTCTCCCTCCCCTCTCAGCACCTGCGGGGGATGTGTGTGCGGGGTGTTGGAGTGTTTATTGGAGAGAGTCACAGGGAGGAGGTGGACAGGGCCACCTGGGACTGCCTCAGAGGCCCAGGCAGCACCTGAACTGGGCTGCGTCACGGCACAGCTCCATGTTGGGCCGGTGCGAGCGCAGGTACAGCCGGGTCTGGGCTACGTGCAGAGGTGCCTCTTTGTCCTTGATGGCCTGCTTCAGTGCCGCCACGTTGTGTTCCTGATCTGTGATTTCCCGCAGTGTCTGCAGACAGGACAGTTCTCCTTGGGCCTGTGCCCCCATGCCCGGGTATATAGAACGCCGAGACCAGGCTGGTCCTACCCAGGTCTTGGGGCTGTGTCCAGAGGGCAGTCCTGACCAGTGGCCCTGGGGAGGCGTGGATGAGGGGAACAATGTGCACGGGGCCCCCAGTGGGCTCTGGAGAGTCAGGAAGCCTGTTGTCCCTTAGCTGTGGTCCAAGAACCCCCATCCTTGGTGGTCACCAGGACCTGAATCCTGCTCAAGGACTGGGGACTCAGAGGTGGTAAAGGCCACGCTGAGACCCTAGATTCAGAGCCCTGCCTGCCAGGCCAGGACTCTTGGGGACCTCCCGGGCGGTCAGTGTTCCCCAGACCACCTCCTGCCTCCATCCTCCCCACAGCTCCTCCTGCTGAGTCATAGGGGTGGCAACACCGGTCGATCATACCCAGTGTCACCTGGTTTTACATAGGTTTACGGAGAGGAGACACTTGCTTCTGGGGTCCCTCGGGATAAATGGGACAGAGGAGAAAGGTGTTGAGGGCCCAGGCCAGGTGATGAGAGGGGGCCGTCTTCGGGGTTCAGGGTGCCCCACCTTGTGCAGGTGGTGATGCAGCTTGTACCGCGCGTCCTCCAGCTCCTCACAGCGGCGCCCGAAGGCCAGGTTCACGGCGTCGCACTGGAGCCGCAGGTCCTCGGAGGTGTCGCGAAGGATGCAGTCCACCAGCACCCGCAGGTTGGCCGAGGCCAGGCGCTCGCGCTGGGCACGGCACAGATTGTCCTGCGTGAACTTGGCCCGGGTCTCCGGGGTGGAGGCGCTGCGGGGCGGGGGACAGCCAGGAGAGGGTCGGGGAGGCTCTGCCGAAGGCTGGGAGCCCTGCTGCGCCCCCATGCCCTGTCCGCGCCCCATGCTCCTGGAGGACGTGCATGGACTCCGATGCACCCCATGCTGCCCCACAAAGCCCAGTCCCTCAGGCTCCCTGCCCCCGAGTGCCCCCTGGCCACAACTTCTCTGAGTCCCCCCACACCCTACCCACCCCGGGCACTTAGTCCCCTCGTGCCCCCGCGACCCCGTTCCCAGCACCGCTGCCCCGGAGGCCCCCTCTGCAGCACCTCCGGCCCCCGCAGCCCCCCTTCCCTAGTACCCAGCGCCCGCGCCCTCTTTTTGCTCCCAGGAGTTTGCCGCCCTCTAGTGGGCGGTGGTCAGGCTCCCTCTGCTGGCCTTGGGCGGAAACGCAATCCTGCCAGCGCCTGGGTCTGACCCCACCCTACTCTGTCCTGTCTGCCGGCAGCCAGGCTGTGCACGCGCTGGACATTTGAGGAGGTCTTGGTCGCTTGCTCATGCCAGGGGCAGACAGTTGCCCAAGTGCCCTCGGGGGCGAGGGCCTCCGGGCCAGGCTGGTGAAAGCAGCGCCGCTGGGGCCCCCAGGCAGAGGGAGGCGAGACCACAGCCAGGGCAAGTGCAGGGGCAGAGCTGGGGCCCACCTCTCTTGGAAGGTGGTGGAGTACGGATGAGCCTGCACCTCGGTGCTCTGGCTGTGGTGGCGCCCGCAGGTCTCGTCGATGTTGTAGGCCTCCATCTTGTCTGACCAGTCCATCTCGCAGGTCTCCTTGTGCTCCCGGTTCAGTCTGGGGCGGGGTGGGGCAGGGCCTTGATGTGTGCCCAGGGAGGGCCCTGCTGGGGACCCTCTGTGCTGCAGGCTGGGCCCCAATGCCTGCCTCAGGAGGGAGTTCTGGGTGGGCCTGTCCCGGGCAGCCCTCGTGCTCAGCAGTGACCAGGAGCTGCGGCCCAGGCTGGGAGGCTGCAGATCAGATGTGGCACTGGGCTCTGGCCACTCAACCTCAGGCTGCGCCGGAACCTCCCCCACCCAGTCCTGCGCTCCACTGTGACCTGGGGCAGCCCCTGCTGGCTCTGAGTCTCAGGGTCCTGTCGTTCAATGCCTTGCCCCAGGACCAGCTGTGGGTAGGGTCAGGAATCATCCCTTGGGCAGCCCTCTACCCACCGGATCTGGCTCACTGCTTGCATGATGGTTCTCTTCAGCAGCTCCTGAATGTTCCGGATGAGCTCGGCTTCCTGAGGGAGGAGACGCCCTGAGCACCAGAGCCAGTCCCTGGTGAGGATCCCAGGAGGCCCAGCTGCTGCAGGCCTTGGTCAACACCTGAGCAACCACAAGGAGTTGAATGCCGGGCCTGAGCTCTGACTGTGTAAGTTCTGCTCTCTCACTGGGTTTATCTTGGGCTTTTGGGCATTCTCCTTGGTGCGTTGTAAGTGGGGTGTTTTCCTCCAGGGCCTTCTGTGGGCTGCTGGGAAGGTCCCTCAGCGGCAGTTCCCACGCCCCAGGCTTCAGGAGTCATCGCTGCTGCTCACTCAGTGCACCTGGGAACGTTGGCCTGCCCTTGGCCTCTGGACAGCCCCTGAGGACCCAAACTCTGGGGGCCCAGATGCCCGCCCAGGCTGCCCCTCAGGGCTCTGTGCTGGGAAAGGCCATCTTCACACCAAGAACAGGAGAAGGACCCTGTGTTTCTTCTTATTGCCTGGCCAGTTTAATTTGCTGTGTGTAGGAACAAGCCTTTTCTCTGTGATTGGGGTCTTTGCCTCAACCACTGGGTACTTCCTTGTGTGCCAGGGCCCGGGTCCTGCGCCCCTCTATCCCTGGGTTTGCCTCTCCGTGCACTGTCAGTGTCTCCATCAGTTGGCAGGTGCCCTTGTTGCGGGCAGAGAGTTTGCGGGAGCTGCAGGAGTTCTTGAGGCACTGAGAGAGTGCAGGGGGAAGGGCCTGCAGAAGGGTAAAGAAGGGAGGAGGGAAGGCATGAGGGGAGGGAGGGACTCAAGGGTTCTTGCCTGAGCTTGGGGTATGGCAGGAGACCAGCTGCCCCCACCCCACATCTTTCACGAATGTCTACAGGCCTGTAGTGGTTCTCAGGGAGGCCCCAGGCTCTGAGAGGTCAGAGAATTCTCCAGAGCCAGCATCTGGGCCAGGACTGAGTTACTCTCTCACCCTGTGGGGCTGCCCCACAGACAAGCTGGGGTGGATTGGGAAGTTATAGGGGACATGGAGGAGAGGGGACCTGTGGGTGCAGATCTTTGTGTCCCCGGCTCTGTATAGGATGAATGGGAGCAGTGGCTCCCAGCCCACCCCACCTTACCTGTCCACACCTGCAGTGCTGGCCCAGACCTGGGTTTCCACCTTGGGAGCAACTGTCCCAGCGAGGGAGGGTCTCTGGGGAGGTGCCTTGTGGCTTAGCCCAGGGAGCCCAGGGTCAGGATGACTGTGCCAGGACTCAAAGGGATTAGAGGAGGAGAGGAGAAACAGCTGCTTGGAAGTCAGGGGTCTTCTGGGGCAAAGCTGCCTCCTGTCACTAAGGGGCCAGATTTCGGGACTCAGGGGTCTCACGTGCAGAGGGCTGGGCTCCCGCGTGCTTGCAGCAGCCACGTGGCTTGTCCACATGAACTGCGGGGGGGGGGGCTCCTCCTCTCTGCGCCCACAAATCCCGGCCACCCAAGGGTGCTGGCACCTTCAGCAGCTCCGTTTCCACATGGTCGCGCACGAGGTTGGGGTGCTCGCGGCGCTCACGGCACTGCAGGTTGTCAGTGGTGATGGAGAAGGGCACCTCTGTGGCGTCCAGGGCGCGCTCCAGCCGTTGCTTCTGGGCCAGGAGCAAGTTGGTCTCCGCAGCCAGCGCCTCCATCTCACGCTGCAGCTCCGACTTCCAGCTGTGCGTGTCCTGCAGTCGCTCGCCCACTGTGCGCGTGGAGTCTTGCTGCGTGCGCTGCGCCAGCGCCTGGGTCTCTGTGGCCAGCTGCTGGCTCTCGTGCCGCTGCCGCTCCGACTGGTCGCGGTCGGCGAAGGCCTGGTGGTAGCGAGCATAGCAGTTCTGGAACCACTCCTCCAGCAGGTACTTGGAGGTGCGGAAGCTGGCGGTGGCCAGGCCGGAGGACGTGTAGGCGCCCGTGTTACGGGCCACGTCGTACTCTTTGCAGGGCAGCTCGCAGGGCGGCACTGTCTGCGCCATGGTGCCTGCCGCCCACCAGGGCCAGGGGAGTGAGGACTGTGTGTGGTCAGCCGGTTGCGGTCAGCCTAGTGCGGTCAGCGGGGCAGCTCCAACGGCTCAGTCCCAGAGCAGGACGCGGCTCCCAGTCGCTTGGGTGACACTGTGTAAACCAAGAGCTTCCTGTTGCCAAGAAACGGGATCTCTTCTCCAGTAGCTAGGGGAGGGGCATTCAGGGTGGTGGGCAGAACTGCCCTCTTAAAGGGCCAGGCAGCCCCAGCCCCACCATCCCTGTCCCCGCCTCGGGGCAATCAACAGTGGCCAAGGGTTCCTGTCACTTAGAGGATCCTGGGGCCAGCCCGTCTCCAGCCTCTGAGTCCCACCCTTAGGGTTCAGGGTGTGGGTGGGGACCTACTGCCCTGGCCCCTTCCTTGGTTCATCCATTTGTTCCTGGTTTGCGCTCTGATCCTGTCCTGTGCGGAGCTCCGCGCTCAGGGTGAACAAGACAGGAGACTCTGCTCAGTTGCAGCCACCTCAGGGCAGAGGGCTGTGGCTGTCGTGTGGGTGTTGGGTGTGCTGACTGATAGTGTTACTTGATGCCGTACAGGTGGCTGCTCTCCCTGCCCTCCTGGCCCCAACAGCAGCCTGGTAGCACAGGGAGGGTTCCAGGCCAGGTCCCCTCGGGGGCAGTCTGAGGCAGTTCCTGCAGGAACTCTGCTCCATTTTCTCCTGCACCTAGTGCCTGAGAGCCAGGCCCTGGCCTCTGGCCTTCTCCTCCCAAGTCCAAGCCAGGGTCCCCTCAGGCTGGGCACAGCGGGGAGGGAGTCTGAGTGTGCTCTTCGCTGGGGAGTTGAATTCAGCCTCTGGGTAAGTGTCCAGAGTCAGACGCCCAAATCTGCCCCACAGGGCGGAGGCAGGTCCTGTGCTGCGGAGGCTGCCCTCAAAGCCATTCAGGGCCAGGCTGCCTGGCGGAGGCTGGATGGGCAGGAAGCGCCCCAGGACACATCGGAGTCCCCCTAACCTGGGGCCAGGGGAGCCCCAGCCTAGGCGCGATTCCCCACACGGCCAGCGGAGGGCGACGTTGGTCTGGCACTGAGAAGCCTGCGGCTCCTGGCTCGGCCTCCCCTCCGTCTGCCTGGCGCATGCAGTCCTGGGGACCCCCAGCCCCTCCGGCCTCCTCTTCTCTGAGAGCCCCCCACCAGAAAGTCCTCACTAGGAAGTCCATACCCTTCCTACAGCACAGACCTCTGGGCCCCTGTTCTCTCCACCTTCACCCCCTCTCCCACCACAGCCCACACCCTCACTCCAGCCACAGGAGCCGGAGCTCCTCCTGGGCCATTCCCACCACCCCGCCCAGGGTCTCTCCAGCCCCACCATGTGCCGGCCAGTGCCCTCCTCCTGGACCTGACCTCCCCCCGTCCTGGCCTCTCCCGCGGCCAGAACCCTCAGTCCATGCTGCTGTCACCACGGTGCGCCTGGCCTGACACAGCCTCCTGATGGGGCTTTTGAGGACAGCAGCCCGGAGACTTACCCTAACCCAGGCCGAGTCAGAACCTGTGGCAGGCGGCCTGGGAACCTCTTCTTACTGTCCATCAAAATTGGGAGGTCAGGGGACCTTCAGGGACTGGTGTGGTCTGAGAAACATCCTCGAGCCTCGCCATGACTCAGTTTCCCCAGATGGCAGCAGGCTGGAGCCCACACGCAGGGCAGGATGCCAGGCTCCACCTTTTGTCTGGAACCTGCATTCACTGGGCACCTCTCTTTAGGCAGAGCAGAGCAGAGCTGCCCGTGTTTGTCCCCTGATCTGTGGCCCCAGGAGCCCGAGAGACCACCTGAGCCAACGAGAAGGCCTCTGGGCCAGAGCCCAGCTCTGCGAAGTGGGAGACTTCTCAGCCTCCACTTCCAGGTGCCCTGAAGTCGTTGGCAGGGGGTGCTGCCTGCTTGGGGCTCCCAGACTAAGGGAACACATTCATGTGGTGACCACGATAGGCCCTGCAGGCTGAGGCACAGGATTTGACCAAGGACGCATCAGAGATAGGAGACTGGGCCCTCACTCCTGCCAGCTGCAAACTCCCAAAGCCCCCAGCCCTCTCATGGGGTGAAGATGCCCTGAAGGACACTCCAGTGTGCTCCCACCTCTGGGTTCTGCCAGCCAGAGAGTGGGACCCTCAGGCCACATGTGTCTTGCTGGATCTCAGCTTTAGGGACCCATCGTGCTGGCAGCTCCCTGAGACCTGGGTCAGGGGGTGTCCATTAGAGCACCTTGGTCAGGACCCAGAGATGGGGAGGGCAGTTGGCATCTCCAGAAAGCAGGAGGTGGGGCATGGCTCTGTGACAGACGTCCCTGTGACAGGGAGGATTGGAGGGACAGAGGGGCGTGCTCAGGGGCGGAGGGGCAGATGAGGCCACCAAAGGGCACCTTGAACACTGGATGGCCCCAGGAAGGCCCTTGAACCCCATCCTGATTGATCCAGGGCCTGTGACCTTGGCCCAGACTGCAGGCCTGGGGACTTGAGTTCCTTTAGTTTCTTAAGAAACTACTATACTCCTTTTTGGCATAGCTGTACGATTTTACATTCCCACCAGTAATGTGTGAAAGCTCTAGTTTTTACTCATGCTCCTCAGCGTTTGATGTTTTATTTTTATTTTAGCTATTCTGATATATATGTGTTAGTCATTGTGGTCTTAATTTGCAAATTTCTAATGACTAATGATATTTAACACCTTTTCTTGTTCATAATTAAATACCATCTGTATTCCTTTTCGCATATCATCAACACAACCGTGAAAAATCAGAACAAAATTTTTCAGACGACTTCAAAATTTTTAGAACAATACTCAAGGGAAAAGGTGTTTATTTAGAACAATGAAAACAATGAGACATTAACTTCCAGGTTAAATAAAGTTGATTGTGTGCATAAAAATGGTGAAAATATTAGACTTCCTTGGCAAAAGAAGAAAGGGGAAGACTTTATATTTTCTGAAATAATATTCATCATTTGTCTTTGGTTTATTATGTGTATGATTTGGAAAAAATGCATCAAAGATACAACCTTCTGGTGTTTGCTTTGATATTATCCTTGCAAACAGAAAAGTTGGCACGTTTCTGTATAAAACTGGACAAAGTTGGCCTAGGAATGATGTTACATTGTACTTTCACTTTACATCATACTGTAAGAGTTTAATAATAGCTAAGGCAGGCGTGTTGATGTGGACTTACTGTCCCTATTTAAGAGGTGGTGTGAGGTTTAGGAGAGTTATGTACCCTTTATCATAAAACAAATCTATGAAGCATTTATATAAAAACCCAGTATTTCTGGTTTCAAATTCAGTACTGTGCCGTCTGCTTGATAGATTTGTTTGCAGGTTAGAGACATTTTATTGCATAACTTCCATGAAGTATCACAGTTGTACTCTTGACTATGTTTAAATCACAACAAGACTTTAATCTGCACTCAGTTCTTTTAACTAAAATCTTCAGTTTGAATATTAATTTCACTTAAAGAACATCCCTAGAAATTTCAGAGAGAGTTTACTTGCGGAATACAATTTGCATTTGCTTTGACAACTATTAGTTCACATATGTAAAATAAGTCTACCTGTCTGTATGCATAATTAAGATGTAACAGTAGTGTGGTAATGACTTGTTAATTAAAGCAATTAGAATGGCAGTGGATCATGGCACAATTTACCTTAAAAGCCATGAGCAGACTACATCACAAGCTATGATACAATTAATAGTCATTAGGTTTAAAGTAGTTTCTGCATATAAAACCACAAAGCATATTTTAGCCCTTTAAACAAAAGCTTCATTCAGTCAATACTGGTCTTCTTGTAGATGCATTTATGAAACAAAACCACAAAACATATAGCTTACCCGCTTCTCAAAACATGTTGCACAGTAGGTTGAGGGACTTCTCTACACCAGGACCTATTCTTAAAACCAATAAGTCCTCAGTGAAAATTATGTATTTGCCTGGAGTCTCATCTGATGTGTCTGTTGTAGGCAGCTGTGGCAGTGGTGGGTGGTTTAGTGAGATGGACCCTGTCCACGTCTGTCCGTCCATCAGTGGGCTAGTGTGTCTCTGGCTGCACCTGAGAAGGGTCTATAGGAGTTAACGGCATTAGCATGGGATTCAAAATAAATCATCTTGGATTCAAAGTTCCATTTCAGTATCCATTTCCAGCTAAGTTTGTGTAGCATGATTAATGTTTCTGAGGCTCAATTTTAGTAATGGTAAAGTTATATCTTCCTAAAAGACAGGGACACATCCCAGTTTTGTGTTTTTTAATTTTTATTTTGTTTTATTTTTCTTGAGATGGAGTTTTGCTCTTGTTGCCCAGGCTGGAGTGCAATGGTACAATCTTGGCTCACCACAACCTCCGCCCCCTCGGTTCAAGGGATTCTCCTGCTTCAGCATCCTGAGTAGCTGGGATTACAGATGCCCGCCACCACGCCCAGCTAATTTTTTGTATTTTTAGTAGAGATGGGGTTTCACCATGTTGGTCAGGCTGGTCTTGAACTCCTTACCTCAGATGATCCACCTGCCTCAGCCTTCCAAAGTGCTGGGATTACAGGTGTGAGCCACCATGCCTGGCCTTATTCTCAAAAAAGAATTTATCAAAATTGTATGTATATGTGTGTGTGAGTGTTTTAAGTAGAGTAACACTTTATTAAAATGCCACTATATATGTTCTAACAAAAAACCTCAAATTAACAAATGCATGTGGGGAGAGGGAGAGAGGGAGGGAGAGAGGAGGAGGGAGGCAGAGAGAGAGAGAGATATCTCTGGTGTCTCTTCCTTTTTGGATGACGACCCCAGTCCTAACAGATTAGGGCCTTAACCTTTTGCCCCTATTTAACCTTTACCTTCTTAAAAGCTCCTTCTCCAAATACAGTCACACTGGGAGATAGGGCTTCAGGTTAGGAATTCTGGGGGGACATAATTCTCTCCAGAACAGTCACTAATATCATGAGTGCTCAGATTGCTAGTGAATATGTTCTTGTTACAATTATTTTTGCTTTGCAGTTTTAGATAATGAATACTTGGATAATAAATACCCACTGTATTCTAATTTTTTTCAACACTTCTTACTTGCATGGATTCTAAACAGAAGTCCAATGTAATTCTTACGTCTGTTTCTCTGTAGACAATATGTTTCTTCCTCTGCCTTATTTTAATATTTTATCTTTGTTATAGGTTTTCTACAGTTTGAATATGATATTCCTAGTTATATTTCAAAAATATTCATCCTGCTTGGTGTTCTCTGAGCTTTTTGGATTTGTAATTTGGTTTCTGTCATTAATTTGTGTTTTTTTCCTAGTTAAAAAAATGAACTTTATAGATTTTACATTCTCAACTTTCACTTACTTTCAAAATGAGAGACAAGACACCTAAACTCCAAGATTTCAGTCCTGAATGCAATAGTACCAGATTTTCAAGTTACATAAGTGAGCTGCATAAACACTACTAGTTTCAAGTGTACCCTGTAAGAAACACATGGACATACTTGCGTTGTTTAACCACACAGTGTCATATCAATAAACCCCAAAGTATCTGACATATATTTGTCCATTAAAGGTAAACACAATTCTGAGTATCAAATTAAATTGATCATTTGCCTTTTATAAGCTAAATCAGAAACTGAAAAACTGGAAGAATGTAGAGGTAAGTAGCTGAAAATGCTCCACTTACTGCACACAAGCACATCATGACAAAGAATGCTAGAAGTAGCTTTCCTCAGAAGTAATAATTGAACATTTAAAATATTATTTTATCAGAAAAGTTAAAGCTTTTAGTGTAAAAAGCATGGTAAATGACATTTTAACTTAATAGTTAACTATATAGCAAATTACAGATTTCGAGCAATTAGTTACCCACATTTCACCAGAACCTTCAGTGAAAGTGTCTGCTCTCAACATTGACCAGAACCTTCTTGTTCTGAAGTGTCTACTCTTTAGAGTTGTTTTAGCTTTACATATCTGTAAAAACCTAAGATTCCTCAATGAGAAGTTACAGCTTATTCTGTACTAGATACACATAATATATATAGATTTAGAACAAATGGATGCTTTTCAACTTCAAAAAAAGTATTTTAATTTACACAATATTAGATTTTTTTTCACCCATGTGTATGCATAACAGTGTTTCCCAAATGCGCAGGGTCCACTTCCATAATTCTAAAGCAAAAATAGAGGCACACAAATGGATAATAGTTCATAGTTTTATGCCTTTTTTAAACCTATCTTTAAAGAAATTCAGTTGCCATTTAGATAAAGATGTGATGAACTCGTAACAAATTTCTATGACTTGGAAAACTAAAGGTCTGAAAATCCTGAATGTTGTAGCTTTGGGCAGTTTGCAATTTGTGCATGGGTTCACTCACCCTGTGGTCCGTGAACTCCCTTATCCTGCAAGCTGTAGGTACTTTCAGCAAATATGAGACTCAAAAGACTAAGGAAGGGCTTGTTTAAATTAGTTTCCCTAACAGTTGATTCTAATCTTGCAATGAACAGATTTAACATACTAGTGAGTTAAATTTTAAAGTAATTATAAAGCCATTTACTCTATCATGAATGAAATGTAAGAACCACACTTAAAACAAGTCTTTCATCTTAATGAATGGTATCTTTCATTTATATACAAAGGAATTCACTTGCCAGCAGCATTTAAGTATAGAAATAGTCTCGTCTTGAGTGCCTTTTATAAAGCAGTGCCATTTCTAACTAGGTGTATTTGTTACCCAGCTTTTCAGTAACTATAGGTATCTAATAGATTCAAGAAAAGATTGGAAAATTGAGAAGATTTAGCATTTTAAACATTTGAAAAATGTTGCTACAAAGCATAGATTATGAATGCATTAGTAAAATTCACACCTTATGTGAGAATCATTAAGTTGGTTTAATAATTATATCACAGAAGTATGGGCTCACTAATATTTATGCTAATTAAACCAGAAAGTTTCTGTAGGTAATTCAGCTCTAAGCACCATTTAGTAGGGTTATGCCAAGTAGAACCAATGGTTATATAATACCCAGAATATAACCCTCAGCAAATTCAAACTTTTAGAATGGCAACACAAGTGAGAATTAGAATGAGAGGCAATAGTTCATTTAAAAGTACCATAGGCTGCTAAGAGTGTTCTTTTCTTTTAAAAATTTGTGTGGTTGTTAATAATGTACCCTAACACTGGTCCTCCTTGACAGCGGTGTTAGAGATGGTTAGGTGGAACCTATATTACGGAAGTCAGTGTTGCCCATTTCTTTAGCTCAGTGATTAAAATTGAAATTGCTTTGACAAAACAATTGAACTGCTGCTGTTTACAATACAAATAGAACACCAACAGGATTCCTGTTGTATTCACATTATTCTCTAATTAGTATTTTTGCATTTCGACTCTGACCTAACCTTCAGTAGTTCCTTTATTTTTATTTTCAAACATTTTTGTGAGTATATAATAGGCATATATATTTATGGGGTGCATGAGATGTTTCGATACAGGCATGCAGTGTGAACTAATCACATCATGGAGGGTGGGGTATCCATCCCTTCAAGCATGTATCCTTTGTGTTACAATCCAATTACATTCTTTTAGTTATTTTTAAATGAACAATTATTGACTAGAGTCCCCCTGTTGTGTTATTAAATAGTATGTCTTATTCATTCCTTCTGCCTATTTTTGTACCCATTACCCATCCCCTGCCTTCCCCCCCCCCAGCTCCCTAGTACTTACTATGTCCATGAGTTCAATTGTTTTGATTTTTAGATCCCACAAACAAGTGAGAACATGCAATGTCTGCCTTTCCGTGCTTGGCTTATTTCCCTTAACATAATTATCTCCAGTTCCTTCCATGTTGTTGCAAATGACTGAATCTCATTCTTTTTTAGGGCTGAATAATACTCCACTGTGTGTATCTACCAGATTTTCTTTAATACATTAAGTTATTGATGGACACTTAGGTTGCTTCCAAATCTTAGCTATTGTTAACAGTGGTGCAACCAACATGGGAGTGCAGATAATTACTTCGATATACTCATTTCCTATTTTTGGGGTATATACCCAACAGTGGGATTGCTGGATCATGTGATACCTCTATTTTCAGTGTTTAGAGGAACCTCCAAACTGTTCTCAACCATGGCTGTACCAGTAGTACATTAAAATGCAAATGCAATTGGTAAAAGAACAAGGCAGCATGTAGTACTTGCACTTAAAAATACTACCAGTTTCGTAACAATTTGCATTTTTTTTTGTCCTTGGAAGAGTAACCACTTAATAAAACAGATACATAAAAGTGCAATATTCTTTCCTTTGCATGGCATCCAGGAATGGTGAAAGCAAAGAAACAGTCATCCCTTCTCTTCCCCCTACTTCTGGTCTCCCGAAATAGGGACGCCAGGTCAGACAGGTGGAGGAGGGAAATGGGGCACAGGTCAAGGTATTATGAATCTCTTAAAAAGAAATCCGGCCGGGCGCGGTGGCTCACGCGTGTAATCCCAGCACTTTGGGAGGCCGAGATGGGCGGATCATGAGGTCAGGAATCGAGACCATCCTGGTGAACACGGTGAAACCCTGTCTCTACTAAAAATACAAAAAAATTAGCCCGGTGTGGTGGCGGGCGCCTATAGTACCAGCTACTCAGAGGCTGGGGCATGAGAATGGCATGAACCCGAGGGGCAGAGCTTGCAGCGAGTGGAGATGGCGCCACTGCACTCCAGCCTGGGCGACAGAGCGAGACTCCATCCCCCCCACCCACAAAAAAAAAACGCTTTGCCCAGAATGCTAGCCTGATGGGAACTCCACCCCATCCATTCCAACCTAGTAAGGATAATTTAGTTTGTCTTTTCTGGTCTCACTTCCTTACTGACATCTAGTGTTCTTTTTTTGTTATTAAATTTCAGAAGACAAACCTTAGCATTTTCTAAAAGAAATTATTTTTACCTAAATACATTGGGCTTTGGTCTTAATTTGAAGGAATAGAATAAGTGGCCTTTAAGAGAGCGTTCCTACTCCTCCTCTTCCAGTGGCTGCTCTGGGTCCCTGAAAGAGGGTGTGATGTGAACCACCTGGGTTGTGAAGTGGATTTTGTTGAGCCTGTGTTTTTTAAGTCCATTAGTCCTGCCCGAGGCTCTGTGCCCTGGAATCCTTGGCTTCGCGTCTGGACCACCTTCAGCCAAGAAGTGATGGTGAAGAGGGTCCCCCCATCTTCCAGGACGTGTGAGAGTTTGTAGGTGATGAGATGGAGGGGGCACCTTTTAAATCTTAACAGTACCCACCCTCGCTGCTGGCGGTGTTCTCCCCGTCGTCCTCGTCCAGGACTCCCACCAGGGTCTCGATCTCCTCTCTGATGCTCTGACTCACATACTGGGAGGCCCTTTTCCCAATGTAGTCCCTGATGTCCACATTGGCGTCCTAGGTCCCCACTAGCAGCTTCACCATCTCCAAGGTACATGGCTGCCAAGTGCAGGGCGGTGTAGCCTTGCTAGTCCTGGCTTTGCTGTTCCCGGGCAGCGGAGGCTCCTTGGGGAAGTTGACCAGCATGGCCAGAAGCTCTGGCCTGCGGTGCTAGGCGCCTGTGCAGGCAAGTGAGGAGGTGATGAAGCCCAGCGTGGCCAGCAGGCCGGCTGGCACGAGGGCAACCCCCTAAGCTGTCCACTCCCCATCGGAGGCCAAGAGCAGCCAGCCGTGCTGCTGGGTCCAGCTCACCCAGCCCCGCAGCTCTCCTCCTCCGCAGACGGGAAAGCCAGCGCTGCGCCGCCAGAGTCACTCGCCTGTGCCGTGTCCTCCTCGGAGGAGCTCCCAGGCTGCTGCCTCTAGGACACAGGCTCCTCTTCAGGGGCGGGGCGCTGCCCCTTGCCAAGTCGCTCAAGTTCTGGCAGAATGGCCTCGGGGCGGTAGCCCCCCAGGAACTGCCCCTGTCCGCCTCCTGGCAGCCGTGGGGCGGGGGCTCCAGGTCCTCGCTGGCCGCGAGGTCCCGCGTCTGGGGTAGGGGCGGGTGGAGCCAGCGACCTCTTCCTGCGTCCCCGCCGCTCAGGGCGGCCCGTGCAGGGGCTGAGATCCCCCTCGCCCAGCTCGGCCCTGCCTGTGGAGCGCCTCGGGTACCGCTGTTTCAGGGAGGGGATGGTGAATGCTGCGCTCCGCGTTCACGTGGACTTCGCACAGGTCCCAGGGGCGCGGCCTCAGGCGGAGGCCCGGCCAGAACCTCTTCCTGAGACGCAGGTACTCGGCGCCACCGGCGGGGTTGGTGCAGTGGCCACAGCGTCCACCCGGAGATACATTTAAACAGTTTTATTCTCCTGTTTTTTTTTTCATTCCAGAAACCATTACTACTATGCAACAAAGTAAAAATATCTAGTTTAAATAATAATTTGATACGGTCAGGTGGGGATGAGTGCACAAGTGTGTGTACACACACGCGCAGGCTCTGAATGGGATATTTTGGCGGAGCAGAGGGATAAGGCTTTTATTTTGTTGGTGTGTTGAGTTAGAATCGCCCTTCTCACAAATAATTTGAATCAGGAGTTTTGTTAAAGCTAATTTGTACAACTAGGCAACATCTTTTCCCCATATATTTATACACATATACACATCTCTAATATTTGCATTTATTCATCTAAAAGAGCTTGGAAAAAGGGTCCTAAGTCTTTGGCCAGTTAAGGTAAAAATCTATATTTTAAAGTAATAAAAACATTTGCTGTGGACAGAGACATGCAGACACTGTGGGTGAAGCTGATGGATGTTCCATTGCAGGAAATGACATGGGGTTTTCTAAGGGAAAGCCCAGCATGCTGTAAGGAGAGGGGAGGTCCCGGGAGGGAATTGGAGTCAGCATTAGGATCTAAGTGTCATAGGGGAATGTGCTCCCAAAAAAGAATATGGCTGTTTCTGTGTCCATCCTGAAGTGGTTACCATGAGTGTGTGTGTGTGTGTGTGTGTGTGTGTGTGTGTGTGTGTGAATTAAAAGAGGAGTTACGTGCTGGGGCATTTCTGGTATCTCAACTGGCATCTCAGCTGCTGGTGATGATGGCTATACCTTTTCCTCAGTATTCAATGGTACGTATTTTGAGTTAACAATCCACCCATTGGCTGAGGCAGGTGGATCATCTGAGGTGAGGAGTTCGAGACCAGCCTGGCCAATATGTGAAACCCCGTCTCTACTAAAAATACAAAAATTAGCCAGCTATGGTTGCAGCACCTGTAATCCCAGCTACTGGGGAGGCCAAGACAGGAGAATTGCTTGAATCCGGGAGGCAGAGGTTGCAGTGAGCTGAGATGGGCCACTGCACTCCAGCTTGGGCAGCAGAGTGAGACTTGGTCTCAAAAAAAAAAAAAAGTTATTGTGACATGCTGTACACATTCATAAATTCAGTGTCTCCCAGAAGTCTGAAATTTTTTTTTTTTTTTGAGACAGAATTTCACTCTTGTTGCCCAGGCTGGAGTGCAATGGTGTGATCTCAGCTAACTGCAACCTCCGCTTCGTGGGTTCAAGCGATTCTCCTGCCTCAGCCCAAGTAGCTCCTGCCTCCCAAGTAGCTGGGATTACAGGCATGTGCCACCACGCCCAGCTAATTTTTTATTTTTAGTAGAGTTGGGGGTTTCTCCACGTTGGTCAGGCTGGTCTCGAACTCCCGACCTCAGGTGATCCGCCCACCTCAGCCTCTCGAAGTGCTGGGATTACAGCCATGAGCCACCATGCCCAGCCAGAAAGTTTTAAGGCTATGATTATTAGACCACCACACACACACAAAGTACTTAAGTCTCGGGAATGCTATCCCTCATTGGCCTGGTATGACAAAGATAAAAAGAAGTCGGTCGTGAAAATTTCTGAATGTGGTTTAGGACAAGGAACCCCAGTAAGATTCAGAGACAGCCTAGAAAATTGAAAGAAAATTTTACTACCCACATATCACCCTTCTATAAAAAATAATAGAAGATGTCAAATATGAAAATAAGACTGTCCTCTAGGCCCTCAATTTTCTGTGTTGTGGGGGAAGGCAGACAGCTACTCAGCATTTATATCCCATAAGAATGGATAACACTAAAACAACTGACATCATCAAGTATTGGTTAGAAAGTGGAACTGATTCTCTCAAACATTTTCATTGTAGTTTAAGATGACACAACCACTTAGGAAAATGTCTCCCCATTTCATACAATGCCAAATATATACTTATTTTATAACCCAGAAAATCCACTCTTATGTACTTAAACTCAAGAAAAGTGAAAATATTATTACAGAAAAACATGTATATCTGATTTGTTCGTAGCAGGTTTATTCATGATAGCCTCAAATCAGAAACTGCTTTTGTGTCTATCAATAGCAAAGGCCTCAAACCTGTGGTATAGTCATAAAATTGAGTATTACAAAATAAAATTAATGAATAATAGCAAAATGATGTGTCACAAGCATGTTTAGTGAGTGAACATAAAAATTATATAATTTATAGTTTCACTTACATAAATGGTGAAAACAGACAAAACTCACCTTTTGTGGAAAGAATCAAAACCGTGGAAGCCTCTGTGTTCAAATACTGACTGGAAATGGGCAGGAGAAAACATGTTTCTGCCAGATCTTCTATATGCCTGATGTGCATTCACTCGATGTATTTTGCGTATACTATTTTTGCAAATAAAACTGAGATAAAGGCAAAATAACTCAAGAGAAAATAGGTAGAAATAGGTAGAGTTGGGATAGAAGCCTTGGAAGCTCCCCCCTACCTTGCCCACCTGGCACAGGCGGAGGAAGTCCTGGGACAATGCTGTGAGCGACCTGAGGGCCGTCCAGGGGAGCCCCGCCAGCCCATGCTGGCGCCCGAGCTGCCCGCCGCCATCTGAATATGTTGCAAAGACAGTGCTGGCCTGGCAACCGGTGAAGCTCCACGCCCCACCCCGACCCCCACTTCTACCCAAGTAGCAGCAACGCTAGAGACAGATGCCTGGGCGGCAGCGGTTAAGTCTGGCAGTTGGCCAGGCGGCCAAAGGACGGGAACTGGCCTTTCACCCCATCCCAGTTTCCATGGAGAACTCAACCACTATGGCCCCTGAGCAGACCTTCAGGTCTGGTGGGCTGTGCTCTGTGCCCGCAAACCTGACGCCATCCAGGGGAGCTCCACCTTCCCGTGCCAGCGCCTCAGCTGCTGCACAAAACTGCAAGTTGCACACGGGCAGAGATGACGGAGCAACCCCCGGCCCTCCGCGCCACTCACCCTACCTGCACACCTGCCACGCGGACCCTGGGGCCGGTGCCTGGGCGCCCAAGTCAGGCAGTCCGCACAGCAGCGGCACCAGGGTGAAAACCTGCTGCTCAGTACCATCCCGGTTACCACGAAGAGCCAGCCCCGGCGGCCCCTGCGTTCTTGGAGGAGGCCAAGTCAGAGCAACCCCTCAAGTGGGAGGGCGATGCACTTGACCCTGAGGACATCAGGTACCAGGCCCGCCAGCTCACGCCGGCATCGGAGCCGCAGCTGCAGTCTAGACGTGGTGCACCGGCAGCAAGTGGCTGGACACTCCAGACCATGCCCGCCCCCCAGTAGCGTGGATCCTGAGGCCAGACCCCCAGGCGGCAAAATCAGGCAACCGGCCCCGCCAGCAGCCGCTGTTTCATCCGTGTGGATACAGAGTGCCCAGCGCCAGGGCCCAGGATCCAGAAAGGTGTCCAAGAGGAGCGGACCTTTGAGGCCAGGTGGGCTGTGCGCTCTGCGGCCCTGAGGCCATCCAAGGGAAGCTCCGCCATCCTGCGCCAGTGCCAGATCTGCAGTTGCAAACCGCGCGTGTGGCACTGGCAGCAGTGAGGGCGGGTGGGGGAAGGAGCAGCCCCTGACTCTGCCTCCATGCCTCTCCAGCTACCTTACACTAGCCACACAGACTCCAGGGCCAGAGCCTCAGCGTTCAGCCAGACAATCCGCGAAGCCACTCAGGTGGCCGCGGAGGGCCCTTGCCAGCACCCTCTCTTCCGAGGAGGAGCGGGGCGGGCTGCAAGGCCAGACAGGCCCTCCTCCTCAGGCCGGGCTGGCTGCGCGCCTGCGATTCTGGGGCCGCCCGGGCGATCCCAGGAGAACCGGAGAGCCCATCGGCGCCTGCCCAGAGCTGCAGCCCTACCTGCCGGCGCGCGCCGCCAGGGAGCGTCTTCCGGGAGCCTGGCAGCAACCGCGGTGCAGGCGCGCGCCCAACGGCTTTGCGAGGCTCACTCGGTCTGAGAGGTCGGAGGCTGCCAGTGTCGCTGCTGAAGGCTGTGGTGGACCGGGCTGGATCGCGGATTGTGGAGTAGATCATAGATTTGAAATAGCGGATTTGGGGTTGGATCGGGGCTTTGGGGTTGGATAGGCGATTTGGGGCTGGGTCGGCCGGGGTCGGGGGAGGGGGGTGGTGAAAAGGTGACAGGGAGCTGCCCCCGCTCAAGAGCCGGTGGTTGGGGGTCTGAGAAGTAGTCACCGCCATGAAGTTATTCGGCTTCGGGAGCCGCAGGGGCCAGACGGCCGAGGGCTCCATAGACCACGTCTACACGGGTTCCGGATACCGAATCCGGGACTCCGAATTGCAGAAGATCCACAGGGCAGCTGTCAAAGGCGACGCCGCGGAGGTGGAGCGCTGCCTGGCGCGCAGGAGCGGAGACCTGGACGCCCGGGACAAGCAGCACAGGTAGCGGGGGCTCAGCCCGGGGTGGGAGGGGGTCCCCAGGCCCGGCTTCCCCGCAGACCCTGGGACGGGGCCTTGCAGGGCGCCGGGCACCCTCGGAGCGGCGGAGCCAAACGGACTCTCAGCTGTTTTCCATCCCTCATAATTCTCTGGCTGGAGCAGTTGGAGAATTTGAGTGATTTAACTCACAAAGTTAAGCATATACAGCGTTGTTATTTTTAACGTACGCTTTTAAAACATGGTTTATATACATTATAGGAGGTGCCTAATGAGAGAACTCGTTCCCCTATCAAAAATACCGTGAGTTATTTCAGTGGGCGAAAAGTTGTCAGATAAGAGAGCTTACTTGAAAAATATTTACTATATTATATATATATATTTTTTCAGATGAAAAGTATGTTTTCATTTTATAGGGAATTCATTATATATATATATATTTTTTTGAGTCGGAGTCTCGCTTCTTTGCCCAGGCTGGTGTCCAATGGCACAATCTTGGCTCACTGCAACCTCTGCCTGCCGGGTTCAAGCAATTTTCCAACCTCAGCCTCCCAAGTAGCTGGGATTGCAGGCAGGTGCCAGCATGCCTGGCTAATTTTTGTATATTTAGTTTCACCACGTTGGCCAGGCTGGTCTCGAACTCCTGACCTCAAGTCATCTGCCTGCCTCCGCCTCCCAAAGCGCTGGGATTACAGGTGTGAGCCACCGCGCCTGGCCTATGTTGTTTATTATATATCGTAAGATATATATATATATATATTACTGATATGTATACATATATAACAGATATGTTATATATATCAGTTATATATACACATGAGATGAAAAGTACATCTTCATTTTACAGAGAATTCTTTCAAATCAAATCATCAAACACTCTAAAAGTGGGCAAAGTACCTTTTTCCAGATCTACAAGTTATTTATATACATAGGAAAAAATCCTTTGCATTTCTGGTATAAGAATTTAAAAGAGGAATGAAACAGTTTTCTATCCACAATATTTGTGAGGATGTTTTATACTGCTGCTTAAAGTTTAAGTTGCTGATTACTTTTCAAAGTACTCATTTGAAAATGGTAAGTACTACATTTAAAAAGTGTGTAAGCCCTTTACCCACCAATTCCATTATACTAAAATACCCTTAGGAAATAAAGAGACATGCACTTTATTTTTCACAGTACTTACTTTAAAAAGAACCCATAGAATGGATCCTATAAATAAATTTCAGTTGCATCCATAGGATGGAATAATATGTGACCACTGAAGGTGGCAATAGATACAGAAGTACGTTGATGTGCAAAGATGTATTTTGTTATAGCTAGCGAGGAAAAAAAATTAGTTAAATTATACATACACATACTATGGTCTTGTTTTAGCAAAAATATGTACAAAATATAAAATTTGTAATTTCTGAGCATTTGTATTTTAAGTAAAGTTTTTTTCCTTTTTCTTATCTGTGATTGCTGCAGTGAGCATGTACAAAACTTCTAGTAAAAGTTTATTATTAATGGAATAATCCTTGGGAAGAGAGGAATATGAATCTTGTGCTGATGAAAATAATTTCTCACTTTCTATTGTTTATCATTATTGTGTGTGTTGTTATCTTCTTTGAGCTTTTAGCCTCCTCAGAAGTAAAAAGGGAATATTTTTATCTGTTTCCAGATTTTATTATCTATATATTTTATTATGTACATATGTTTTTCTTATATACTCATTCCATTTATGCAAACAAAGCTGGATTGATCATTTCATTTTAATTGTATTCTTTAAAAATAAAATAACATATAAATAATTACTATTGCAAAAATATTGCTTTATAGGAGTTTATTTAAAAATATTGAACTCCCCAACTGTATTTATCCATTCTTTCATTCTATTTATGGATCAAGCGTAACCTGAGTACCTGCTATGTAGCAGACATATTCTACCATCTCTCAGGACCCGTCCATCCTTAAACACTTCATGTTTACCTGTCCCGCCTGCACAAGCTGAGAGATTTAAAATAGGAATATTGGGACTTAATCTCCTTGAAACTTTATCTCCCACCTTTCAAACAAAAGCATTTCTGAAGTTAGAAAATAGAAGATAACCTTTAACTGCTCTTTCGAAAGTTTATCAGTCTTAAATACTAATATTAATCATTGGAAAGTCTTATTTGCATATATTCTCTAAGTATAAATATTGAATACAATGAGCCATATGTATTCATTTGAATCATGAGTTTCCTTTGGCTTCAAGTTGTTTGAAAATCAAAGAATTAATTTGTTTAAAAAATGCATTATTGTTATTTCAGTGCTCTTTCCCCATAGTACCTTTAAGAACTAAAATGTATTTAAGTTTCAGTTACATGCTTAGAACTGCCCTAGACCTGCTGAGTATACCATATTCTACTTAATGTAAGGTCTCATGGATTGCGTGATGCCCCGCTATTTTATATATCAATAAGATAATTTTTAAAATGCTACCAATTATAGTTATAACAAATCATGAATTATAAGTGACATTCCAATGTCAGAGGTGTTAAAATGTGACCTACTCGTTAAGTCATCCTGCAAAGTAGGTATAATTGTATCATTCTACCTAATTAAAATGGTTTTGTTTAGTAGTAATAGTAATAATTATAATATCTGGCTGGGTGCAGTGGCTCACACCTGTAATCCCAGAACTTTGGGAGGCTGAGGTGAGAGGATTGCTTGATGCCAGGAGTTTGAGACCAGCCTGGGCAACAAAGTGAGATTCTTACTCTACAAAAATTTTTAAATAAATAGCTGGGCATGCTGGTGCTCATCTGTAGTCCCAGCTACTCAGGAGGCTGGGGATGGAGGATCATTTGACCCAGGAGTTCCAGGTATAGTTACACCATTGCACTCCAGCCTGGGCAAAAGAGTGAGACTTTGTCTCAAAAAACAAAAATCTTAGAATTATTGAGTTGTTGTAGGAACTGTTCTACATACTTTACATAGCTTCTCATTTAAGCATAACGATGGTGTCCTATGAGATAGCTACTATTGTCATCTTTATTAATGAGGAAGTTGAGGCACAGAAAGGCTAAGCAATAGTTGGTAAGTGTCAAGGCTTAAAGTAGGACTCAAGCCCTAGTTGAACGGAATCCAAAGACTGAGCTCTTTCTACTCAAATAGGCTGCTGTTTTCATTAAGGCAGTGAGCAATAAGAGCTAGTAAGTATTGTACTTTCTTCAAAAAAATTATTTGTTTTGAAGGCAGAGGAAAAACATGCTATTCAATTTTTACAGTTACATGAATGATTGTATGTTTTGAGATATTGTACTACAGTTTCTTAAAAAATCCTCTTACTCTCGTAGAACTGCTCTACACTTGGCCTGTGCCAGTGGCCATGTGCAAGTGGTCACTCTCCTGGTTAACAGAAAATGCCAGATTGATATCTGTGACAAAGAAAACAGAACGCCTTTGATACAGGTATATTAGAGCCAACTATTTCAGCATGACATGGATTTGATTTACATATATAGAATTAAAATAAATTGATCTCATTTACATGTAACTAGTTGGTGAAACCTGTGGAATGTGTATTTTGAATTCTTGGAATTTACAATCTGTTTCTTGGTCTAACACGGACAGGCTGTCCATTGCCAGGAAGAGGCTTGTGCCGTTATTCTGCTGAAACATGGCGCCAATCCAAACCTTAAGGATATCTACGGCAACACTGCTCTCCATTATGCTGTGTATAGTGAGAGCACCTCACTGGCAGAAAAACTGCTTTCCCATGGTGCACACATTGAAGCACTGGACAAGGTATAGATCAATCAACTTTCTTTCCAAAATATTTGTTTTAACATTGACATAGGTAAGGGTCAATTTTTTATATGTGGAAGCTCAACCATTCCCTGAATGCAAATACAAATTAAGTTATTTTGAAATAACTTAATTGTCTAAGATTTTATTTTAAATATTGATACTTTTAAAGAAGCATTAAAGGGCACAGCTTTATAAAATGCACTTTGGAAAATATTTGTGAATTTGTTAAAGGTAAAACCTTTTCAACTTTTTTTCTACACAGGGTTATTCTTTTTTTTTTTTTTTTCTTAATTAGTGTAAAACAACACAGGAAAGAAAATATTCCCTGGAAATAGGCTTTATCTTAAAACTCAAACAAAACTAAAGCAACTTAGAAAAAGTGGACATGCTGCTGCTGCTGCTAATTTTCTGAAAAACTGATGTATTATCTCTCAGTGGCAAGGCTTAAGAGGGAAAAATGGGAGGGGAGAAAGAGAGCAATCAGAAATATGCAGGTCACTTGGATATTAGATAATGAGGGGAAATGCCAGGAAGAGGTTTTTTTTTTTTTTTTTAAGTTTGTTTTATGTGTTTAGACAAGGTGCTGTTTAGCTTTGGGTCTAATAATTTTTGGTTTGAAAAAGAATGAGTTGCAACTTGCCTAGAGACGAATTTTAGGAGGACTCTGAGGAAACTAGATTGGCAGTGAATATGTGGTGACGAAGTGAGAAACACTTCAGCAGAAGGTGGAACAAATTATTAACTGACTTATTGCTCATCCTGGCAGAAACAGCCACTTAAATAAGAACCTAAAGCCTCCTCTCAAATCTAGAATGTCTTAGTGGGAAGGTGGGAGATAAGGAGCTTGTAAATAGCAAAATCAAGTGGGATTTTGAGTTTACTTGTCCCTGTTCTACCCATAGCCAGGAAACTTAACTGGAGTTTTAATAAATGACACTCTCTCTTACTCTTTTCTCTTTTTGGCCACATCTCCAACTGATAAAGGAATTAGCCATGTGGGTGAGAGGTGAGACTGAAGTGATTGCTGCACTAATTCTCAGAATTGTGCATTACAGTGACCTGAGGACATTTTGTTAAAAATCTACAATTGTAGGCTTTCCCCTGAAGATTTTGATGTAATAGACCTAATAAGGCCTGAACATGTTTAAAAATGTTTTCTTGAAGCTGGGCAAAGTGGTGTATTCCTGTAGTCCCAGCTTGAGCCTAAGAGTTTGAATCCAGCTTGAGCAACATAGTGAGACTCTTGTCTCTAACAACAATAATAGCCAAAAAAAAAAAAAAAAAAAAAACCACACACAAAATAACAAAAAACCTTCAAGGTTGGGATACACTCTTGATTAAAAACCCCAGAATAGATAAGTGCAATATATAAATTTCTGTATCTCAAAAATGTAAGAAATCTCTAGAAGAGTTGGCATTTGATAGTTGCCACTTCCTTCAAAGTTCTCCTTTTCAATAATATTAGCCTGACTTATCTGTCTTTCTCTACATCTGTGACTGGGAAGTGAAAGGAAATATCATTGGCAATATCTCTCAGCTTACAGAATAACATGTTTTCCTTCCCACCATGAATCATTCACTACCATTCAGAGAGTCTTCAGAAATTTGCTTATGGGTAATCTTTCAATAGGTAGAGGCTGACCCTTTCATGATTTCATGTCCCTTTGTCACCACGCAGGTGATTATGTGTCAACAAATGTTCATTACAAGTTGGGCTTTCTCAATTAGAATAGTAGCAAATCCTAAACTTTTTTTTTTAGTTGAAGTTTTATTATGAACTATCTCAGTATGTTTAAGTTTATAGAACTTTAGCATACCCAAAATGTCAGTTTTAAACACTGAAATCCATGAAGTTACTAAGAATATAGATAGGAATTCTTTTAATAATTTAGTTTTAGCAGTCTTGTGAACCAATTATCTATTTGGTTAACAATCTGGGAAAATTATATACAAACATATTTTAAATGAATACATGTTGGAAAAATTCTTGAAGCAGGTATTGTGAGTCGTTTTAGCAATTTTTATTACATATGAGAGCCTGATTTTTTGGTAGAACATATGATACCAGAGAAAGAAAATATTTTACATGCAAATACTTGGATTATACACAACCATTTAGTAACACATTAATGGCGAATATAAAAACACAAGGGCCATATTCTAATGTGGTACACAGATTTGTTTGTTTTCCTCTATAAGTTGAATCAACATGTAAAATTTAGAAGACTCGTGAAGAAATGTGGACTTCAGGCTTATCCTAAAAAATCAAATCTGGTGTCCCCTGAGTTTCTATCATTCTTTGGTCTGCTGTGCAGAAGTTGCCCCTTTATAGAAGGCAGGTATTCTCCAGTTTGCTACTGTGCCCACCTTAGTACTTCCCTTACTCAGGCAACCTTCCTTTGTCCTTGTAAGTATCTGAGTTTACAACTCCTATGTTATAGTATATTTTGATAAAAATTTCAAGGTTTTTAAGTCAGCATGTATTTGTTTATAATATATAGTCTATAGAGTATATAAATCCCTCAGTTATGGAGTTGAATTTTAGAGTTTAGAATTTTTTAACTCTTTTCTTTATATATACCACAAATAATTCTCTGCCCATAAGAATGCCTAGAAGCCTTTTTAGGTTATTCCTGGTTATAGTTGGATAATTTACGAATATTGCAGACAGTACATCTTTCTCCTCAGTGCTCTTCCTTAAAGATGCAAGTGACTTATTGGCTTGTATAATGCCAGAAATAATCCATATGGATCAGTATGAGAACTTTTATTGATAAGCCATTATGTTTTTATTTCCAATTTATATTTTGTCTAAAATAAAAAATAATTTTAAGTAGCCATTTAAGTGGAAGCCAGTAAAAATGGATTTAAAAAGTAGAGCTGCACTAGGGTCCCGGGATTACCATTATAATTGAGAATAGTATTTCTTACTGAGTTTTGGTTTTTAAAATATTTGTTCTTAAGTTTTTTAAACCTATCTCTCTTACACAGAATATACTGAGCTTTCTAACAGTAAAGATAAAAATCTCTTCTCTTGTATTAGGGGAAAAACCCATGGACTACTTAATAATAAGGAAAATAAATGCATTTGAAGGCAATCTCTCTTAATTCAAAGCTCATTTCCATGGTGACCCATTTGGAGCAGGAGTGCCTGACATTGGCATCTGGGATCCTGACACCATTGATAGAAGTGAATCAAGCAAGTTTGTACCACCCAGAGGAAACCGCCACCTGTATTGGGAAGCTCTGGCAACTGTATCTCTGAAACTCTTAATTCCTCAAATGTTAATGTTTGCCACAAATAGTATTGTCAAAGGGGGATTAGGTAAAATTAAAGAGATTTCTTGATTATTGGACATAAAATACAGTTTTGTAATACTTCTCAAATACAGATGGTCATGGAGTCTTTCTCTTGGGGTATAATACTTCTGATAAAGCAAATATTCTTTGGAATATAGTTTAAGAAACACTGCTTTAGAGATAGTAATTTAGATCATTAATTTATGTAAAAAACTTAAAATATTTGCTACTGTGTCTTAGGGTTTTAGGCCCTTGCCTCAAG
This sequence comes from Homo sapiens, assembly GCF_000001405.40. Taxonomy (NCBI): domain Eukaryota; kingdom Metazoa; phylum Chordata; class Mammalia; order Primates; family Hominidae; genus Homo; species Homo sapiens. Next base: position 94,849,636 of record NC_000002.12, on the reverse strand, counting down.
AAGCTCTTGGTTTCAGTGGGAAACAGTGAAATGACTACAATGTACCATGCTAAGTGCTGTGATCAAAGCAAGGATTCTTGGGACTGGTAAATGTTTAAAGTGAGTTTTGGCAATCACCACAGTTAATCCGGGGAGACAGAGGAGGGTTGTTTGCAAGGCAGAGCGCAGCACATCAGAAAGCACAGAGGAGTGAGAAGGAAGGGACTGCTTTTCATTTACTTCCTTTCTATATTGTATGTTGAAGTTCAAAGCATCCTAGAGAAGACTTTCAGTTCAGTTGAGAAATATGTAATTTTGTGAATTATTAATTTTTTTCTGCTGTTTTGTAGGACAGTAATACCCCACTTTTATTCGCTATAATTTGCAAGAAAGAGAAAATGGTGGAATTTTTATTGAAAAAGAAAGCAAGTACACATGCCGTTGATAGGCTGAGACGGTACAGTAGTTCTTTTTTTAAAAATAAAACCTGAGTATTCTAGAGTGGTCACTCAAGTCAGAAATATTAATAAGAAGATTAACATAATTATTGGCATATAATGAAAAATATCACCATGAATAATCAGATAGACCAGCAAATATTTGGACTGAGTAACATAAAGAATAGTACATAGTAGGATTCATCTTCTCTTATAATATACAGTGTTTGGTATTTATAATCAGATGTTTTTGGTACTGTAATCTTTTATTAGCTAAAGGGTTTTGTATTAGTTTTATTAATTTTTTTTTTTTTTGAGATGGAGTCTTGCTCTGTTGCCAGGCTGGAGTGCCGTGGTGTGATCTCAGCTCACTGCATTCTCCACCTCCCAGGTTCAAGCGATTCTCCTGCCTCAGCCTCCCAAGTAGCTGGGACTACAGGTGCACGCCACCATGCCCAGCTAATTTTTGTATTTTTAGTAGAGATGGGATTTCACCATGTTGGCCAGGATGGTCTCGATCTCTTGACCTCGTGATCTGCTCTCCTTGGCTTCCCAAAGTGCTGGGATTACAGGTATGAGACACTGCACCTGACAAGTTTTATTCATTTTTAAAGTGTGGACTTTTAGTTTATGACTACTAGCATTGTCATTATTATTATTGTTGTTGTTGTTGTTTTCAGCCTGCAGATAACTCTTATCTGACCCCTAGCTGATTTGACTAGGAAAGCAATGGGGAAATCTTCATCTAAGTCTTTGCCTACTTTAGATAAGTGACCTCAGCACAGTTTCTTGGCCATCGAAGGACTATAAGTTAGCAACTTGTATTATGTCTTACCCCAGTGGGACAAGAGGCTTCCCTGTTGTCCCTTTCTTTTAGCCTTGGTGACAATTTACAAAGATGAACACTTGAGCACCCTAGATGCTTATAGACCCAAGCTAGTACATGCAAATGGTTATTACATCTACACTGACAGGCGGATATTAAATTGGTAAAGTGTATCAAACTAGCTTTTTAAAAAAGTCTTTATTAAAGTTCTTGAGTGGAGTTATTTCTTTGTTATTTTAGGTCAGCTCTCATGCTTGCTGTATACTATGACTCACCAGGTATTGTCAGTATCCTTCTTAAGCAAAATATTGATGTCTTCGCTCAAGACATGTGTGGACGAGATGCAGAAGATTACGCTATTTCTCATCATTTGACAAAGTAAGTGTTTATGTTAAAAGGCCAGTTAATGCTAAATTGAAGTTTAAAATAATTGCAACTACTCCATCTTATACATTAGGTGAGAGTTCACAGTTTGGTTCAGATAGTTTGAAATAGCGAAGAGTTAGTCTGCCTTTTAGCCAGAAATCAAGCAGAAGTCTAGATTAGTTAGAAGTAGAGTGCAAGATTTTTTCTGGATTTTTGAGACCTTTATCCCTAGGGATCTCAATGTTATTCATTTTATTCTAAGTATAATCCCCATGCATGGGATAAAAGGAGCCATGTCTTTGATTTCTTTTCCTTTCCTTTCCTTTTTTTTTTTTTTTTTTTGTAGAGACAAGGTCTCACTCTGTTGCCCTGGCTGGTCTTGAACTTTTGAGGTCAAGTAATCCCCCTGCCTCGGCCTCTGAAAGTGCTAGCCACCATGCCTGGCCTGACTTTTCTAATTAGTTATTGAGTCTTGTAATGTCCAGTTTAACAGAAAATCTTGTCCCCTGGGGCTCTCTCCTGTGTCTTCCTTCTTTGAATTTTCCAAGAAGCTAAGGGGTTTCCTAAGTCCAAGGAAGGCAATCTTTCTTCACAAGTCAGAAGAAGGGGAAAAAAGGCCATTCTGATCATTCTGTTGTTTCCATGGACTCACTTGCTGTATTATTGCCATTATAACCGGTCCTGCAATCTGATAATGATTGACCTTTGCCACCAGGATGCCTTCACTGATTCAGACCCCTCAGTTTTCATGGTGATTCATATATAGAGGTCAAAGCTACGGTGTTTATTAGTTTATGTACTTGTGCTCGGTCATTGTTCCCAGCACCCTGCTCTGGCAGCTAGGCCTCCTAGCTTTATCCACACAAGTATTGAGCAAGTTGATGCTCACCGTACACTAAAAACCTTATTTGGAGCCCACGTCTTAGCTAGACTTTGCCTAGGCCTTCATGGTATGTTATCCTTTGAGAGCCATGTTTGTCTTTCCTTTAACCAATATTAGTTGGGATTGTTCTCAATAGTCAGGGATGTTCAAATAATGTTGCAGGAAGAGATCAGAGTTCCCTGTCTCTTTTGCTATCAGATCTGTACCTTGAGGCTTTTTTATATCCTGTGCAGCAGCTTTGGTTAGATAGCGGAATGTTCCATGTTATCTTTCCACTGAGTAGTGGGAACCAGCTTGCAGTTGGCCCCTCAAGTAATGTGTCTCTATAATCATGAAAATCTCCTGGGCTACTTGCAGCTCTTCCTCAAGTTTTAAATATATTTTAAAATTCTACCTCACAGGAAGCCATTCAATAAAATTCTCTGAATCTGAAGTAAGTGAGTTGGATTTAATAGAGCTAAGCCTCATCCATGACTCATGAGTATCCATGTATCAAACAGGGCTTTGTACTTATTTCAACAGCACATATTTTAAAATTGGATCAATACAGAGCAGATAAGCATGGCTACTGCCTAGGGATGGCACACAAATTCAGAAAACATTCCATATTTTACATAGTCCCAGGAAGGCCATTTGACTATTTGTTGAGTAGCTCCAAGGAAGCAGTGTGAGCAAAACCAAAACAGGTGACACGCAATATTGAAATTGTGATTATCGCTATGAAACTATTGATGTATGGTGATCTCTGAAATGGGAACAGAGCTGAGTAATAAGGGGATGTTACATGTTGTTAGTACATGTCTTGGAAATGAGAAAATGTCAACTTGCATTTCCTTCATGGAACTGAAAAACAATCAAAGCAGGGTTTTGTCTTGTCTGTTAGTTGGAGAGGACCATGGAGATCCAGCAGCCAAGCACAGATCTGCTGGCTCAGAGTTTGGGGAGGTAGAGAAGGAGTGGTAGTTGTCCAAGCCAGGTTTTGACACCTATTAGTTTTCTGCCCTTGGTGTGATTGATGAGCTCAGTGATGAGCTCACTAAATTTATATATATATATAAATTTAGTAATAAGTTATGAATTAGGTAAAATGCCCTGAATTACAAGCCACAATGAATACAAGTAATAACCAAAATTAGCACTTAATAACATTTTCTGAAAACTGCAACATTTGAATATTAGAACTTACAGAAAAACACACACCGAGCATTATTTGGGATTCCAAAATGGTTTCAGCAATAAAGTTCAAGAATAAATTATTCCATTGCTTTACTATTTCTCTGAACATTTAAACATGTAATCTCATTACATCTTCCAAACAACTTAGTGAAGTAAGGTAGCAGAATCCTTATTTTTTAGAAGAAGCCTAAGAGAAGCAACTTGTCTGAAGACAAAATACCTACAGAGCGAGGTATTTTGGTTACAGAGCGAGGACTTACTCTGAGTGCAGGACACTTTGCATGATATCCAGCTAACTAGAGTTCATTTACTGAGCTGTGCTTCCTCCATTTATGAGTACTTCACTTTCTTTTCTTCTTTAATTATAAGCTTAATAAGCTTGTAAGGTTTACAAATTTGAAGTGTATGGGACATTAAAATTCTGATATTAGGTCTGATATTGCCTGAAAGGGTTTTGGAATTTAATATGTTTGGTAAATATTTTTTATTTCAGTATAAAAATAGCAATTTTATTTATTACTTTTGTATACGTAGAATTCAACAACAAATTTTGGAACATAAACAGAAGATACTTAAAAAGGAGAAATCAGGTAAGACTTCTGATTGTGAATTTCTTACTTCTCTTGGTGGTCCTACTCTTGATAAGAAAGTACAAAGTAAGATGTAAGATTAAGGTAGTTTCAGTCAAAAAAGACCAGTTTAAAAATATGTGTAAATTGAAAGTGTATATATGTATATACATATGTAAATTAATTTTTAAAATTTAACTTGTTTAGTTTGAAATTCAGATTTATTTAAGAAGGTAGTTGTAGCTAATTTATAATCTCAAACATTATTGTCTGAAAACATTCATTTATTTAATTATGATCCCTAAAATCCTATATAATATTTTTGCATAAATAAGAAAAAAGATTTTTAAGTTAGTATGTTGTATGTTTCCTCTATAGTCACATTATACCAAATTGGACTTGTTATACAAATGGATCTTCGATTTCATTTTTATAATAAATTGTTTATATTTAGTAAATAAATAACTACAGTTGACCCATGAATAATGTGGGGGTGAGGGACTCTGATCCCTGTGCAGTTGAAAATCTGAGTATAACTTTTGATTCCTTCACCTTAGCTACTAATAGCCCACAATTGACTGGAAGCCTTCCTGATAACATAAACAGTTGATGAACACCTATTTTGTTTGTGCTGCATTATTATATACTGTGTTCGTACAATAAAATAAGCTAGAGAAATGAAGCTGTTAGAAAGGAAATCATCAGGAAAAACATATTGACTTTTCATAAAGCATAAGTAGTCCTGACAAAGGTCTTCATGATCTTCAGGTTGATTAGGCTGAGGAGGAAGAGGAGAGGTGGATCTTGCTGTCTCTCTGTTGCAGAGGCAGAAGAAAATCTGCATATAAGTGAATCCCTGCAGTTGAAACCCTTGCTGTTCAAGGGTGAACTGTATTACATATTGATTTGTGTCACTAAGAAAGTAACTATCTTTAGAACCGGGAACTCAGCAATCCCTTTCTGGTACCGTAAATAAATGGCAATAAGAACTGTAGAACTGAACCAGTGTGCACCCATACAAATAGGAGATTATTTTTTGAAGATAGCTACTGAGCACAGAAGATGGAAAAGCAATTCCTTTGTGAGAAGCACAAGTTATATTACATATTCGTACACAAGCAAAATGATTTTATCTGTCATAGTTTACATACGTACACATACACACATGCACATGTGCACACACCTGTGCACACAGACACAAAGTTAAAAGTCCTGCTGATTCTTAATGACCAAATCCAACTGTTCACAGAGAGCGGTGGATAATGCATCCTACTGTTTGGATGCAATTCTTTTGACTTTTTGACTTGTTTTGTGATGAACTGCCTTTAATGGGTTTAAATCATGTTTTTAGTTTTATGAGAAATGAAGAAAAAGATTAGAAGCAAGTAAACAGGAACTCTATGGTCTGTAGTAGACTATAATAGTATATTCAATAGTCATATGTTTTTCTCCAGTTATACAATTTACTTGAATGATGCACAATTAATCAATTATTATTATCATAGTAGATGGGGTCTCTCTATGTTGCCTAGGCTAGAATACAGTGTCTATTCATTGGTGCAATCATAGCTGACTGTAGCCTTGAACTCCTGGGCTCAAGCAGTCCTCCTACCTCATCCTCCTGAGTAGCTGGGACTACAGTTTTGTGTGGTTACATCTGGCCTGATACACAATTATTTATTTGTTTATTTATTTTTAATACAGGGTCTCCCTCTGTTGTCAGTACTGGTGTGCAGTGGTGCCATCTTGGCTCACTGCAACTTCTGCTTGCTGGCCTTAAATGATCCTTTCACCTTAGCCTCCCAAGTAGCTGGGACTACAGGCATGCACTACCACACTTGGCTAATTTTCTTTTTAAGGGTTTTTTTGTTTGTTTGTTTGTTTGTTTAATAGATGAGGTCTCACTATATTGCCGAGGCTGGTCTGGAACTTCTGGGCTCAAGTGATCCTCCTGCCTCAACCTCCCAAAATGCTTGGATTTACAAGTGTGAGCCACTGCACTTGGCCTTCAAAATTATTATAAAAAGGAATGAAGCCCAGTTTAGTTGCAGAAAATTGACCACTTTTTCATTTTTGTTTCTAGAAACATTCATATTGTAGAACATATTGTCAATCACCCAGATTCTCTATTTTTTATTCGGATAAAAGAGGATTGCTGCTTATTTCACATTATTTTCTGACATTATTTTTTCATTTATTCCTTCTATGGCTTTATTCAATTGGATAGATATAGAAATACAAGAATCTCCAAGTCAAATATCAAGGCAAAAAAAGAAAAGAAAAACAGATTAGGGAAAGTTATTCTGTGAAATAACCATCTGATTACAGTTACATGTATCATATCAACTTAATACAAATCTTACACAATGAATTTGTGTCAAGGTTTCCCAAGACCACCCCAGGTTTGGTGGTTCATTAGAAGGACTCACAGGACTCAGCAAATAGTCATACTCAGATCTTTAATTGATAACAAGGAAGGGGACAAGCAAAATTAGTAGAGAAAAAAGGTGCATGTGGTCAATTCTGGAGGAAACAAGGCACAAGCCTCCAGGAGTTCTGTCCTGTGGAGTTCCCGGGATCTGCTTAATTCTCCCAGGCTCACATTTTGACAACATATGTGCAGTGATGTCTACCAGTAGCAGAGTCTCATTAGAGACTAAGTGCCCAAGTTTTTCTATGGAGGTTACTCTCCCTCACATGTACCGAAATTCCAGACTCTTACAAGGAAAGCAGCTGTTTAGAGTAAATACACTGTTTCTATAAGCACTTTAGACACAGTGAGCCATTCTTCTCAGGGAATGGTGGAAACCCTCCCATTTCCAATTTCCTAAACACCAGCCAAGGGCCAGCCTTGCATGCAGGCCTTTCTAAGGATGGATGGCAGCCTCTTGCCTGCTATATGAAATCTTTTCTGCACAACACTTGTAACCCCAACTTAATTTTTGGTGTTGTTTTAAAATTTCATTTTAATAACATAATATTATAAGATAAGGTAACTTGGTACTAATTTCTGTTGTATGATCCATCTTAAGTTGCAGTGCTGGTTACTTTTTTGGCTTTTGGTGATGAACAGCTATTTGTATATAAGTTACCATAGCAATGTTAGGTAATTATAATCTGTCCTATTTATCTCATTAACCTTTCAGTAAAATTGTTAAATTAAATGAGCAAAATAATTTCTGAGTTAAAATTAGAATAAAAATTGTCTTTTATTTTGATTACATGAATAGTCTAGTTTTCATATTGTGCTAAATCCCTGTTTAGAATTATGAAATAAGATAAAATATTCAATTATTTTTATCAATATTTTCTTACCTAAGCATGCAATTAAATTTATTTATTTTATATATTTTATATAGCTCAATTTGAGAAGTAATGACCACATGTTGTTACTTTGGTCTTCAATGATCTCTAATTTTTAGGGACACCGTGTCTTGCTTAAATATATCATAGTAACAGGTTCAGTGAATATCTTTATTTTTTATTTTATTTACTTATTTTTTTTGAGACGGAGTTTTGCTCTTGTTGCCCAGGCTGCAGTGCAATGACACAATCTTGGCTCATTGCAACCTCCACCTCCCAGTTTCAAATGATTCTCCTGCCTCAGCCTCCCAGGTACCTGGAACTACAGGCATGCACAATCATGCCTGGCTAATTTTTTGTATTTAGTAGAGATGGGGTTTCACCATGTTAGTCAGGCTGGTCTCGAACTCCTGACCTCAGGTGATCCACCTACCTCGGCCTCTCAAAGTGCTGGGATTACAGGCATGAGCCACTGCCCCCAGCCATTTATTTATTTATTTTAATTGTTGTTCTGGAGATCCTGGGATGCATAGACAGTGAATATCTTTTTTGTTTTTTGAGATGGAGTCTCACTCTGTCTCCCAGGCTGCAGTGCAGTGGTGCGATCTCAGTTAACTGCAACCTCCGCCTTCTAGGCGCAAGTGATTCTCCTGCCTCAGCCTCCTGAGTAGCTGAAATTACAGGTGCCAGCCACCATGCCCAACTAATTTTTGTATTTTTTATTAGAGATGAAGTTTTGCCATGTTGGCCAGGCCGGTCTTGAACTCCTGACCTCAGGTGATCCACCCACCTTTGCCTCCCAAAGTGCTGAGATTACAGGCATGAGCCACTGAGCCCAGCTGAATATCTTTTTTAAATCAATAACCTTATTTCTTAGAGCAGTTTTAGGTTCACAGCAAAATTGAGAGGAAGGTACAGAGATTTCTCATATATCCCATGCCTCCCACACACGCATAGGCTCCCCCATTATTACTATTTTCCACCAGAGAGTGGTACATTTGTTAGAACTGATGAACTTACATTGACACATTATAATCATTCAAAGTTCATAGTTTACATCAGGCTTCACTCTTGATGCTGTACATTCTGTGAATTTGGACAAATGTATAATGACATGACATGTATCTATTACTGTAATATTATCGACAGAACAGTTTCACAGCCCTAAAAGTTCTCTATGCTATGCGTGTTCATCTCTCCCTTTCTCCCTAGCAACTCGTGGCAACCATTGATGTTTACTCTGTCTTCATAGTTTCACTTTTTTCAGAAGAGTCACATAGTTGGAATAATACAGTGGATATCTTTTTGAATAGTTAAAAAATTAAAGCTCCGTGGCAGTTGAATGTAGTCATTTAAGATGTTCTTTGTCCTTTTGTTTTCCTTTTGCTTCTTTATCATTGTAAAGAATGATATATTCTGATGACATATGCTTTACATACTTAGAAAACGTGATTTGTATAGATATGTGGCACATAATAGAAAGGGTTGAGGAAAAGGACACCGTGCTGTACCACACAGCACAAACTGGAGCATCTTGCTCTGTGAGGTGGGTCCAGATAGACTCTCTAGTAATGGAAGGGGACAAGTGCAAGGGGTTGTACTTTATAAAACTGGAATCACAAAGTCTTTCATACTTACCTTCGGTTGGAAATAAGACCAGGCAGTGAATGCTATAGGTAAATACATATGTTCCTCACTGATCCTCTTCCTTTGACTGATGGGGTTGATAACAGCCTGTATTATGATGATGTGACTCACTTACAACTAGATTCTGTCATGAGGGATTGCAAGAGAGTTTTGCTTTCTGTGAGGTGAAAAAGAATTTTTTTCCCCTACTAGGGAGAAGGGCAAGCACTGGAACATTCTGGTAGTAAAAGGGCATTGATGGTTTTCTTTCTATATATTTTTCACATCATATAGTACTGCCCAGCAGCCTGCCACACCTCCCTGGTGTTTCTTCAGCTTCTCTCTGAATGTGAGGTGTGGTTCCTAGCGGATAAGCTCTTAAAGGAGTGATATTTCCAGCGGTTTTTCTGTGGGAGGTAAAATGGCAGGTGAATTTGGGCCTTGCTATATGTAGGGCAGAGCAAATAGCTACAACTAAGTAAACCACCCAGCACCGTCCCCAAAGAGTAGTAGCCAGAGTAATACATTGATCTCTTTTGAGCTCTTTTCCAGTAGCAGCTGGAAAGTCTTTGCAAGGATTCCTGTTTCTGGTCTGATTCCTATGTTTTGCTGACTTCTGGTGATAGGGTGTTTTATTCTAAACTGAGCAGTTTGAACTGAAGAGCTAGAGAGGCTGTGTTGTGTTATAACAAAATAAGTGCAGTAGCTCCCCCTTAACTGTGGGAGATACATTCCGAGACCCCCAGTGGATGCATGAAACCATGAATAGTACTGAATCACAAACTGTTTTTCCCTATACATACATATCTATGCTAAAGTTTAATTTATAAATTAAATTGAATCTGATGTTACCAGCAGATAGGGTGTGAGAATTGAATTGTGTCATCAGCAGGAATGATTGCTTGCTTGTTGGTGGGGAAAAACCCTCCACATATTTGGTCACAGAAGCCTTCTTTGTTGATGATTGTTGCTGTGGTGTGACAGCAGAGAAAAACGTGTCAAGTGTGTCTTTCTGCACATATAGTGGATAAGGGATACTACTGTATACTCTGTTTTAATGGCACCTCATATTGTGGTCCAGAAATCATGCTCTTTGACACTTTTGACTCATCACACCTGTTCTGCTAACAATACCATTTTTACTCGATCTCACAGGGTTTGGCTAGGATGACTTGCATACTTCAGTTCACTTGTAGATACCAAATTTTAATAAATTTATTCTTCTTTGCATCTAATAAATACAAAGGGAAGAGTTCTTACTGCATTAACTACCTACCAATATGTATAACGAATGTTAATTCTAATAAGGTCCCAGGCATGCTCCCAAAGGAATGCTTTGTAACAAAGCATCAGTCTTATGCTTTAAAAAACCAAACCAAACCAAAACAACAACAACAAAAAACAGGATCTAAAGCATACATACAAGTGTGCACAATTTTTTTATGAAGGTAGAGTCTTACTATGTTTCCCAAGCTGGTCTCAAACTTCTGGGCTCCTCAAGTGATCCTCCTGCCTCAGCCTCCCAAGTAGTTTGGATTAGAGGGATGCATCACTGTGCATACTTATGCTTTTAATATTCTGTACATTTATTATTGATTTAAAGTGCGTTTTACCTTTTTCTTTAATAGATGTTGGAAGTTCTGATGAATCTGCAGTCAGGTAGGATTTTATAGATTTAAAAAATTATGTTAACTAAGAAAATATAGATGGAAGAAACGAATATCTGTTGAGTGTTGTATTGTGGGCTAGACATCCTAATATGTTCTATGCATTTATCATCTCATAAAGCCATCACAACATCTGTCTTCCTATAACCTGCTGTTTATTAAATAAACAACTATGGATTAGAGCTGATTAATTGCCTCATGATCCCATAGTTAACAAAGTAGCTGGCCTACAGTTTGACCATCAGCCTGCCTACCTTCCAAATTCTGTCTCTTGCTCCTCAGCATAGATTGACAGATATCTGTGCAGCCCTTGGATCAAGGTATAGGTCTGAATCAGATTAGTCAGATTCATTAATTTGATTAATGTCTAAATTAATGAGAGTTTAAATACCTTGAACTCTCATTTATCATTAGAATGTGGTTAGTCCAAGAGTTTGTCCTAATAAATTTGACAATTTCAGTGGTAACCAGTATCTTATTTTTACCATCAAAGGCTCTAGGGCAGATCTTACTTAGCTTTGGCCATAGGGGTGTAAGTTTTACAAAAGCAAGTTTAGGCAAGTCTTAGAGACAAATTATTTGACTTCCCAGTTTGGTTTTCCATTTAGGCAAGTATTTCTGCTTACTTCCATAATACATTTTTTAGTCTTGTTGCTTTTTCCATGACTTTTCTATAATCTTGTCTGCATTTTTTAAAACTTTCTTCTCTGCTTTTCTTGGTATTTCTTTTGTTCTATTATTTTTTCAAACTCTGCTAGCTATGTATTCTAAGTTTTTCTATAGATAGTATCAAGAGGACATAGAATTACAGAATTTTAAGGAATCTTGGAATGAATTAAAATACCTTCTAGTATTTTTACCTGTGTTGAACATTCTGGTCAAATGATTCTCTAGATAGAGAATGTGAGGCTCAAAGAGATTAGGATGCTTTTTTTTAGACATAGGAATTGGCAGAAATGAGATTTGAACTCATGTTAAAGCCCAGTACTCTTGCTTCTTTTTATATCCTATTGGCGTGTGTTTTAATAATACAAACGGGAGTGAGTCTGTGGGTAGAATGAGAATGGAATTAGCTGGTGAACCCAATGGAAGTAGATAAGAATGGAATGAGCAGGGGAAGTCCAAGTTTGAAGATAAACAACACTGGATTGGATAGGAGTACAGACTCTTCTATAAGAGATCAAAATATTGGGGTTTATGACAAGTTTGATAAAGATAAATTATAAAAATGAAGGACACAAGATGTTGGGAATTATCTACAAAGGCATATTAAAATAGAAGGTTCAAGGGAGCTCTAAAAAGTTTGCTGCTTTTTTTTAAATCAAGGACTGACAAACTTGAAGATTTTTACTGAAAGATGCTAAAACATTTTGAGACACTGGGAGGAGCGTCTGCAGCAGATAGAAATGTGGTGTCATCTATTTCCATCCTGACTTACAAAGGGGTGGCTTAGAGCCCCTGGAGTAGTGAGGGGCTGGAGATTGCTGAACTACATAGATCTGTGGCCCAGTACAAGTGTCTCCTCACCTCTGCCTCTTTTCCCGATTCACTGATGTCCTTCCCATGTCCATGTGGGCTGGGTCAGGGGCATGACTGGCTGGCAAATCAGTCATGGAGTTCAGTTGGGTAGTTGGTAGTGTGTCTAGCTGGGGGCAGGTGATGGAGACTCCAGTTAGCTTGTTTTTCAGGAGCAGGGATATAGAGAGCTCCTACTCCTGGTCATTTGAGGCCATCCTTTCAGGAATCTGTGCTTTCATAGACTGAAGATTTAAAGATTGAAGACTTCTGTGGAGCCCTGCAGAAGTGGAATCTGGAAGTGGGAGCCCATAGGAAGACAGATACTTAGAGAGTACTTAGGGAAATAGAGGTGCAACTACCAGGACTCTGTTTTTTTCTGGCAGTCTCTCTCCTTGGGTGTCTGAGTGCCTATGAAGAGTTTTAAGGGCTTGCTAGTTTATGTGGACCTGAATAAGGTAGGACCTATAGGGTGAAAATAATGGGATTTTATAATTGTTAATATTTCAATCTTTCTGGGAAAAGTATTCTCAATAAGAACATACACCTTTGTTATTTGACTTCTGTACATTTAGCTTTCATACATTTCAAATATTGTAGGGGCTTTCCTGTACTGATTTAGGGCAAAGGAAAGCAATAGGACCTTCCTAAGTGGGTTCCATGCTGAGGAATCAAGACTGCCATTCTGAAGTGATGCAGATTAGTCTTTTATCCAGAGACAGATCATGGAAAAGAGACAGTGGATCTTTCTACCTTGTTTTAGGTCATCAGTTTTCTTCCAGTTTAGGTAACAAAATTTATGTCATCCATTAATTGAATTTTAAGTTTAGCTTCAGGACAGATAATTTGTGAGGGCAAATCATTGTCAGGCTCTGCCAATTTATTGACTGTCACTATTTGTTATAAAGCTCAAAGTTAGTTTTCATTGAATATTTTATAGATTTAGACAGGTGGAGGCAGAAATAGGTAACTAAAATCTATTTTTAGAACAGAGGACATATTTTAATTATATCAAGAATCACTATTTAATATATAGATTGCTGACCTTTCCCAAGATTATGGTTTCCTTTTTTGAGGGGGAAGCTGGATATAAACTGGCAGTTAAAAAAATTGTAAAGAAATCAACTTGCTCATTTTCGTTGTGTATTTTCGCTCTCAAGCATTTTCCATGAACTGCGTGTGGATTCATTGCCTGCATCGGATGACAAAGACTTGAGTGTTGCTACTAAGGTAAAGTGGTCTCTTGTAAAATTAATTTTCTCACTCTGAATGTACTTTTGCAGAGTATTTACTTTTCAAGTTTAGCAGTGGTTTACCTATCATTGTTTTATGGTGGTAATGGAAAGTTGGTCAGAGAAAAACATACATATGGCTAGTTGATTCAAAAAATGTGTTTAACTTTGGTAACTAACAAAGATTGATAAGTACTGTGACAGGGTGGGAGCTGAAAAAAAATGAATTGGAAAATTAGTAGTGACAGGAAAATCACATTAGGAAATGCTTTCTCCAATAGAGGAAATGTGAAATTTGGTTAAGGTTTATTTGGATAAATACTAATACTTTGACTTTTAAATCATACGAGTGTGACTTTCTTAATATTTATGCCTGTATAAATCTTCAGTGGATCAAATTATTTGCAGTAATCATGGGATCCTCCTGGTGATTTTTAGTGGCAAAAATATTCAGCACATAGCATATAGCTTTTGATCTTGGAAACTTATTATTTTGGTATCCTATTGTTTTTATGAGAGATTGTTTTTCTACTTATATTATTGGTTCTGTAGTGAGACAAAAAAAATTAAAAATTGTAGAAAAATAACTGAGTGTGGTGGTGTACACCTGTAGTCCCTGCTACTTGGGAATTTGAGGCAGGAAGATTGCTTGAACCCAGGAGTTTGAGAACAGCCTGGGCAACATCGTATCTGATTTAAAAATATAAATTGTGGAAATATAGAAATTTAAATTTATGTTCTCAAAATGTGTATTGCAAAGGAATTTTTGTGTGGTTTATGAGTTGTCCATGAAGAGTTTATATAAGGCACTTCATCTAATTGAATAACATGTATTTTGCTGCAAATAACCAGTTCTAGAAGCAGAGACTCTTAATACCAATGGATGGTAAGACTTTATCATCATAATTTTGTCATTGTAGTTTATTTAAAATATTTATTTCACCAGGTGTGGAGACTCACCTGTAATCCCAGCAGTTTTGGAGGCCGAGGTCGGTAGATCACCTGAGTTCAGGAGGTCGGTAGATCACCTGAGTTCAGGAGTTCAAGATCAGCCTGGCCAACATGGTGAAACCCTGTCTCTAAAAAAAACCAAAAACAAAACAAAACAAAACAAAAGCAGAAAAATTAACCAGGCGTGATGGTGCATACCTGTAATCCCAGCTGCTCAGGAGGCCAAGGTGGGAGAATCGCTTGAACCCGGGAGGCAGAGGTTGCAGTGAGCCAAGATCACACCATTGCACTCCAGCCTGGGTGACAGAGCAAGACTACATCTTAAGAAATAAAATAACCACTCAAAGTCCTCATATCATATTCTGAAATTTTGAATTTCAGAAGGTTTTCTATTTAGTTGTTTAAATAATCATTGGAAGCTCCTGCATACCATAAGCTACTGGAGGTCAGTAAACATATTTGTGTGTATCCTGGAGTACCTAGAATACATTCTTCCATGTAAGAAGCATTTTACTTGTTGTTTTTTGAGATGGGGTTTCATTCTGTCCCCCAGGCTGGAGGGCACTGGTGAGATCTTGGCTCACTCCGATCTCCATTTCCTGGGCTCAGGTGATCCTCACACCTCAGCCATCCCAGTAGTTGAAACAATAGAGCTATGTCACCATAGACCTGTGTCACCATGCTCAGCTGAGTTTTGTAGAGACAGGGTTTTGCCTTGTTGCCCAGGCTGGTCTTTAACTGTTGGGCTCAAGTGTTCTGCCTGCCTCAGCCTCTCAAAGTGCTGGGTTACAGGCATAAGACATTCAGCCTTAATAGTTGTTTAATCTGAATAAATAGACAAATGAATTTTTATATAATGGAATGTTATAAGTAATATAATAAACCTAATGTATCTAATAATTAAATATTGTATTTAAAATATTGCTTACATTGTATTTTTTAATATTTAAGGGTGTATAAGTTTTGATATGTTATGTTGAGAAATTATGCCATAATTAAAAAGGAAATAAAATAGAAATAGGTCATCAGTAGCAAAGAGGGTTACAATATATTTTCTAGTATAATTCAACTGGAATCTTAACATTGAGATTTTAGATTAACATTTCTTAAGCTTTTTATTAGCTCCAACTCATGTTCTATTAAATATACCTTTTCAAGCCATACATTACTCTTTATTATTATTATACTGTAAGTTCTAGGGTACATGTGCACAATGTGTGGGTTTGTTACATGTGTATACACGTGCCATGTTGGTGTGCTGCACCCATTAACTCATCATTTACATTAGGTATATCTCCTAATGCTATCCCTCCCCCCTTCCTCCACCCCACGACAGGCCCCAGTGTGTGATGTTCCCCATCCTGTGTCCAAGTGTTCTCATTATTCAATTTCCACCCATGAGTGAGAATATGTGGTGTTTGGTTTTCTGTCCTTGTGACCGTTTGCTCAGAATGATGGTTTCCAGCTTCATCCATGTCCCTACAAAGGACATGAACTCATCCTTTTTCATGGCTGCATAGCATTCCATGGTGTATATGTGCCACATTGTCTTAATCTAGTCTATCATTGATGGACATTTGGGTTGGTTCCAAGTCTTTGCTATTGTAAATAGTGCCGCAATAAACATACGTGTGCATGTGTCTTTGAGCAGCATGATTTATAATCCTTTGGGTATATACCCAGTAATGGGATGGCTGGGTCAAATGGTATTTCTAGTTCTAGATCCTTGAGGAATCACCATACTGTCTTCCTCAAAGGATGAACTAGTTTACAGTCCCACCAACAGTGTAAAAGTACTCCTATTTCTCCACATCCTCTCCAGCACCTGTGGGTTCCTGACTTTTTAATGATCGTCATTGTAACTGGTGTGAGATGGTATCTCATTGTGGTTTTGATTTGCATTTCTCTGATGGCCAGTGATGATGATCATTTTTTCATGTGTCTGCCATACATTACTCTTTAGAATTCTGGTGACCAATTTTTTTCTGGGTGGAAAGCTGATTGAAAGTTCTAGTTTTCTCTCTCTCTTATAATAATGTTCTTTCAGGTAGTGGTCGATGACCATATTTAGCTAATTGAATGTCTTATAGTAATAAACTCTATCACAGAAGTACTTACAAAAAACTAATTGTAGCATAAATATTAATTAGTATTATCAGGGATATGAAAGAGCAAAAGGCTCTGTTATAGATCTATTTCCCCATGTACTTTATTGTACTTCATGCTGTTTCTTTTCTTTCTTGGCTTAAGCTCATATTTCATTGACCAATTAGGTTTGTTTTTTGTTTGTATCTCTCTTCATTCTCACATTTTAAATTGAAATTTTTGGGGAGTCAGGGTCTTGCTCTGTTGCCCATGCTGCAGTGTAGTGGCATGATCTTGGCTCACTGCAGTATCCACCTCTCAGGCTCAAGTGATCCTCCCACATCAGCTTCCCAAGCAGCTGGGACTACAGGCACACACCATCATGCCTGACTCCTTTTGGTATTTTTTGAGCAGAGATGTGTTCTCATTATGTTGCCCAGGCTGGTCTCAAACTCCTGAACTCAAGCAATCCACCCACGTTGGCCTTGCAAAGGGCTGAGATTACAGGTGTGAGCCACCATGCCTGGGCAGCATTGAGATTGATTTAAAGAAATTGATTAGGGCTGGGTGTGGTGGTGCACACTGCTTATCTCAACACTTTGGGAGGCAGAAGTGGAAGATTTACTTGAGCCCAGGAGTTTGAGACCAGCCTGGACAGTATAATGAGGCCTTGTCTCTACTAAGATAACAATAAAAACATTAGCATGGCATGATGGTACGCACCTGTAGTTCCAGCTATTCAGGAAGTTGAGGTGGGAAGATTGCTTGAGGTCAGGAGTTTGAGACCACAGTGAGCCATAATCAGGCCCCTGCATTCTAGCCCTGGGTTGACAGAGTGAGACCCAGTTTCATAAAAAGAGATTGATAAGAAACTCTTGATGCAACTCATTATAATTTTAAAATGGAAACTAATTCTTGATATTACCTTAGCAGTGTGTCCCCGAGAAAGTGTCAGAGCCTTTACCTGGACCTTCGCATGAAAAAGGAAACAGAATAGTCAATGGACAAGGAGAAGGTGAGAACCGTATTTTATTTAAAAAGTCATTTGATGGAGGCCGGGTGCGGTGGCTCACGCCTGTAATCCCAGCACTTTGGGAGGCCAAGGCGGGTGGATCGCGAGGTCAGGAGATCCAGAACATCCTGGATAACATGGTGAAACCCCATCTCTACTAAAAATACAAAAAACTAGCCAGGTGTTGTGGTGGGCGCCTGTAGTCCCAGCTACTCAGGAGGCTGAGGCAGGAGAATGGCTTGAACCCGGGAGGCAAAGCTTGCAGTGAGCGGAGATACCACCACTGCATTCCACCCTGGGCGACAGAGCGAGACTCCGTCTCAGAAAAAAACAAAACAAAAAAAAGTCATTTGATGGAATGTTTATTTGAAAATATGAGCACTAATAGAGTGTAATAGCTAAAGAAAGTGTCCTATTAACTGTATAATAAGTAAAGGAGAAGTGAAATGGTGATAAGTTGTGTGTCTAACCAAGGGTCAGCAGTTGATACTATCAGGAGTACCACTAAAGGAGCTGAGTTATGAGTTCCATTTTAAGATACTCTAAGACCTGAGGCAAGTCAGGAGAGAGGGAAGAGGAAATGAATAAAGAGAAAGAAAGAATGAGGAGAGCGGAGTGTACATGGAATAAATAAAAAAGCATATGCAGAGGTAAGTAATAGAGGATAGTAAAGGCAAATTGATCTGTAGAAGAAGGAAGAACATGGTGTTAGAAACAGGAAAGAAGATAAAGTGAGCTTCCAGTACGAAAATGTGTCAGAGAATTAGAATAACATTTTCCTTCTCTTGCTGTCATCCTCAATACTGGGGAGGCATTAAGGATTGAGGCAACTCACCACACAGACCTGTGTTTTGTCTACCATAGATGAACATCACCAAAAATGGTCAGCCATGTATGGCTATAATTTGTTTTTATAGAAAATGTAACCTCATAGGATAGTATCATATAGGCCAAATTAACATAATTGAATAGTGTTGGGTGATTTATGGAGAAGAAATTAATTTGAGAAGTATTGCCTGATTAAAAGTTCATTAGAAACATTATGGCTTACAATGTAGTATTAAATTGAGGGACATAATAGGGAAGAAATTGAGGCTAGGGCAAAAGGGCAATTAGGGTAAACCAATATGGAAGCACATCAGTGTAGAACGGGGCATTCAAATTGTCATGAATTAGTTGAGAAGCTTCTGGAAGGTGCACATTCTGATTCAGCAGGTATGGGAGTCTGCATTTCTCATGAGTACTCAGGTGATTTTGGTGCTGGTCCTTGGACACAGCTCTGAATAGCAAGGGAATAGCCTTCCTTTAAAGAACTCTGGAAAAAGAACCATTGGAGAGCAATTTAAAAAATAACAGAATCCAGGGAAAGCATTAATTTCCTTTTATTTCTGAGCATGATTCTAGCCACAGAGGAAGGAGAATGAGATGAAAACAGAGAGATTACAGGTGTATACTACTGCTGAATACAGATGAAAAAAGTGGTCAGTGGTCACAATTATCCATAAAAAGCAGTTAGGAAGGGAAGCATCAGGATGACAGTTCTAAAAATCAATTTTTCAAAGGAAGAGGGATTGTGAAAGCACACGGAGGGAGGAAAGAAAGACATTTGCTGGGGTCTTGGGAGTTGAAGCCAAGTAAACTTGAGACAACTCACTTCCAGTTGCTTCAGCATATGCCCAGTCTCACAAAAGAGGTTATTGCTGTGGAGAGTACTGGAGGCAGGAGGGAGTGCTAGAGTTGGGGTAAACCACAGCAGCTCATTTCACTTGATAACTGTCAGGCCTCAGAGAGAGAAGTTTCACTGACATGAGGGAATAAGATGTGATTAAGTTGCATATAGATGCTTTGGCTAATTTTTTTTGAGACAGCCAGTTCTTTGATATGATAGCTGTTTTATAAAAGTCCTTTACAGTGTAAGATAATACACCAAACTTAGTTAATTTTAGAAGCAATCATATTATAAAATTCATTCTGTGAATACCAAAATTCTCTTTTTCAATAAATACTGCACTGATTTTGAAATTAAATATGTATTCATATCCAGCAAGTCTGTGGTAATTCAGTGTTTTCTTTTTTGATAAATATTTTGATATCGGAAGCTTATTCGACATGGTTTATGTGTTTTATGGACCGCCTTGCATGAGTGGATCAAGGAGCTCTAATTGAAGGCCAAATGAGGGGACAGGAGAAATGTAGGTGCTGCAGTAGCCCATGTGATCATGGGAAAAATGAGTAGTTTGATTAGCTGTCATTTCATAAGTGTGTATAAGAGCTGATCAATGTAGAACACTTTCTTTGATGAGAGGTGAATCACACATTCACCTGAACTGTCATCCCAACTGTGTATTTCCTCAGTGACAAGACAAGGGGAATTTGTTTGTGGCATGCTGGCAGCAATGCCTCTGATGTGTTGAGTTAAAATACTCTGTACATTCACCATCAGCTTTGATGTCGATTCCCTCAGGTTTGATTTGCTCCTCTGTTTAATGGTCCCTTTTCTCCTCATCAGTCCATGTGTTCACGGTGATATCCATGCTTTTCTATTTTAGGTATAGGCATTTGAAACATAATCTCACTACTGAAATGTAAACTGTGCATTTTAGGAATCCTATATTCCTATTTTCCTCATTATGTTTCTGTCATGTTGCTGTCCTAGGCAATGAAAAGAAGCCAAGAAGAACCCTCCAAACCTTAAGTAATTATTTTTATAGCCAGGCATGAGAATTCAGCTCGATAGTACCACTGCATGAATGTTTGGTTGGCCCTGTCATACTTACATATAATTGATGACATATCCCCTTTGCTTTGTAGGGCCTCCTGCAAAACATCCTTCCTTGAAGGTAATTAATTATGTATATTTTTGAATCACTAACTCCATGTTGTATAAAACATATATGATTTATGAATCATTTTCTTTTAAAACCCATTCAGCCTACCACTGGAGTGGAAGATCCTGCTGTGAAAGGAGCAGTACAAAGAAAGAATGTACAGACATTGAGAGCAGGTACATTTAATGGAATACTGGAAATAAGTACATTCAATGATTGGAAGTACTCACATTATTCTTATTCCTAATTCTATTTGTTTAAAATTGAATGGAAGGCATTGACATAAATGTTATTGTTGGTATCCATATTTGAATAAAAGTAAATTTAGAAGCATAAAAAAGATTTTAAAAATGTAAGCTTTAACTCAGATGTTTCTCTTTTAATGTTTTGAATAGCATGAAGTTTTCAGTATAAAATTTTTATACCTGTCAGGGATTCAAAGCAGTGAATTTTGAGACTCTAAGATATTTCCAGTGAGTTAAGTGCTACTTGGAGTTCTGATCTTTACCTAGAGGAAAGCTTTACTTATTAACATGTCAGATTCTGTTTTAACTTTAGAGGCTTGCTGCTGTGTGTTTGTGGCATCTTTGACTATTAAAAATGAGGAAAGTAATGATTCATTTGTAACTGGTAGACACAGTCTTTTAAAATGGTGATTTTGAGACTTTTTGGTGTTAAGGTTTTTAAAACATGATTGCATAGAGGCTACCGACATCATAAGTTGGTTGTTTTTCATTTCAATGCCCTTTTGAAATCTTTAACTATATTGTGATGCTCAGAAATAATATGCAGAATTTTTTATTTGTGTCCCAAAATGGTATGTGAGTGGTTATACACTTTACATACCTTTCTGCCACTTTCTTTGGTGTATTTTGTATTATATTTTCCAGATGTATCCACATTGATATGATTATCTCTGGTTTAATTCATTTTACACTTTTCATTGTATTCCCTTATACCACTTTACCACATTTAGTTAGACTCTCCTGTTGCTGATAAATGAAGAAAGAAAGAAAAATAAAAATAATGTCAGATTAAGTGGGCTTTTCTTTAATCAGTTTGTATTTATTAATATTTACTATATGAGAGTTTAAAGTTGAAAAGTTCAGAATACAAGCATGCACCACCATATTTTATAAATGCCCTTAGAACTGTGACTCATGAGCCTTTAGCCTATGAAGTTAGGACGATTCATTTCTCTGAAGAAGTTTGTTGTGCTGTTCTCAAAAAAGAAAACTGAAAATAGCAAATGATATTGTCTTATTTGACCTCTTGGACATCTTTGAATGAAACTGCAACTCCGGGGATACTCAGATCAAAATTCAGAACTAATGTTTTGAACAATATAGTTTGTGAATGTCCAGTGGATCATGAGCCCTTGATGGGAAAATGACCTTTCAAGTTTCACTTTTGCATTTTTTGCTCTTTTCCTTGACTTGTCTTAAAAGCTTAAATTCAACCGTTTTATTTTTACAGAAACCAGAATATAACTTTTAAAATTTATGTCTGTCCTGTCTCACGGTGTTGTGTACTCTTCAGATCTTGTGTGAACATAGACTTATGTGGGAACAATTAGGTTTTTTGTTTGTTTGTTTGTGTTTTTGAGACAGAGTCTTGCTCTGTCACCAAGGCTGGAGTGCAGTGGCTCGGTCTTGACTCATTACCACCTCTGCCTCTCGGGTTCAAGCAATTCTCCTGCCTCAGCCCCTCGAGTAGCTGATACTACCTGCATGTGCTACCATACCCTGCTAAATGCTCTATTTTTAGTAGAGATGGGGTTTCACCATGTTGGCCAGGCTGCTCTCAAACTCCTGATCTCAGGTGATCTGCCTGCCTCAGCTTGCCAGTATGCTGGGATTACAGGCAGGAGCCACTGTGCCAGGTACAAATAAGATTTTTAAGGCTATTATATTTTATACAATTCTTTGGTCTTTGTGAATTCTGAAGGTATTCATGCATTGAGGGAAGATCATCTCAGTGTAATGAAAGCAGTTTTTAATGTATATTCATTAAAATTTTTTTTGAAGTTTTTGTCTCTAGTACACAGAAACACACAATATTGTCATGGGTATTTGACCTTAATGTGTTTATGCACAAACTTAGTTATTCAAATATTTTCTTATCCCTGAAGAATCCTAATTATTAATAAAAAAATTTCTCATGGAAAACAACATATATAATAGAGATTGTTGAGTGATAAAGTAAATTGTAGTAAATAACAGAAGCTTAGAACAAGTTAAGTAAACTTGTCTGAGTTAATAGCAATTACAGGACTTTTAAAATACATTAGACCATGAGGGAGTAGTGTGTTTGTGGGGTACAGGACATCATGGTCCTGCTTCAGTGAAGAAAGAACTTTTACACCTTATTACAATTTGTATTACTATTTACATTCTAATAAAAACTTTATTGTCAGATATTTTAGATTATGTTTCTACTAGTTGAACCATCAATAGTAAGACTTTTCAAAGATTTGGGAAGTTATGAGTTGATGATAAATATCTGTATCACCATCCATGATCAAAAATCAGACAGCAACTACAAGACTTTGGACCCGCGAACTTCATAGTTAAAGAAAGGATTAATCTTGGAGCTGTGTTTTTATCAGGGAATTATACTCTTCATTACCTCTGTGAATCGCAGTTATTAGAGTAGAAAGAGAGCAAAGAAGGGAAACAAACATAGAAAATTTTATTCTAGATTACCTCAGTTGGCTTCATGCTACCATAGTTCTAGCTTTTAAAAAGTCATTTTGTGGTCAAATGTACTTTGTGTTTACTCCCTTTATGCAGCCTACAACCAAACAGAATGCTTCTTAGCAAGGCATTTGTATTCTTCCCTTAAGGAAAGCAACATATAAATAACAAAGAGAATGAGGAGAAAGAGTAATTTCATTGAAGTTGGTATTTAACATAAATTTGTGTGCGGGTACCATGATTATATTTAGAATTTTGGGCCTGGAATAGAAAACCAGCTAGACGTCTACAGATTTCCTACTCAAACACAGTGTGCCTTTGTTTTATTTTTACATCTCTAATTTTGCAATTATTAGGTACAACTGTATGCACTGTCACTAAAAATACCTTCCAAAACCAAATATTAAATAATGCCTATGGCTTTCTGTATTATAATGTTGATTTCCCCAATATTAATGGGAACCATTGAGCGTTTGCCTTGTGGTGTCTCCTCAGCTGTATTCACACATTCCATCACCTTGTCTTAATGGATAATCATGCACTATGAGTATGGGTTTTCAGAAGAGCTGTATCATTTAAAGATAACACAGGAGCATCAAATTTAATTCTGCTAGAATACCTGGTCTATTGATTAACTGCAGCTAATATGGGGTCTACTTCACATACAAGTTAAATTCAGTGCCCTTAATCAGTCATATGATCAGGTCAACAGTAATAAATTATGCAATATTTTTTCACCCCTATAGTTTTAATTTCTTTTTCCCCTTATGTCTAGAATTAACATTTTATTTTACATAACATGATGATAATCTTCTAGAGTAGTGATGACGAAGTATAAATGCAAGGTTTCTTACCTATGCAAATGACTTGTTTGCTTCTATTTTCTCATGAGCTTGGTAGATCCAGGAAACAGAACTTTTAAAACAAAATCCCCATATATGGCTGGGCGCGGTGGCTCGTGCCTGTAATCCCAGCACTTTGGGAGGCTGAGGCGGGCAGATAACCTGAGGTTGGGAGTTTGAGACCAGCCTGACCAACATGGAGAAACACATCTCTACTAAAAACACAAAATTAGCTGGGCATGGTGGCACATACCTGTAATTCCAGCTACTCGGGAGGCTGAGGCAGGAGAATCACTTGAACCTGGGAGGCAGCAGTTGTGGTGAGCTGAGATTGCACCACTGCACTTCAGCCTGGGAAGCAAGAGTGAAACTCCATCTCAAACAACAACAACAACAACAACAACAACAACAACAGCAGCAGCAGCAGCAACAACAGCAGCAGCAACAACCACCACAAAACCCAAATGCATTTCCTTGGCACAGTAAAACTGAAACAGAAAAAGTGTAAAGTAAATACAAGTAACTGAAACAGTTTATGTATATTATTTTACTTCTCATTTGATAAAATTTGTAAAGTAATGAGCAGAGTGTATTTCTCCAGGGACCCAGATATATACATTTATTCATTCAATAAAAATTCATTCTTATAATGGCCACTGATACTTGTATCCTAAATATTTCTGAAAACATCTCCTCAGGCCTGCAGCATCTTTGCAACACTGCCTTATATTTTATCTTTGTTCATTGATTTATGTGCCTCAGAATTTTATGCTCCTCACAATAATTAGAGTTAATTATCTCTAATGCAAATAGATCTGTGAACCACTCCTGAATACCTATGTCCAAGCATCTTAAAGTTTTATATAAGGATTTCAGAAACTGATTTCTGGGTTGGGCATGGTGGCTCGTGTCTATAATCCCAGCACTTTGGGACGCTGAGGCAGGTGGATCATTTGAGGTCAGGAGTTCAAGACCAGCCTGGCCAACAAGGCGAAACCCCATCTCTAATAGAATACAAAAATTAGCAGGTGGTAATGGCACATGCCTGTAATCTCAGCTACTTGGGAGGCTGAGGCAGGAGAATTGCTTGAACCTGGGAGGCCGGGTTGCAGTGAGCCAAGATCATGCCACTGCACTTCAGTCTGGGAGACAGAGTAAGACCTTGTCCCAAAAAAAGGAAAGAAAAGGAAACTGATTTCTGCCCAAATCTCCATCTGTAGCCCTTTCCCCATCTGCAGCCCTTTCCCCATCTGCCTTTTTCTCTGGAATTACTGAGCTGCTGGTAATGGCCCCCTCACCATTCCTCTTTTGCAGAGAAATACATACTCTCTTGGAGGCTTCTCTCCCCCTCTTGTTGCTGCCTGGCATGTGCTCACCCTTTCTTGCCCTCTGCCTCACTTAATCTGGCTAACCTTACTCTCTAAGTCTCAGCTCATGCATGATCTTTAGGAAAGCCATCCCTGACAGCTTTTATTTTCCTTCCTTATACCCCAGTGCCTAACACTTAGCAGGAACTCAATAAGTAATTATTTAGCAAAATTAAGACTGTTTATACAAAGATGATTCAAAAGATTGTCCTCTACAGTCTAGCAGCAAAGGGGATCGACATGTTAAGACATGATGTGCAGTTCAGGTGGTAAAGTGACACTGGAAAAATTGACAAAGTACTAAGGGACTCCAATGAAGCAGATACCCGTGTGTGTGGAGAAAGATAGCTAGAATCAAGGAAGACTTCACACAGCATTCTGAGCCTTTTTTTTTTCTTTTTCTGTTGTTGGAGACAAGTTCTTACTCTATCACCCAGGGTGGAGTGCGATGGTGTGATCGAGACTCACTGCAACCTCAAACTCCTGGGCTCGAGGGATCTTCTCACCTAAGCTTCTTGAGTAGCTGGGACTACAGGCACATATCACCATACCTGTCCAATTTTTTGTAGAGTCAAGGTTATCTATGGTTCCCAGGCTGGTCTTAAACTCCTGGCCTTGAGCAATTCTCCCATTTTGGCCTTCCAAAGTGCTGGGATTACAGATGTGAGCTATTATGCCCAGCCTACTTTCTGAGTCTTAAAAGATGAAAATAGATTTTTCAGAATAGTAGGGGAAAACATTTGCGATGTAAAAAATGGGGTGCACACTAATTAAGGTATGAACAACAATAATTTTGCAAATTATTAGTAACTGCCAACTCAATTAGTGTCTTGTTAAAAAGATACTGTTATGAAGTATAGTAAAGTGTTACATTGTATATTTTGACTGTATTTCAAAATTTTGTTTTGTTTCTAACAGTTTTGTTGATTTATGTTGGGTGGAACAATTTGTGAGTGACCCTGAGATTTCATATGGCTTGAACCTGGTGATATCTAGTGTCTCCCCAAGTGGTTTGTTGAAGTTTTGGATGATTAGAAGTATTTCTTAAAGAACTAAATATTTCAGTAAACATTAAGCTTCATTGAAACTCTCAAAATATAAAATACAAAGAAATGTTATTCTCTATTTATTTTTATATAGATTATAGTCTTTATCTAACTGTTCTTAGTTCATTTGAACTAAACCAGTGAATTT